>NC_000015.10:27216267-27519298 GCF_000001405.40 Homo sapiens
ATTGATGAGCGAAGGTGAAGTATATCTAGCTTTTAAAAAATAAAAGGGAGGATCTGCCACAAGTGGTAACCCTTAGAGACAGTGAACATGGGAAAGAGGCAGCTAGCTCAGCCCAGCACCTCTGCACACAGGGTTCACTCTGCAGAGCTGCTGGGAGTGGAGAGGGAGTGGGCATTCCACAGCTACATCTGCAAGGCAGGACCGTTGCCCTGGGTGCAGTGCAGAGGCAAAGCATCTTTATGACCAAGGCACATCCTCAGCTTATTCTGACATTTACCTCCATCCGTGTGTTTTTAAGGCAAATCCACCGCACATTTCTGAAACACCCTCCTGGGAATCGATCGTTAGTCACCAAATTTCAATGGAACTCAAAGCAGAGCTCATGCTGTGATGAATGCCTTTTCTGTTTCTACCAGTGTGATCTTCCAGGCTTTAAACTTGCCATTACTTCTGACCAATTCATTTCTTTTTTTTTTTTTATTTTTTATTTATTTATTTATTTATTTTTTAATTTTTTTTTTTATTATACTCTAAGTTTTAGGGTACATGTGCACATTGTGCAGGTTAGTTACATATGTATACATGTGCCATGCTGGTGCGCTGCACCCACTAACGTGTCATCTAGCATTAGGTATATCTCCCAATGCTATCCCTGCCCCCTCCCCCGACCCCACCACAGTCCCCAGAGTGTGATATTCCCCTTCCTGTGTCCATGTGATCTCATTGTTCAATTCCCACCTATGAGTGAGAATATGCGGTGTTTGGTTTTTTGTTATTGCGATAGTTTACTGAGAATGATGGTTTCCAATTTCATCCACGTCCCTACAAAGGACATGAACTCATCATTTTTTATGGCTGCATAGTATTCCATGGTGTATATGTGCCACATTTTCTTAATCCAGTCTATCATTGTTGGACACTTGGACATTTGGGCTATAAAGACACTTGCACACGTATGTTTATTGCGGCACTATTCACAATAGCAAAGACTTGGAACCAACCCAAATGACCAATTCATTTCAATTAAGGAATTTTTGAGTGTCTCCTATGGCCCTTTGTAATATGATCAGTGGACTGGAAGTGAAGCCCCAGCCAACACTGCTCTAGGTATCTGACGGAGAGCTTGATGTCTCTTCTGTTTCTTTTCACCCACCAGTGGGTATCATGCTTCTGAGACACTGGCCCCACTGCCCTGGCTTCCTGGCCCTACATGGGACCTTCTGATGGTCTTGTCCATTTTTATTGTCCTGTGGGATCTGCCCCAGGTTCTAGAAATGAAAGCTCTGCCCAGCCCAGCAGGGAGCCTCCAGGATCCTGCTCCGTGCTGTGGCCTCAGAATTTTGTATCTCACCCTTTCTTACTCCATGTAGTGCTTTGTATTTTACACACCAACGAGTATCATAGTTAAGTGCACTCTCACTACGATTTGAGTCACTGGCACACACAGAGGGACGAAGGAAAGCAAAACATTCTACTCTCAACATAGGCACACATAGTGTCAAAAAGAGGACTTGGCTGTCCTCTCCTGGCAAGGTCACGTGTGGGCACACCCTGAGGTTAGACACAGGCCAAGTCGCCACAGGTGCCTTCTTCCCAGCGGGACGGCTGTCCTGCCTCTCCCTGAGCTGGTTATTGATGGGAGGAGGGTGAACTGCAAACCAGCCGCAGGGACAGAGTAGGGAGGCGGAGGAGAACCAGGGCCAGTCTGTCGCCTTCAGAGGTGACCTGAATTTGGGAACCTCCCCACTTCTCCGAACTGCAGGGGAGCTTCCCGCGCTGTCTCCCAGGCTGGAGTGCAACTCTGCGATTACAGCTCGCTGTAGCCTCCACCCTCCAGCCTCAAGTGATCCTCCCACCTCCGCCTCCCAAGCAGCTGGGACTACCTACAGATGTGTGCTACCATGCCTGCCTAATTTTTTTTTAATGTTTAATATTTGTTAAAGATGAGGTCTCACCATGTTGCCCAGGCTGTCCAGCCTCAGCCTCCCAAAGTGTTAAGAGTCACAGGTGTGACAAAAGCACCCAGCCCTGTTGTCAACGTTCTGTCTTATTCGTGGCAGGAAACTCCCTTAAGAGGGGTTTTATGGCAATCCTCATTTCTCAGAATTTTATGCTCTTATTCAGAAAAGGGGAATTCTGAGAAGGCATCTTTCTGCACTTGTTGATTCTCAATGACCTTTTGCTCAAAATAATCCACATCCCAAAGTGACATATTTTGGGGTGATGTCTTCTGAACCCCTTTACTCAGCAGTGATGGAGGCTTATGTCCCAGGGCTGCTGCTGCTTGTGTTTCCGTTGCTCAGCGTCTCCACTCGGTTCCCATCTGTCTGACTCAGTTGAGTGTGGTGTCCTGGCTGGATGCCTCCTGTCCCTGCTGAGGCCGAGCTCTGAGAGTGATTCTCACATCTCATTCCTACCCTCAATGCAAATCTTATGTGCTGGGTTTTTCATATAAGGAAATGAGGTTTAGCATAGTGCTCGGGAGTCAGATGTCATTGATTTTGAACCGCTGCGACTGATGGTAATGGGTGGTGACCGTGGCCAGGTCACCTTCCAGAGGAGTCTGCCTTTCCTCACCCCACAGTATGATAAAGGCTCTGCATCCATTCACATTCACACACGGAGAGGAAGTTAGCTTCCATTATTGTGAATCACAGAGTAATGAGGAAATGAACAAATGGATGCAAATCCCCCTGGTCTCCTCTCTCCCTGATGACCCTGGCCATACCGGGGTCTGGGAGGGCAAGCATTCTCTCCACCAATCTCCCAATGGAACCACGCGTGCTCTGACCTGGCCTTCTCCTCTGGCTACAGCCCCAAGTCCTAGCTTCTTCCCCTGAGACCCCAGAGTCTTTGATATGCTATCTCTTGGCTAGTTATCATTCTCTCTCGCAGATTTCAAGTCCCAAGGGGACCCTGTGCCATATTATTTTCTATTTCTATTGCTCTACACTGTGGAGAAGCCAGTATTTTCATGTGTGCAGTGCTCTTGGCCTCAGGGCGGGCTGGCCTTGGGGCGGGCTGGGTTTTAGTTTGGGACCATTGTTTGTGCTCCTCCAAGGTAGGCAGAGTCCAATTTGGGCTCAATCCCTCCCTTACTCTGAGTCAGATAAGGTCTGGGCAAGATAACCTCCATTCCCTTTATGGTTTTTAAGTTGTGGAACTGAGTGAGACACATTCTGTGGGTCTGCCTCTTTCCACCCCACAGTCCAGCTCCTGCACCTGTGATGGGGCAGCTCAGGGTGGGCAGGACGAGGACAGTGGTCATGTCCATGGATCCTGTGGCCCTGGATGCAGCATCCCACCCCTCTGTCCACACCCTCCTTAGTCCTCCCCACCTGTGCCCAGCACCTCTGTGCCCACCAGGCAGACAGCGCCCAACCTCCCAGCTGCAGCCCCCAGACTCTTGCTGGCTGGCCACTGTTGGGTGTGCCTAACGGGGAGTGCCACCAGGGACTGGAGCATCAGTGGTTACAGAGTCCAGAAAACTGAATGCCTGTTCCCTCCTCGCCTTGCCTATAAAACATCTGCCTACAATTAGTATGATTTACTTAACACATGTTTTCAGAAATGCATTAATTAGATCAGTGTCTGTATTTGCAGGGACTTGTGCAACTGTTTTTCATAAGAACGACTCCTTATTCTTCACCAGCAATAGAGGAGGGTGGTCATTTTACTAGTTAGTAGGGGATGCTTCTTCTTGTCACCAAACTGAACTTGGGTCGGCTCACCCAGCATGCAGACAAGACCAAATACTGTCACTGGGATTCGCAGCAAGAGAGAGGCATTTATCACAGGGCACCCAACAAGGAGGATGGGCAGCTCACACCTAACCTGACCTTCTTGATGGCTTACAGGCAAGAGTTTTTAAAGGCAGGGTACATTTCAGGAAAGCAGAAGTTACAGGCAAAATTTTATATCAACACATGGAGGTTGTACATTGGTTTGGCCTAAAAAGGTGGGATATCTTGAAGTGGGAGTTTATAGGTCATAGATAGATTGAGATTCTTTTATTTATAGTTGGTTAAGGAACCAAAGCTTTGTCTAAAAGATTTGAGGTGAGCAGAAAGGAATGTTAAGGGCTGACCTTAACATATGGTAGTTAGGATAAGGAACCCTGGTGATTGTCATGTGGTGTTATACCAGAGTCAGGTCACCAGGGTAAGCCACAGTATGCGGGGCCAGATTAGCAAGAGTGATGGCCTGTAGACGTGACCTTCTTTAGGCTCCTCAGGAAGAAATTTAGAACAAAGAACGTGGTCAGAATTCAGTCCCGTTTCCCCCTTATCTGAGGACTGTGTGATGTGACAGCAGTGGGCATTTTCCATCTGGTAGGGGCCTGGGTTTCTGAAAAACAACTCAAGAACATATGCTAAGATGTTCTATAGAGTCCCTAGAACATCTGCAACTCTAACCTGTTTGGAGACTGTTGCTTAAGTTCCTACTGTCTTCTTGCCTATTGGGTTGCCCATTTATTTCTCTGGGGTCACTGGGTGCCTGGAATTTCCCTGGAAGGGACTCAGAACTTGAGGATTCAAGATTTTTCCTTTATTTCCATGCCGAGGGTGGGGTGGCAGGGCCCTAAGGGGGATCTCTGCCCTGTTTCATCATCTTCATTAGCTGTAATCAGTAATCGCAGATCAAGTATTCAGTTCGATCTTCAGAATGGACAATAATGCAAAGCATTATTCAACCTTTCCATTGGATGAACCTGGAATTGCTTCTTTTTTTTTTCTTTTTTCTGCCTTTTATTCAATAAATATTATGATGTCCTTAATAAACAAGATTCAGGGAGGAAATTGCTCAAGCTTATAGGATTAATTAAGGGGAGTCAGAACATGCTCTAACTAGATGGGGCATTTTACAAAACAGATGATTAAAATCTTATGAGACGTTTGAGAGAGATCGACCTGTTCAGAGAGACAGAAGCATGATGCTTCTCCTTTCTTCAGTGACCTTTTTTGTAGACATTTGCTATGCTCCTTGATGGACAGTGTGCTGATCTGGTAGAGCAAGGTTTTATTCTCTTGCCATCTGCTTGCAAAAGAGTGAGAAGACCAGCCAGTTCCCCATGCGTTATTAGTTTATGTTACTGTACTTTCTAACTTTAAATCACAAAGCATATTGATAACCACATGATTTGAAAAAGAGTTGAGGAAATTAGAAAACAAAAACAATCAACAACCACAAACTAAACTAAGGTAGACTGCATGGGTGCTAATTTTTAGTTTGAAAATACACAGAAAATTAGCCTGTTTAAAGTGATGCCATTCTCAAGGTGGTCTCTCAGAGAGACCCGGAGAGTCCCTTGGGGTACAAAGGCTGGGGGGCTCCCATGGCTTACCTATCAAACATTTGATCTAAATCATATTTCCAGTTGTCTCTGTGAATTTTGTCTTGTTACAACCAAGTAGCTGTTTTCTAGAATGTCTAAATGGCCCTTAATAATTTCTCCTGTATTTGTCTGGATCAACGTAGCCTGTTTTAGTTTCATAAAACATTTCTTTCCTGTGTTTCTCAAGAACTCAAAATTTAAGGTCAACAAAATGACCTTGCTCATCCAGATGGCAAATAAAGATGATGAAGATGCTGTTTTCTATCTATATTTTTTTGGTAAAGCCATGCACTAGGAGTTTGTATGATTGTCCCCAAATGGGCTACATGATTGAAATCCATTTAGTTTGAGGATAGCAGGTGCTTTTGGTTTTCCTGAGCTGAAGTTCTACATTATTTTTAAAAATCTTTAATATATTCTTTCTGCCTTTCAAAAGGCAAATTTTCCTCAATCCCATTATCTCTTCCCTCCTCATTTTCTTCCTGGAGAACCTTAGTCCCTTAAATCTCTAGCACGTTCTTCCACAGAAGATGCCCCAAATGGCTCTCTGCTTTGTGAGTGCTACACCTGGGTGGAATCACCCCTCTCCTCTTTCACAGTTGAGAGTCAGCAGCTAGAGACGTCCCAGCCAGCTGCGCAGGCTTGAATGCTGGCTTCATCATTTACTGGCAATGCCATCTAAGGCAGCAGTGCACCCACATGCAAAATGGGGGAACAGAAGAAGTTGTTTTACAGAGATCCAAAGTGCTTAGAAGAGTACCTGAGAGATACTTAATACCAAATAAGTATTACCTATAATTACTATTAATATGATTCCTCTTGGACCTTGGACTTCATGCTGGAACTTTCTGCAAAAGATCCACAAGCAAACTCCTTATTTTCTAAAGTGAATTAGTAGAGGACATGGACTTTGGATTCCAAGTACTTTGATTCGGGTACTTGAGTCATGGGTGCATATTGCAGGAACTTAGTCACTTAGTCTCTCAGTGTAAACAATGACCTAAGAACTAGAAATGGCAAAGGACAGAATGCACAACCCCAAGAGAGGAGCTCTGTGCCCATGAGTGTGATTAAGACCTTAAGAAGTCTTGGAGTGGATTCTTACATTAATTAGATGCTCTACATGACTCATTACAAACCAGATATCATGGTCCTCTGATTCCAGCCATGGCGACTGCAGTGTTCCCGGGAGACCACTGGCTGCTGTCCAGTGAGTGCACTCTCCTGGGAATGGTTCCCCACGGCCCTGGAACACACAGAGTGGCCATGCCTTAATTCTCCACACAGTCTCACTTCAGAATCCTGGCCATACTTGGACATCCAGAGGCCAGAGTGGAATGAAAACAATCAACTTTCAAGCATAAGAGATTCTCCCACTTCTTCCTTTGTTCACAAGTTTTGTTGATTCTTATTTACTTTTCTGAGGATAGATATGGTATAATCCAAAGTCATGATTCATTCATTTTAAAAGGATGAAAAGTGAGGCTGTGAATAATTTAAAGATGCAACATCCATTTGTATCTTTATAGCATTTCATTTTAATCCAATATTAATGTGGGTCAGCCCTGATGAAATTCTCTTATCAGCAACTGTAGTATTTTGTTTATTGTGTCAAAATCTGAGAGCAGTTAATAATTAGAATATATTTTTTCTACTGAAATAATAGAAATGTTACCAAAAGGCCAGGGACTCTGTCTAGGTCCCTTGCATGCTGCACAGAAAGCCAATCGCTGAGACAAGTATTGCCAGGGAGGAGGAGCCTGGATACGGCAATCTGATGAGTTTCAGTTCTTTGCTGGAGGGTGGATTTCCTGAGGAAGGAACTCAGATGAGACAAATGTAAGCTTCAAGTTTTAAGACCAGAGGGTCAATTTCTATGTTTACTTAAAAACTCATAAATATTTATGTGGGACACTTGGGCCAGCTTCAGAAAGGCATTACAAAAAAAATGGAATATGAAGAAAATAATATTTAAAAGATTCACAATCTTACTACTGTAACACAGCCACTTCTCACATTTCTGTAGGGTTTGCAAAAATGTTTAAAATACTAGATGTGCAGATAATGATGCTGGACAGACGGATGGGTATGGAAAGGTGTCTAGTACCTTGTCCCCCGTGCCACACTTCACACTCACTGTGCTCTTGCCTCCCCTGCTGGGCAACACTCAGGTGAACCCAGTGAGTGCTGCCCCTGACCCTCCTGACCCACGTCCTCATTGCAGGCACACTGATTGCCCCCCTTTTTGTGTTACAGAACACTTGCCTCTACCATCTCTTCTGTATTTTGGATCATTTCTTTGAGATAAATTTCAGAACCTGTCTGGGTGTAAGGTGTGCTGTTCCTTAACACTGTATGTCTGCCTTCCCTTTAGTCCCTTTCTCCCACTGGAGCTGGAGAGGGGAAGATGCAGGTGAGAAGCCTGGCACCTGGGTGGGGTACCCAGAGCGTGTGGACTGAGCTCCGAGGAAGTACCAGGTGATGTACGTGGAAGCCGTGGACTGAGCTCCCAGTGGCCTCCAACTTCCCGGGCTGCTCCCTGCATGGCGGTGAGGGCCTTGCTGAGGCCAGGGGTTTGGGGGTGCCGCATGTTTTCATCCCCGGTGCTTTCCGTGTGTGCCAGCACCTAAGAAGTAAAACATTTTTCAAAGGAAAAGATCATGTTTTCACCAAGCTGCTAAATTTAAATCTGGATTTTAGTTTCCCTAAGTGCAGAACCGTTTTCTTAGAAGGCCTGAAATGCTGAGTAGTGTTAGCCAGCCTTACCAGCTGCATAGGAAGTGGTTCTTTGAGAACCTAAATAATGTCTAATGCTACCTGACCCTCACAGCTACCCAGGAAGCAGGTCCTCACCTGGGCCTGCCCTTTCTCCCACCTGCACTGGCAGTGCTGGCTGATGGGGTAGCCTCCAGTTGTCTGTGTTAAAGCCCAGGGTGATGTCATGCAAGGCATCCTCTCTGTGCCTCAGTTTCCTCACCTGAATGCGAGTGGACTGGATTTCAACAGGTTCTTCTTGCAATGCTTTTCACTGTCCTAGCAAGGAATTGCCACAGTCACGACTTATGATGAGAATGTATTTGATCTCTCAGGTATTTAAGATGGAAAGGTTAAGAAGTAACAGATTTGATTATTTTCACATCCCTGCAATGAAACTTTCTTGCATGCTGTGCATATAGGATAACGTTAGTGTATTCCATCTATCATTCTGGCAGTGCTATTTGTGAGCTTAATGGAGCTCCTCTTTCATTCACAAGGCTAAGCATTTCATAGCCATTTCTGTAGGAAGCATTATTTAATGGGACCCTAGGTTTCCTTCCAGGAGGGGAGCTGAACATGGTCACTCAGTTGCTAGGAATGGTGGATGCCTCTGGTGCCACCCACCGCCTGGGGTGAGGAGAGTCTTCACCCTCCTTGGAAGCTCCCACCTCATTCTGTTGCTCTGACAAAGACTAGAGTTCCTTCTTCCTTCCTCCAGGGTGTGGTCATCACATTTATTTGGTGATTAATCATCAAATGATTTGTTCTTCCTAACTGAAGTATCTTAATTCTGTTGACTGACTTAAAATAATCACAATGTAGTACACAGGCTTTTATAATTTTAATTGAAAACAACAGATATACCTGAAAGCTGTCTTCCCTTGTCCTTCCCATGACAGTGCCCATAAACTAAAGCACAGTTGCCTTCGCTTCCCAGACACCGCCCTGCAGGTAGCAGAACTGGAGCCGCCACCTCCCCGCCCCCCTCCACGTGGAGGCAGGCAGGTAGCAGAATCGGAGCCGGTGCTTAGGGTGGACTGCCAATTGTTTAGTCTGAAGATTTTACTTACAAGGGTGGGCTGCCGATTGTTTAGTCTGACGATTTTACTTATAAAGTCGGAGTAAGTTTACCTGTAGATCAAGATTTATGATGTTTTTCATTCCTGTCTGAAGAAGAATCTAAGGGAGAAATGCTGGGCATTTGGGTTGTTCATTCCCTCTATGCTTCCCACCTGCCTTCCACCCAGAGGGATGAAGAGGCAAGCATGGAATCCTGCTTCCCTACCCACCACCAGGCTATTGAGGGCATGGCCCAGGAATGGTGTGAGGGACTTTGTAGCCTGTCTAGTAAAATGCATCTAAAGTTGGCAGCTGCCCTCTAACAGGTGCCCTCCACCTGCCCTGGTCTTCGAGAAGTCCTCCATCAGAATAGGGTGCTGAGAGAGCTGGTGCCCACAGGAAGTGCATGTGGGCTGCTGCAGATGGAGAGGGAGCCCTAAGAACAGACTCCACATGGCCGGAGCTTCCAGGGGAGGAGGAGGAGCCCAGATGAGAGACCCAGAGCCTGTGACTAAGATGATTGGCAGATTAGGGGCTCCCTTTGGAAATGATGACCACTTTTTGCATTTATTTCTCTGGATGTGTCTTGCAGGCAGGCACAGGCACAGAAATGGCAACATGGATGCTTTTGGTGCTGGGATGTCCCAGGCAGGCGTGAGTTGATGCAAATAGGCAAGAGGTTGAGGCCAGGGCAGAGAGGGGCTGAAAGTCAGTAGGGCCCTGAGCTGGCAGAGGGGTGAGAATAGAGCGCCCAGGGATGAGGACCTGGCACTCCTGGGTATGGATGCACAGGCACCCTGGTGATGCCCTCAGGTGACTGTCAGGGCACAGGTCCATACCTCTCACTGCAGCATCCAGGAACTCAAGGGACAGGCTCGGGTGCTGCTGACATGGACAATGTGCTCTCAGGGACTGAGCGTGGTCAGGGAGGATGACATGAGCTTTGTACTCCCGGTGAGCTTGGTCCAGGTCAAAGCAAATCGCGGCCACTAAGTGGAGGGGGTGGGACCGCAGTGTCCTCACCCAGCTTCAGAGACGACGTGGCCCATGCTGATGCAGGACACTGGCTGGGCCCCAGGCAAGCTGGCCAAAGTGATGTGTGGAGAGGAGAACCCTGCACAGCTCCTGCTCCCGGCCTGAGCCACCACTCAGTGGTGACTTGTGGGCTGCCATCCGGATGCCCCGGGCTTCAGAGGAGCCACCGGTGCTTCCCCCAGCAAACGGGCACTATGCGGGGCAGTTGGCTGCCATTTTCAGCCAGTGCATTCACCAGGTCTCTGGTTCCTGGAGTGACGGGCACATAACTCTCCTGACCAGCAGATCCCCCTCTGGCCCTGAGAGATGGGGACAGAGGAATGCTCCCCACTTCTTGGCAGGCACCTTGTCCCTTTGGCCATAGCCAGCATCTTATCTAGTACTCACTTTACTCTCTGGAACAAATGAGGCCTAGAGGGACTTGGCCTAGGATACGTTGTCCCTCACTTTCAGAAAAGAAACAAAAAGCCAGGCCTCTGCCTCCTAAAGCAGTACTATTTATCCCCAAAGAACATTTTATTCTCCTTTAATAAAACGTTGATATCAGGGAAAAAAAACTGAAAGAAAAAGGAAAGTAAACCATGTTTCACATGAGGTGCATAAACAGCCAGCCGCCTGTAAGGTGAGGTCTCTAAGTGTCCTTCAGGCTTAACTTGCATAGAATGTTGTTGATTTAACACTAAGGTATCAAGTTCATTAACAGAAATTAGAACATGTAGTAATTACACAATTAATTAAGAAATAAAAACAGGCCAGGCTTCGTAGCTCATGCCTGTAATCCCAGGGCTTTGGGAGGCCAAGGTAGGAGGATCACTTGAACCCAGGATTTCAGTTTGAGACAAGTCTGGACAACATGGCGAAACCCTGTCTCCTCCAAAAACAGAAAAGTTACCTGGGCCTGGGCGTGGTGGTGTGCACCTGTAGTCCTTTGTTACTTGGGAGGCTGAGGGGGGAGGATCACCTGAGCCTTAGGACATTGAGGCTGCAGTGAGTCATGATAGTGCCAGTGCACTGCAGCCTGGTCAACAGAGTGAGATTCTGTCTCAAAAAAATAAAAAATGTAATAAAATATATATTTTTTAAATTATCTGGCCGTGGTGGCATGCACCTGTAGTCCTAGCTATTTGGAAGGCTGAGGCAGGAGGATTGCTTGAGCCCAGAAGTTCAAGACTCCAGTGAGCTGTGATTGCACCTGCAATCTAGTCTGGGTGACAGTGAGACTCTATTTCTAAAGAAAAAAAAAAGAAAACAACCATGGCAATTTTTTTTTATCTACAAAATTTAATTACTAGATTTTACCCATGGAAATAAGGAAATTTCAGGAAACCTTATTCCACCATAACTACTTTTGAAAAATAACAGATGCTAAGGCAATTATTTGAATATGCCAGCCTACCCAGCATGTTTTTCTTCATCATCTTGATACATCACATGAAACTGCTGGTTTTATTTTTGCTCATAATTAGGAACAAATATTTTTAATTGTCTTAGTGCATGTTTTAAAATTTTTAAATGCTCAAAAGGGTTAAATGAAGGATAATGCTTAGTGCCTGTGAAAACACACTAAATGTAAAATAAATAAAACATTTTAGCACCAATGAAATAATACATAATTTTGTTATTTTAATTTTTATTTTAGGTTTGGGGGTATATGTGAAGGTTTGTTACATAGATAAACACATGTCCTGGGGGTTTGTTGTACATATTAATACATCACCCAGGTATTAAGCTCAGTTCCCAATAGTTGTCTTTTCTGCTCCTCTTCCTCCTGCCTTAAGCAGACCCCAGTATCTGTTGTTTCCTTCTTCATGTTCGTGAGTTCTCATCATTTAGCTCCCACTTATAAATGAGAACATACGGTATCTGGTTTTCTGTTCCTGTGCTAGTTTGCTAAGAGTGGTAGCCTCCAGCTCCATGCATGTTCCCGCAAAAGACATGTTCTCATTCTTTTTTATGGCTGCATAGTATTACATAGTATATATGTACCACATTCTCTGTATCCAGTCTACCGTTGATGGGCATTTAGGTTGATTTCATGTCTTTGCTATTGTGAACAGCGCTGCAATGAACATGCACATGCATGTGTCTTTATGGTGGAATGATTTATATTCCTCTGGGTATATACCCAGTAATGGGATTGCTGCGTTGAATGGTCGTTCTGCTTTTAGCTCTTTGAGGAATCCCCCTATTGCTTTCCAGAATGGTTGAACTAATTTATGCTCCCACCAACAGTGTATAAGGGTTCCCTTTTCTCTGCAACCTTGCCAGTATCTGTCATTTTTCAACTTTTTACTGATAGCCATTCTTACTGCTGTGAGATGGTATCTCATTGTGGTTTTGATTTGCGTTTGTCTAATAATCAGTGATGATGAGCTTTTCTTCATGTTTGTTTGCTGCATGTATGTCTTCTTTTGAGAAGTGTCTGTTCATGTCCTTTGCCCACTTTTTAATGGGGTTTTTTGTTTTTCTCTTGTAAATTTTATTAAGTTCCTTATAGATGGTAGATATTAGACCTTTGTCAGATGCATAGTTTGCAAATATTTTATTCTATTCTGTAGGTTGTCTGTTTAATCTGTTAATATTTCCTTTTGCCGTGCAGAAGCTCTTAAGTTTAATTAGATCCCACTTGTCAATTTTTGCCTTTGTTGCAATTGCTTTTGGTGTCTTTGTCACGAACTTTTTGCCCGTTCCTATGTCCAGGGTGGTATTGCCTAGGTTGTCTTCCAGGGTTGCTATAGTTTTGGGTTTTACATTTAAGTCTTCAATCCATCTTGAGTTGATTCTTGTATATGATATAAGGAAGGGAGTTCAGCTTCAATCTTCTGCATATGGCTAGCCAGTTATCTCAGTTATATCCCAGTTATATCATTTATTGCATAGGCAGTTTTCCCCATGGCTTGTTTTTTTCAGCTTTGTCAAAGATCAGATGCTATAGATGTGCAGCCAGCCTTATTTCTGGGCTCTCTATTCTGTTTCATTGGTCTGTGTGCCTAGGTTTTTTGTGTGTGTGTGTGTGTGTGTTGTTGTTTGTTTGTTTTTTGAGAAGGGGGTCTCACTCTGTCACTCAGGCTGGAGTGCAGTGGTGTGATCTCAGCTCACTGCAACTTCTACCTCCCGGGTTCAAGCAATTCTCCCACCTCAGCCTCCCGAGTAGATGGGATTACAGGGGTGCACCACCACGCCCGGCTAATTTTTGCATTTTTAGTAGAGACAGGGTTTCACCATGTTGGCCAGGCTGGTCTCTAACTCCTGACCTCAGGTGATCTGCCCGCCTCGGACCCCCAAAGTGCTGGGATTACAGGTCTGAGCCTCTGCGCCCAGCTATGTGCCTGTTTTTGTACCAGTACCATGCTGTTTTTGTCACTGTGGCCTTGTAGTATAGTTTCCAGCTTTGTTCTTTTTCCTTAGGATTGCCTCAGCTATTCAGGCTCTTTTTTTGGTTCCATATACATTTTAAAATATTTTTTTCTAGTTCTGTGAAGAATGTTGTTGTCAGTTTGGTAAGAATAGGCTTGAATCTGTAAATTTCTTTGGACAGTATGGACATTTTAATATTGATTCTTCCTATCCATGAGCATGGGAAGTTTTTCATTTGTTTGTGTCTTCTCTGATTTCTTTAAAAAGTGTTTTGTAGTTCTCATCGTAGAGATCTTTCACCTCCCTGGTTAGCTATATTCCTAGGTATTTTATTTAGTGTGTGTGTGGCAATTGTAAATGGGATTGCCTTTCTGATTTGACTCTCAGTTTGGTTGTAATAACATAAAATTCTGAACTTCATATAAATCGAACCAAACCTGTAGAATGATTCTGAGATGCACTATAATGGTAATCACCTGAACTTGATCTACAGCTCAAACTACCTGGTTTTTAAAAAAATAGTCAGTTTATTTCCACATATTTTGACTATTTTCTACCTGTCAGAATGTCACTATAGACGGCCGAGGAGGGGTATGGAAGACATACCCTTTATGTGCTCAGACCTCAGAGGGCACAATTAATTCATTGCTATTCTTACTTTCTGTATTAGATATTACTCCTGTTACTGTTATTTTTTAATTATAGATTTTTTTCCCTAGAAATATGTGTTCTATATGCAAAATGAAGCATAGGCTTTTATAATTTGTATATGTTTGTAAAGTTTGCATATGCTTTATTTTAAACCATTTGCTTATGGTTTGGGTGAATAGGTTTCCTCTGTTTCATTTCACCCTTTAAGAATGAAGAAAATAATTACCCCACCCTCTTTGGAATAGCTGCCATTTGAAAATGGGAAATGCTTCTATTGTGATCTACTTATTTATTTATTTTTACTTTTGGTATTAAGCCACCAAACGACTTAGCTCAGAAAAAAAAATTAAGTGTCTAAAAATAAATTTTACAAATTACAGCCCTGAGTTTACCATTCTGTTGTAGTGTGTCATTAAGAACTGGCTGCAAAGTACCATGCAGCAGGGTGAGGAGCAGCTAAAATCTGGGCTATTGTTTGGTCCTTTGAATAGTGAATGTAATTGTTAAACTATATTTTAAGTGGTTGAGCCAAGTTTAAAACAGTAAAATGTGTGTGTGTGTGTGTGTGTGTGTGTGTGTGTGTGTGTGATTTCTTCCTAATATTAAAGGAAATTCAAGAAAATAGAAAAATTTTAAAAACACTTATTCTATAGGAAATATCAAATATCCATATCTCAAACCTACGTTTTTAGGTACATACATACAAGTGCTACACTGGAGCTATTGTATCAATAAACCAAGAACTTATAAAGTTGCCTTTATATTTCAAAGTATTTTCCAAACATTTACATTTTCAAAAAATCCTCTAACAGTTCTATATGTTCAGTGCCATATGCTCAACATAATAATATAACTGTAGTTAAACTAATGATAACTAAGTCACAATAACATGGATGACTTTGCAGGCTGCTGGAGCAGCAAGGTTTTCTTTGCAGAACAAAGCTTGAAGCTTTGAAGCTCCTCTGATAAAAGTGTTGTGAGCGGGGTAGGGAGAAGAGGAGCAGGAGGCAGAAGAGGGCTTGGTCCATTCCAAGGAGATTTTAGACCTGAGGGAAGTCACCTGTCAATTTCTGAATGTCATTGGATTATCTGCTATAATTCATGAATGTGGGTTTGAAAACCCAACGTTAGTGACTCCCAGAAAATGTCTTTTGGAGATGAAAGGCAGGGGCTGGTCAAGGCTGACATCCTAGAAAATCCCTCATATCCTGGCTGTGGAATTGAAAATAGAGGATTTAACTTACTGTCATTTTCCTTTTTATTTATTCATTTGTTTGATATTGTAACACTTTTAGGTTTTGCTTGGTAGACAGAGAATATCTAAATAGTATTGATTTTTCCACAGTTATATGAAGGAAAGAATGGTCCAATTATCTAAACGTTGTGAAACATATTAAATTTTTTTAACTTAAAGATTTTTTCTACTTCATTGTCTGATCTAAACCATAGATGGAGAAACTGTAATGCTACTCTCATTTACCTGAGGTTCATAAGATTTTCTCATACAAAAATCCAATTTTCATCCAAGTAAATAATAAAGCTGACTGTACAATAAATCATATCATACCAGTGAAGACATCAATAGGCTCTCCCAGCTCTTCCAATTCTAGTAAAAATACTTTTTTAATATATGAAAATGATCGACAAGAAGCAGAATAATTTTAGATTAATTTTTTCAGGAAAAATGGAAACATTGACTTTTATTATAATGGAGTAAAATTCAATTTTATTGTAGGAAATTGTATGTCATAATTCAGTCTAACTTTGAGGTTAAAAATGGTGTTTAACCACCTGGAATATGAATTGAGGGCAGATTATAATAACTCAGTACAATAAAAGAGAATGAACATGACTCATATTGAATTCAGTAGATGCTTAAAGTAACCCACTCTGCACGCGTCTGGTTTGAACTGCAGTCAAGGTGAGTGTGGTGTGAGCAGCTGTCATCTTACCCGGGCGTCCACCTGGAGCCTCCTTCTTGCCTCGTTCCAGAACCCATGTCTCCATGAATAAAGTTAGCATGTGGCCAACTCACTGGATTGAATGTAGCCATCAGTTAGGACCAAGGAAGAGACCCGGGATACTTCAGTGCCTTGGGGTAAATTGGGGCAGCTGTTCTCCTGCCAGACCATGTTCTGAGTGCTGGGACTAGAGGCTTTTCCCTACAATTCTGCTTTTAATCATTCAGTCTTGACTTGGGGATAGGAGACAACAAGGCCTGGCTGAAAAAGGTGAGGCCGTTATTCTCCTTTTCTTGATGAATATGTTTGGAGCCAAAATACATTATGAATTCAAATAATTTTCTACTAATAAACATTTTTAGTGAAAAATGTTACCATTTATTAAACATTCCTTCTGAAATAAGATGAAATAGTCAGGCCCATGGTGGTTAAATTTGTTCCCGTGATCTCTTCTACTACCTGTCCAGAGGAAATGAGCTGGGAGAGCCACTTACCTCCTCATTCCCTCGGAGGCTGTGGTCAGGAGGGGCAGGACTGCCAGGAAGCACAGCCAGAAGCCGGTAGGCTGCTGTGGGCATCAGTCCAGCTGAATGGCACCCAGGCCCCAGGCACCTCCTCTTGTCCCTGGAGTGGAAGAGATGGGGGCTTGGGTTCTGGAGACCCCGATCACTTGTGTTGGAAGCTGCTCCCACCCAGAGGCTTGGTCATGTGAGAGCCTTGGCTCACTGGGGAGAGGGTGGGGAAGGCCTCCTGGAGGACAGGGGCTGTGTTTGTATTTTGCTTTGTGCCCACATACCTGTGTGTTAGGCTTCTATTTTAATTTCCAGTGGTTTTATTTCGTGGAACCTTTCTAGCGAGCGTGAAAACCTTTCTAGCGAGCATAAAAAAGTGGACAAGGGTGTCTGTCTTAGTCAGCTCAGGATGCTCTAACAGAATACCTTGTCCCTGGAGTGGAAGAGAATTCAGGATAGAGTGGGGGCTTGCAAGCAACAGACATTGACTTCTCACGGTTCTGGAGGCTGGAAGGCCAAGGTCAGTGGGCCAGTCTGGTTGGGTTCTTGGTGAGGCCCCTCCAGGTGTGCAGAAGGCCACCTTCTCCTTGTGTCCTCTCAGGATGCGGGCATCTCTCTTCCTCTCTTCATGAGGCACTAATCTCATCACGAAGGCTCCACCCTCATGACCTAATTTCCTCCCAGAGGCCCCACCTCATAAAGCCATCACCTTGGGGAGTCGACTTTCAACACACGAATTTTGGGAGGACACGAACATTTAGTAGATAGCAGTATATGTGACTAAGTGAACCCACTACATGAACATTTTTCTACAAAAGATACCAGACGCCTGTACAAACTACCAGGGAACCCAGATTAGGATACCAATAGAAAGTAGGGTTGAGAGTTCATCCTCATTCAGGTTTTGTATGTTTTCTATAAACAGGGAAGCTATTACACTTCATGTGAATTATGTATTCTATATCAGTTTTATATTTTATACCTAATTATGTGGGTCAAGTTATTTCAATTTACAATATGACATTTTTTCCCTCTACATTTTGTGAACCAAGCATCTCTAATTCAGACAATCACCTATGGGAGAGGGAGCTTTAGAGAGAAATATCCCCAAGACTTTCTTCCTTTTTTTCTGTTAGTCTAAGGAGATTAAAAAATAAGGAATAAAATTCTGTAATTATGTTGAAAAGGAAACCAAAAATCATTTAGAACCAACTACCTCTATTCTGTCTAATTCTATTCTGTCTAGTTCTGTGACATTTGGTTGCTGGATTCTTATTTTTTGGAAATAAAAACAAGCCTCCCACAGCCCACAGAAGCCAGTGCTGCAGACTCCCAGAGGAGGCTCCCTGGCCAGGACCATGATCCAGAGAGCAGACATGTAGCTTTGGGCCCTTCTCAGGAGCCCCATCTCAGCCCTGCTGTGTGTTTGACTGGTGATCTTTGGAGGTACATTTAGAGTCTCTGGGCCTCCGTCTTCTCATCTGTACAATGGAAATAACAATAACACTTCCTTGCTAAGGTTGCTGTGGTGCTTAGACATGTCAGCAGGTCCTGTAAGCTCAGCTCCCTGCCTGTCATGTAATAGGCAAGCTGTGTGATCTGCCTTTCTCCTCTTCTTTATCACACACATGAGGAGGGTACACATTCTCGGTTCTGGAGACCGCGGTGCTCTGAGCCACCTGCTCCTGGGTACTGGTGCTGGACTAATGTGCTCTGGGATGATCACCTTTTAGTTACTAAGTAGGTGTCTCTGTTACAGGATTTATTTGCTCAGCAGTGAAATCTTTATATTGAAGTGGCTTCTCTTATGGATGACTAAAGATTTTGACTCCTGTCCAGTGACCCTCTCTCATGAATGACGTAATAATTAGGAAGCAAAGGGATCTACTCCAAAGCAGGCCTGTGTTGTCAAGGACCTGCTGCCCAGATGGTGAGAGGGGCCACCTGGGCTCCTGCAGCAGCTGAGGTACCCAGCGTGAGGGAAAGGGGGTTGCTGTCAGGGTGGAGGGAGATGAATAAACAGTCCTCTGTGGTCTGGTCCACTCTCCAAATAGCCACAGTTCTGGCCTGTTGGCTGAGGGCGTGGGGGGCTGTTTTGATCCCCTTTCTACCCAAGTAATGAGAGAGAAATGCCTTAATACCCTTAAGGAATCTAGTTGTAACTCAAAGAGGCTCCTACTGGAATCTCCAGATGTCCTAGATTTTGTTTTGTCTTAAAAGCTTGTTAAAAAATGAAATTGTAATTTAAACTCTTTTCACATTTTTTGTAAGAAATAAAACATAATGTCCGCCAAACCAGAAAAAGGTGTAGTCAGTATACCTATCCCTGCACAGAAGATGGTTTGTTCACCTCTGAGAGACAGGAATTTAGAGGTCATAGGTCAACCTAGTTCACAGGTGAACCGCCACAGCCCAGCAAATCCTCAGGCTTTCTTAGATGGTCAGGGGAGATTGCCAGGGTTATCTCTCAGTGACTCCATCATTTGCTCCACATGGCTCACTGTGTTTGTGAGATTATGTACTTATCTTTACAAACCGTCGTTCAATTTAGACTTATTTCTTAAAACTGGCATGTGGAAAGCTGAGGTGTGGGTGGGAATTTTGCCTTCCTGGGGCTGGGTTTGGATCCCTAAAGAAGGAAACATAATTTTCTCCTCCATCCTTCATGAGTTCTTAGCTGGGACTGCCTGTAACCAAAGACAGATTAATAAGAGAAAACAAACAGAAGTTTATTGACACGTATGCCTCCTGTATACATGGGCAATAAACCAGAGAAATGAAAGCAGATCTCAAGGGTAGAGTTCAAAGAAATATCTTAGACTCCAGGCTCAAATGCCATTGTTCTCTGAAACAAAGAACATTGTAGAGGAAAAATCCAGTTAAGGTGGCTTGGGAAAGTGCTGGGAAAACGAGAAACAGATGCAGAGGTTTGCTCTGCAGACCTCTCCACTGATGAGTCTCTAGTGATTAAGATGATGAAAAGTCCTCCTCCTCTTCCTGCTGCAGAGACGGACACACCCTTACTAATGGTTTTTCTTGATAGAAGTAAAGTTCTCTACAAAAGATCACTTTGCAGAGCTTCTTCTGAGTCTGCAGTTGCTCAAAATAATCCTTATATGAGAGAGACATATTTTGGGGTAGCATATTCTGGTCTCCTAGTTATATATATTTTTGGCTGGTGTGTCCTGAGCCCCATCAGATCCATGGTACAGACCCAGAACACTTTTCTGTAAACCGTGTCCGGCGTACATGGAAGCATCTCAGGAGGAAGCCTGCTTATCCCTGTGGAGACTCTGATGTGCTCAGCGCTACATGAGTGAAGTCCCTCAGTCTCCCAGGGTCTACTTGCACAGCACTGGAGGGAGACTGAAGAGCAGAGCTGAGCTTCTGAGAAATAAGCATCAAATGCTAAGGTCCCCAGCCCACTGAATGGACCCCCTGACCCACTGTTGGCTGAGAGAAACCTTAGAAACTGAGTTCCCGGCCATGACAGGACAGGAGGTAGGACACGCCTCAGTGTACCCTTCCTCAGTAACCTTTCACCAGAATTCTCTCTAAGCAGGAAGCAGAAACCAGCTCTGGAAAACAAGAAATGAACAACTTATCCCTTTATCGCCCTTAGCCAGTCACCTGAGGCCAGGATCAGACTCCGCCTCCCTCTTTACAGCCTCAGCGTGACAGCCCACCAGTTTCACAATACACCTGTTCCTGATTAGAGACCACCAGCCACAGAGTGGCTCTGACCAGCCTAGGGAGGATGCACAGTGAGGGTTTCTTGTCCTCTGCTTCACCGTTTGACATCAGAGGGCCAAAAACTCTATCCTCGGATCATGCGAACACTGCCATTTTTTTAACATGGGTCCCATGAAGAGGCATGAAGCGCAATTGCACGTGTGTTTGTTTTATCAATATTCGTGATTCCTCCAATAGCTTATTGAATATACGTATCCATCCCCCCACTCAGCAGACATTCCTGCTCCCTTTACCCCTCCCTTGGAGGACTTGCTCTGGGCTTGTGCTGGAGGTTATGCTTCCCAGCCTGCAGGACGGCCACCCGTATGAAATAAAGCTCTCCTTTCCAAATGGATCGACCTTGCGATTCTTCAGTTGACACTCATTTGACGCACTCTGAATCATTCAGCCATTTCAAATTGATTTCATAACCTGTGCAAATGAAGAGAATTCAAGAGAACATGAAGCCTAGAATGGCTGTGAGGGTGAGAGCCTCCTTCAGACATATTTATCACTTCTCTGGAAGAGGAGATACAGAATGGGTTATTTAAATCCAGTGCTGACCCACGAGCAGAGTTTCAGGACACCAGTATGAGTGAAGACCTAGAACACAGAGGGACTTAAAGAGGTCAGATATGTAAGTATGGATTTTAAAAGAAACATGACCCAATTGTTCTGGAGTCATGCAAACTAGAACAGATGGGAAATCATCCTTCATGTTTTTCCAAGACTTTTGAAATGTGTCCAGTCCTGGGCTGCAGGATCAGGATGCTGAGCTGTGAAGAGGCTGAGCTGGACCTCACGCCAGCAGCCGGCAGTCGCCAACAGCCGGGCAGCAGGACCTTGACCTGCCCCGAGAGGAACAGAAAACAGCTCCATGGGTTCAAAAGACACACAGGGACAGGGATAAGTTAGGAAAGGTGACCACGGCTACAAGAAGCAAATGGTGTCACAGAATAAGTGCAAAGTAATGTATTAAACTGGATGTGATTTTCAAAAGAGAAGCAACAGTGCATGGTTTCAAATCAGCTTAATAAGTTACTTCCTGCCAGCTGCACCCACAACATAAAGCTTTGTTAGAATGTCTGGCTGTGGGAGGCACCTCTTCCCACCCAGCTTGTGTCCTTGCTCATTGGGACTTGGGATGCCACGGCCCATTCAACTGACTTTACAGCCAGGCAGGAAGCACCAAATTTATAGGGTCTCTATGAGGATTAAGTGGATAATATGTGTCTGTAAATTTAATTATATTTACACCTGTTATGCTTAGACTCTGCATGCCCTCTTGAACGCTGTAATACTGTTATTATGTCTGGGAAGAAGGAAAGAAGGAGAAGGTGAGAAGAAGAGTTAATTTAGACCTTGTTTCCATTCAGCGTTTGGAAGCTGAAGCGTTTAGTCGTTCATACTGGACCTGGTGTGATGGGATCATCTTGAGATTCTGTGTCTCGCAGACAGCAGCGGTGGCAGATTCTTGCTTCTTTTTTTCTTTCATTTCTGTTTCCTATCAGTTATGTGATAAATGAGACGTCAGGATGAGGAATGTATGCTTCCCTAGGAAGCAGTCACTGAACTTACAGTTGTTTGATGTGTTTAAGTGGATACAGTTGGGAGAGACAGTGTTGTCTGACCGTGGGCCCTAACGCCCACCGGCCAGAGGAGCAAACTTGCCCAGCAGCCTGCCTTGCCCCACGCCCAGCATCCACGGCTGCCTTAGCTGGAGGGAGCCGCGCGGGGGCGCAGTGCGTCATCACTGCAGCTATTTCACATTATTAGGGAGGCCACCGCGGGAGGCCCTGGAGGATATTGTGGAGTTACATAGATCTGGATGAGAATCTTATTAAATTATGTACTGTGTCCCTCCTTCTCTATTCTGTAACAGGAGGAAAATAAGAGGGAAAGGGATGGATGACAGCCCCCAAATTTCTATACAAACTTTGCCTAAGTTGTATAGACATGTCTTAGGTCTGTGTGTGACATGTAATTGACTAAATAATTATTACTTGTTAATTCTGCATATATTCCCGTTTTCTTTCTTGTTGCAAAGGAGTTGGATATTTTCGAACTTTTCAGTCACTTAAGAGTTTGTTTTCTATGACAAGGCAAAGTAAAGTTCCCTAGAGTTAGCAGTAACTTACATGAGTTTAATTTATCTGAATTTCCAAAGAACAGCCAACGTTGCTATTGTGCTGTACTAACCCAGGGTTAGGATTGCTTCAGATGCTTCCACATATGTCACGATTGTTAGTATCCCAACAAACAAAATAAACAAACAGAAACCAAAATTTGGCATGCGGAAGTGTCAACCTAAATAACAGAGCGAGTCTCTCTAAAAGAAAAGGCATTTATGTGGAATGAAGCATTACAATGGGAATACGCTTGCCATAGTAAACTAGGTGTGTGTTCAGGGAGGAAAAGGAGGACAAAGATTTTTAAAGGAAAAAAATGAGGAAGATTACATACTGATTTTGCAATAATCACTTTTGGATACGAAGATGAAGGAAAGGGTGACACCAGTCCGAGGTTTACACAGGCAGTTGCTTGGCAGATGTCCTTGAAGAAGTATTTTTTTGTCTAAAGCTGCAATGGCCTTTGTCCAAGGCTATGTTTTGTATGGAGTCTTTTTTTGTTATGAGGCATACAAGTGTGAGAACCCTCTCTTCGTGGCCTTCCCTTGCTCTGTTTGTCAAGGTTTTCTCAACATTAGTGATTCTATTTTGATTCTGACAATCACAGAAGAATATTCGCTAAATATTGATTCTTTCAAAGAAAGCATAAGCTCTTTAGTAGTAAAAGTCTTTATAAAGCTTAGGATTATCTTTGCATTTTCTAGCCTTGTACCTCTGAACATGTATATACTTTTAAACACAAAGATGTGCCTGAATTTGTTAGGCTAATTTTAAATATTTATTTTTCTAATATGAAATTTAGAGCATTGGTTTAAATAATAAACATCTATTAAGTGTTCATGAGATGCTTCAGAAATTATGTATGTTATTGATAAAAATTTTTCCCAAGTTGTATCAAGATGTATTTAGGTCTAAAGGATGAAAAATTTTCCCATCTGCTTAAATATATTGGTTTCTGCCATTTTTCTAAAAATGTATTCTCAGTTATCCTAAAAAGTAAATGATAGTCGACAGCCATTTATAAATTCCTCTAATATAAGAATTGTCATTGCCTTAAGCTTTCACAGCAGTTATCTAAGATCTCTTCACATTATAAACCAGTACTAATTTATATGCTTGGACCTCCAGCTAATTGTATTATGATAAATTACCATATCCTTATTATAATACTAGTAATGATTGGTTATGCAGCGGATGTTAAATTCAGTCATTTAGTACTGATGCTTTAAAACATTTATGAAAATGCCTAATTAATTAGTGTCATCAATTACTTAGTAATTTCCCTGAATTTTAAACTTCAGTATGGCAGCCTAGACAAACCCACTGGGATCTCTCACTTGCTCTATTAAATGATCATCGTGACTCTCTTTCTGAGGCCCCCTCAATGTTGTTAAGATCATTCTATAATTTTAAAAAATGAACTAGACTCAGCTCATTATCTTGCTATAGTGAAAGCAGCAGGTGTGGTCCTGAGAGCAAAGGGCAGAGTTGGGGTACACACGTGAGCGCTCAGAACCCTGGAGGTGGGAGCTAGTCCACAGTGCTGGAGGCTAAGAAGACCAGTTAGAGAAGGTAGGAGCCTTGCTTGCCGACTCAGTGAGGCATCATATCGATTTCTGCAAATGACGACTCCATCCAAGTTGTTGATTACATGATTTGGGGAAGTTACATCACAATTAGTTAATATGTTATAAGTCTCATACCATTTCATTAAATGTGCATAAGAACAATGAAATGATTTTGCTTTCCTTTGAATTACCAAAATAAATCATTTACAATATTTATTACATTTTTCCTAATGTTAAAATATAACAGGGAATTATAACTTAATTTTATCCACAAAGAACAACAAAGCAGCTGTTTAAATGCATTAATAGGAGTCTAAGCTTAGATACTGGATACTTTTCAGATAGAACCCTGACTTTAACATTTTTTCGTTTAGATCTGATCAATAACTTTTCACAGAGACTTAAGTGTATTTTCTATTATTATGATAAAATAATGTGTGAAATGCAGGTTTCAACACTTAACTGAACGTGATCAGTTGATACCATTGTGTGTCCCCAGGATCATGATGTTTGTTTTTAATTCATTTATTTTAGACCCTGAATCTTCTTCTCAAATAAAATTTCACATTTCATATGGAATCCTGATAAAAATGGAAATGTTCTTACTGAAGTTGAAACAAGATAAAGCCCTACCATCTCCATCAACCCATGCCTCCCTTCCTGCCACCCTCAACAACCTCTTAGATAATTCCAGATTATCTCAAGCATCCATAGGAAAGGTTGTGACAATAAGTGTTTTAACACACAGTAAAAATGATTGGATTAGATCTTCCTGAAGAGGCAACTATGAATTATGTCTTCTAAAGTCTTTTCAAGGTCAACAGATTTTCACATACTATATGGTACCCGAGGTCACAACAGGTCATTGGTCATGAGGTGTTTGTGTCAGTGTGAGTGTGAGGGAATGGGAAACCTGTATCTCTCCATGGAGTAAAAGTTAGTGGCAGCATTATTTTCTTTGTTTCCTCCTGTATTCTTACCTTTTTAATTGACCAAGTTTAGACATTGGGCAACAGTTTCTAGAACTGTTATACAAACCAGTAAAGGACTTACAGCAGCAATGGCCTTATTTCCATCCTTATTTTGGGTAAAAGAGTGTGACTCCTTTCTAGGAAGTATGCTATTTGTGTGGTGGTGAATGTCACACTTCCTGGAGCAACAGGTTTTCAGCACACGCTCACATTTAGCATGCAAACCAGGCATTCAGTGACAGGACTGTGTTGTCATTAAGACTGTTTGGATGCTGCATCTAAAAATTCACTTTCCATTTAAATGTTTCTCTTTCATGCACTATTTAATTTCTGACACACATCAGCCGCTATTCTAGTGCATAGTTAGTAGTCCACAAACATCCTATAATTAAATTGAACATCTGTCTTTTCCAAGGTGAATAATTCAGGTGAGCCAGATTTCTTCTCACGCTATGTCTCTTTCACTGTCATATGACATTATTGACTTTGTGTTCTTTTAGTTTTTCTCATAAAAGGTTCACTTTTGACAAGAGTTAAAACTAGATTCAATATTACTGTATGTGAATTCTGTATATAAGTTAAGAATTGAATTTGACAAATAGTAACAGAGACTGAATATCAGTGGCTTAACCATACAAGTGGTTATTCTTCCAGAGGATGTTCAGCTGATATGACAGCTTCATTAAAACCACTGGAACCCAGGTTTCTCCCTCAGAGCTCTGCTGTGTCCCGAATTGCTTCCATCCTCCAGCACGAGATGCCTGGTTTGCCTGGCCCAACTGCTGCACCAGCATTTCAAACAGCAGGAATGAGGAAGGGTGTGAGAATGACTCACAGAAATGCTATACAGTAAGCAATCTTTTTAGCAACAGCTCAGATGTGTGGCTGCACCAAGCTGCAGAGGTGGCTGGGAGATTCTGTTCTCTAAGCTGGACATGTTTTATAAGAGTTCCCTTATAAGGATTCAGGGGTTAATGAGAGGCAACCAGGTGTCTCTACCATGCTGTGACATTAGTTTAGTTGCTCTGGGCACAGAATAGTTATTTTTAAAATCTTTGAGTATATGTGATTAAGACAGGTTGTCTCTAACCAAATTATTAATTAACTAGGGACAATCCAGTGAGGTCTTGCCTGAGTGGTCCCTAATTTACATAGAAATTAAAAGTTACTCATATTACTTTGATATTTTTAAAAAATGAGCTTGACATCTCATTTCCTCTGAAAGAATTCATTGCTAATACTTCCCAATCAGAACAAAGTTACTTCTAGAATCCAATGTATTTATCAAACCCATGCTCAATTTACGTTCTATTCAGTTGAAACTGAGAGTAGGTATGTGTTAAGTCTTGATTTGACAGAGTAGGATGAAGAATAGTGCAGTTCGGGCCAGCATTTGCTAAAGAGTGGAGAAAGAGTCTCAACAGAAGAATGCATAGGTGACAAATATTTAATTTGGGGTAATTTGCTGTTTGTTAACTATGAGATTATTCTAAACACTTAAAATAGAGCCATTTCTTCATGTCTCTCAGAGAGATTGGCACATAAATATTGGTTGGGTTATAAATATTAATTGAAAGAATCAATGAATGAATTGAAGCTCTTAGGACATATTTAATTTATTTGTGACTATGTTCGGATTTTTCCTCAACATCCATTAGTAAGAGACAGTGCAGCTGCATAAATCCAAGGTGGGGTGTATGGTCAGAGTCACCATAGATGATTACGACCCGTAGCGTTTTGATCTCTGATAGGAGTTACAGACTTCAGTAGCCAATCAGGTCAACTTCACAAATATCTTCTGCCTCTAGTGATAAAGAACACTCATAATACAACCCCCTTCTTATAATCACTAGAAAAATAAAATGCTAGGTAAGAGGCAGGGTGTGTGTTTTCCATGTAGATGCAAGAAGGAAGACACTCTAATGTTACCATCGTGAACGCTGTGAAAATAACACCCGAAAGAAAACAAGCAAATGTTATGTTTGATTGGGAACTTGCTGTATCAAGGGGTCAGCCAATCTCACTTGCATTTGGCAGAGACTCAAATGTAGGCAGGGGATGGGGAAGAAAGAAGGCATATCTTCAGGCACACCTGAACACATCATGCTTCAGGTATACCCTGCTTGCAGGGGACGCTGGAGGCAAACGGAAGAGGGCATTCCCGTGGGATTGGTTAGGGGGCATATTTGGCTTCCTGGGGTTGTTCTTAAATTGGAAGCAAATGCAAAAATGATGGAAGCTGGCAGTTATTGACCAAGTTGAGAATATTTTGGGCTGACTGTTTGCAGAGTTTGTGGTTTTGCCTCCTGGGCTGGTTGCTGCAAACGTTGTTGCTCAGAGTTCTGTCTTTCTATATGGTTTGGCCATTGTCTATTTGCATATTCATTTTGTTAATACCAATTCAACATCAGTTAATACTAATAAGGTTTAAAGGGCCTTAAAATGCATCTTCTTAAAATGCATGGCAGAAAATTTTAAGAAAAAGGACCCCAATCATGGTTTTTCCAGTAAATGGAAGTTTTTTTCAACTTTACGCACTCAGTGTTTATTTGTTGTTTCTACTTGTTTATTTGTTTTGGCTTTGCTTAATCTGAAATTGATCCATGGGGTTAAGGAAAGTAGAAAAGCATTTAAAATATTTACTAAGTATAGGGTGTGCAAATACTGGTTCCTGGTCACTGTGGAAAGATTTAGAGGGAGTAGAAGACATCATCTCTTAGCCTGCTTGGAGATGAAGAGCATATGGATGTGAAGACATTTAAGAGGTAAGGTTGAAAATATAGCTTCTCCTATCCACCAACCATCTTTTTTAAGCATCATGAGGCTAGGCTGTGTACCAGGGCTTGGAAAATGAAAATGAAAGAGAGGTGCTCACTGAGCTGTGGGAGTTGTGGTTTACATATGGAATGAAATATGTTAACAGGTCTATTAACCGCCCACAGAGTCAGCACCATAGCAAGGTATGGGCGAGGATGGGCAGAGGGCAGAGGTCCCAGGAGACTTACTGCAAAGAAGGGGTAAAAAGGCAACAGAGCCTTGCCTGGTGAGCATGCTGGGAGCATCTCCCCCAGGAGGTGCTGAGGTTCAGGACATCTTCAGAACCACACAGCGCTTAGCTAACAGAGAACATATCATGCCCCATCATGTAACATGGCTTCAACCTAGATAGGTCTGTTGCGTTTACTGCATTTGATGCTTGTTTAACTTGCTGCACATGTGTATTGAATATCTGCAGTATTTTTGAATTACAATATCATTTGAATAAAAATCCCTTTTAAATAAATATTTAAATCTTAGCTGGGCATTGTGGTTGTGGCGTGTTCCTGTAGTCCCAGCTACTCAGGAGGCTGAGGTGGGAGGATCGCTTGAGCCCAGGAGTTTGAGGCTACAGTGAGCTGTGATTGTGCCACTGCCCTCCAGTCTGGCACCTGAGTGAGACCCTGTCTCAAAATTAATTAAATTAAATTAAAATATTTACATAAAATTATTTCCTTAATTTTTTTCTTTTAAAGGAGGGTTATTTTTCTTTTTAAATTATTTGTTTTGAAAATTAAAATTTCATTTTTAAAATTTAGCAACAGTGTGTATGGGGTGGTCATGGCTGGTGTAGGTTTTTAAAAATTTCCACGGGCTCCTTGCTCCTGAAGAAGTGAGTGAAAGTTTGTGGGGGTTTCTGCCTTCTGCAGACATCTCACGGGTCGTGTGGATGAGGTGATAGTGCTGGACCCTCCTCCTTAGTCCTGTGGGATGTCATACAGGGATGCATTGCTTTGACTGATGGAGCCCAGTCCCACAGAGGAGAACTGCCCTCCTCTGCTGCGGTGTGGGAGAAGGGGAGGTGAGGCATAGCCAGGCCTTGGAAGGTGACGATTCTGGGCAGGTAGCAGGTGCCAGGCAGAGTGAGTGACTGAAAAAGCTGGTGAAACAACCCAGCCGTTTGGAAACACCAGATTTTTCAAGGGGCCTGCTTTCTCACTTACAAAAGACCTCATAGGGCAGTGTGGATTTGATGAAATAAGACTGATAAAAGTTGTAACATGAATGTCTAGTACTTAATTAATTTTAGATAAATGGTATGAGTTATATGAGAGCAAATATATTGAGTTGTTGAAATTATTGAGAATCATTTAGCTAAAAATTAGATTTTGCTAAAATCTGTCTTCAAAAATCAGCCAAAATATGTGTTGGATATTGTGTTAGTCTGTTTTGCACTGCTATTAAGGAATACCTGAGACTGGATAATGTATAAAGAAAATAGGCTGGGCATGGTGGCTCACACCTGTAATCCCAGCACTTTGGGAGGCTGAGGCAGGTGAATTACAACGTCAGGAGTTCGAAACCAGCCTGGCCAACATGGTGAAACCCTGTCTCTACTAAAACCACAAAAAATTAGCTGGGCATGGTGGCTGGTGCCTGTAATCCCAGCTACTCGGGAGGCTGAGGCAGGAGAATCGCTTGAACCTGGGAGGCGGAGGTTGCAGTGCACTCCAGCCTGGGTGACAGTGCGAGACTCCATCTCAAAAACAAAAACAGAAACAAAAAGGAAAACAGGTTTATTTGGCTCACGGTTCTGTAGGTTGTACAAGGGCGACACCAGCATCTGCTTCTGGTCAGGACCTCAGGAAGCACTTAATCTTGGTAGAGGTGAAGGGGGAGCAGATGAATCTCATGGCAAGAAAGGGAGCAAGAGAGACGCCATGCTCTTTTAAACAGCCAGCTGCCACGTGGACTCATCACTGCCAGGCACTCATGAGGGATCTGCCCCACGACCCAAACACCTCCCGCCAGGCCTCGTCTCCAACACTGCGGATCATATTTCAACATGAGATTTGGAGGAGGCAGATATCCAAACCATATTCGATCTCCAGGAACCTGATGACATGTGGATGCAGTCTCTTTCTCTCTTTCTTTTTAAAATAAAATAAATATATAAATGTAAATATATTTAGGAAACTTTTAATCCCAAGACAATATGGTATATTCTTTACATGGAGGAAACAAGTTGGACTAGAAGGGAGAATGTTGCTGAATCATGTGGTCTTTTTATGAATAATTACTTTCTACATATATACTTATTCCATTTCCAAATGGAAGCAATGTGCAAAGATAAATAGATAGGTCTAGTATAAGGTGGTTTTCATTCTCTAAAGGTTACGTATCATTTTGTTACGAATGTATAAGACATAACATAAAACATTATCTACAAAACTTTTCTTTTAAGGAAAGTACCCAGAAAACCTTTCTTAGCTTAAATTTTTTTTTATGTTGGCTTTAAGTAATATCAAATTTGGGCAAATGTTATAGTTAAGGGATAACTCTGGCTCCTAACACTAGGATTTCTAATCTAGCATCAGTAGTTGCCTTGAATTAAAATAACCACAGACCTATTTGGATAAATATTGTGGTTATCATGATCTGATTATCAAGCAGTAACTTGCGAGGACCTGCCATGGAAGAAAATTTCTCCTGTTTGTATAAATATTGAAAGGCAGCACCATAACAAAAACAGTGTGACCTGAATGGAAGAACACGTTAAGTAGCGTTGTGATTTGCAAATGTTTCTTGTGCTTGATGATTGCGTGTGTTGCATGTGTGTTCATATTTGAATAAATGTACACATGTACATACTCCTATCTTTTTATTTTTATAAACAGGGTTCCTCTCTTTCACCCAGGCTGAAGTGCAGTGGCACAATCTGGGTGCAAGCAATTCTCCTTTCTCAGCTTCCCGAGTAACTGGGACTGCAGGTGTGCACCACCATGCTGAGCTAATTTTTAAATTTGTATGTAGAGATGGTATCTCACTATGTTCCCCAGGCTGGTCTCAAACTCCTGGCCTCAAGCAGTCCTCCCACTTTGGCCTCCCAAAGTGCTGAGATTATAGGCATGAGCCACCCTGCCTTGCCCACTCATCTTTAAAACCCCCTCATAGAGACTCTTCTCCTTGTGAGTCCTTGCCCCTCTAACCCTCGGGCTTAGTGCTCCTGCCACTCTCTTCCAGCCCCAGCTCTGCAAAGCCCCTCTCAGGTGGCCTTGCTTGACCACATTTTCTCTCCTGGTGCCTCCAAGAACAGTCATCTGTTTCCTAGACCTGACCTGGTGTGGCTGCAGCCACACTGTCCTCTGTAACATTTCTAGATGCCATCTGATGCAGAACACCCCTGAATGGCATGCTTATTCTGAGAGATCTTCTCAAAATTCTACCCCAACTCTACCAGGAAAGGAAAGGCTGTGTATTTTAAGAGATAGAAAGGAGCCCTCACTGCTGTAACATGGTGTATTAGTCCGTTTTCACGCTGCTGGTAAAGACGTACTGGAGACTAGGCAAATTAAAAAAGAAAGAGGTTTATTGGAATTACGGTCTCACATGGCTGGGGAGGCCTCACAATCATGGCAGAGGGTGAAAGGCACATTTCACATGGTGGCAGCAAGAGAGAGAATGAGAGCAAAGTAAAACAAGATTCCCCTTATCAAACCATCAGATCTCATGAGACTTATTCACTACCATGAGAACAGTATGGGGGAAACTGCCCCCATGATTCAATTATCTCCCACTGGGTCCCTTTCACAACACATGGGAATTATGGGAGCCACAATTGAAGATGAGATTTGGGTGGGGACACAGAGCCAAACCATAACGCATGACTACACATAAGTAGATGTCCAATACCAGACATGCAGAGAGAAGGTAGAGACAGGAGTGACTCCACTGTCACTGTCTGTGTTTCTACTTATTTTTCCTCCCATTAACTCTACAGAACACTTCTTCAGATAATTGGCCAAGGAGTTTCCACCTCCTTATTTTCTAACTCTTATTGTGGCTGTGTGGTCCTCTGGACTGGTGGCCTGTCTTGCCTGCAGTTTCTTTCACACGTGGAAGTGCTGCTCTAGATTCTGTTTTAATCTCACTGCTTTCAAAAGGACCTCGCGCCCTCCTAGGAGCAGGTGCCCTGGAAGGGGCTTCTCTGATAACCCCATTTTGGTAGATCCCTGTTCCTAGGGCTCACAGCCACTTGTTTGTTTCCAGTGTGGCTGATGGGTCCACAGGGCTGTCTGCCTCTGTTGACCTCTGGCCTCCCACTAGTCCTGTGGCTACATGGTCAGAGCTGAGTATACCATGTACAATGATTGGATTACTTATTACTCAGCCACTGGTATAAAAAGGCCAGGCAAAGAACTACAGTAAAATTCCAGGACACAGCACACGCATCTCAGACACAAAATATAAGTATTTTCCAACATCCCATATTGGCAGAAGTTAAATGCTCTGTCAGCCTGTGTACCTGCCCTGTACTGCCCACAGAGGTCTAGCATGTGGGTCTTGTCACCTTCTTGGTACTAAGAATGCCTTAAAATATTCAAATCAGTGATCTGTAAAGTTTTCATGATCCCAGCAATGACCTAAAAATGGAAGAGTTTTAGGTGAGAAGGAAAACACACACACACACACACACACACACACACACACACAGAGAGAGAGAGAGAGAGAGAGAGAGAGAGAGACAGAGAGAAGCTGCTGTGGCTCTTGAAGAGGGCAGGGGCTGTGGAAGCTGTCACCTGGGGCTGTACCATGAACGGGGGATTCTTTTAACGCGAAGCCATCGGCGACTGGCCCCGGAGGCTGAGGACCCCGAGACAGGCCCTGCCCTGGGCGGATGTCAAGCAAGGGAGACCCACTGTTTGCCCCGAGGAGAAAGGACACAGAGTTTAGTCAAATGGTCGGAATAACTAGCGACAATGCATACAAAGGAATATTCAACACGCGACCTGGGTGATGTGGGCTGTTGAAGTGACTGGACTCAGGTGATGCGGCTGCGGGAGGTGGTGAGCGATGCTGGAAGCTGCGTCCCGGCCACCCAGATACCCTGGGAGTGCGTGGCGCTCCGGGGAGGCTGCTCCTCCGCGTGGCCAGGAACAGGCCAAGGACCAAAACCAGATGACAGCTGGCATGAAACCGCGGGGCTGGGCACATCCCCTGTTCCTCACATGCATCCCAGAAGCCCCCAGATTTCCTCCGCAATCCCGGCTGCGTGCCCTTCCAGGTCGGGGGCCCCCACCTCACCTGGGCCTTGCAGAGCAGCATGACCCCTGAGTCCCAAATGAGACCATCTCTGTTTTATCAATGACAGATAAAGTACCTTCTTAAATTTTCAGAGTACTGTCGCAGCCAGATGGGCAGCTGCCCCCGGTTACGACATCTGCTTCATAAGGTTCTGTGCTCACCACTGGATGCACTGTAGCTTTTCTTGTTTTCTTGGCCCCTGGTTGAATTAAGTAGGACCTGCTGTGCCCTGAGCCCCTCAACAGTGTGACAGAGTGTGAGTTCAGCCATGCAGAAGGGATGAGTGAGTAAATGTATTAAAGAGAGAATGTGATTTAAAAAGATATCACCTTATGAAAATCATTCCAATTCCTTCAACCCAAGCTGCAAAACCTTTTACCAGACACCGTGGGGGAGGAATGGCAAAAAGAAATCAATGATACTTCACTTAGCTACATCCAGAAGGAAGTTTCTTCATAATTCAATTAGGTGCATTAAGATAATTACATTATCATAATGTGTGGAGGTGGAGTGGGTTGGGTGTGCAGGGGCAGGAAAGAGCTGGCAGCCTCAGTTCAGGGCAGCCTGGAGAAGGCACTGAAGTCTATGGGGTGGGGCTGAGTCAGCACGCACAGGTGGGAGGGGAATGTCAGCATTGCGTCTGTGTGTCCTCCATCCTCCTGTCTGTTCTTTTCCCTCCTCTCCAAAGCCCCCTCACCAGCCCCCACCAGGTGCTCTGTCGCCTCTGCTGGACTGGCCAGCCACGTGTGAGTTCAGGAACTGTGATGCCTGTGCACCTGCCACACTCCCCTCACCGAAACCCCTAGAGGAGCACCATCAGCTCCTCCCTTGAAAGCTCCTCCCTGCTACCTGGAGAGTAAGCTCTGATCACCTCCAGACCCATGCTGTCCAGCGCCACATGCTAGTCACAGGAGGCTGCTTACATTTAATCAAGTTAAAGGTAAATAAAGTCAAGCATTCACTTCCTCAGCAGCACTGGCTGCATTCCAAGTGCTAACCAGTCATGTGTTTTATGTGCACATTTCTAGCCTTGCAGGAAGCGCTGCTTTTTTTTGAAAAGGAGTCTCCCTCTGTTGTCCAGGCTGGAGTGGTGCGATCTTGGCTCACTGCAACCTCTGCCTCCTGGGCTCAAGCGATTCTCCTGCCTCAGCCTCCCTAGTAGCTGAGATTATAGTCGTGTGCCACCATGCCCAGCTAATTTTTGTATTTCTAGTAGAGACGGGGTTTCACCATGTTGGCCAGGCTAGTCCCGAACTCCTGACCTCAAGTGATCCGCCCACCTTGGCCTCCCAAAGTGCTGGGATCACAGGCGTGAGCCACCGCGACTAGCCTCAGGAAGCACTACTTTAGACAGTGCCCGTGACAAGAGTTAAATATCTCACACATTTTCTTAGTCAATTAAGTCGGAGGTGGGAAGAGTGCAGAGGCTGAGGCCACCAGGGTGGCAAGGAGAGGACGTGGACGGCAGCTGCTCCTCCTGGGCAGCACCCGCTGGGTGCAGCGCTTCTCTGTGTTGTTCCTTCCTCCCTGTCTTGCCTTCAGGAGGCCCAGGGAGAACTGGATCTTCAGCCACACTTTACAAACTGCTCGCCATCACAGTGCAGTCCACACTTGCAGGTCGCAGAGAACACACCACTGATTTTCCCACGCTGATAGCTCTGACGTGAATCGACTGCCACGCCTGCTGCCTGGCTCATTCTATTATCCGTGGACTAGTGACTGGGAAGGTCAACCTTGTTGTTCTGATTCTGCTTGGCTGTTTTCGAAAGTTCCCCTAAGAGAGAATGTCTTTCCTCGGCCCAGATTTCCTCTGCTGTGAGGTCTTGAACTTAGTTCCTGCCTCTCTTGTCCTCAGCGGTGCCTGTTTCATTTCAGCTTCTGCTTCCAGATCCTTCCTTCACAACAGATCCCAAGCAACAGACACCTGATTTCCAAGGTGACGGTCAGCCAGGCTTTTCCCAGACAGGTTGGAAGAAGGGAAACACTCCTTCAGATATCTTCTGCTCAGAGACGCAAAGGGAGCCCAGGAAACTTGGACAGTGTAGAATACATGGAGAGTCCAATCTCCCTTGGACACACGTATTTGCATTTTTGTTTTATTTCATTGGCCATTTTATTTACAAAGTGTATTCTTCATACATATAAGTAGTACCATTTTGACTTGAAATCTACAGATGAATTACAGTGCATTTTAAAGAAATCCTAATCAAATATTAAATATTATGTAGTGCACCCTAAGTTCATTTGAATGGGCTTTTCTTCACAATGCAAGCATTTGGGTGAGGTTTTGGTTTATTTTCTTCTAAAAAAAGTAACTGTGTAGCCTTTATGTCTACACAGTGCACAAGTAGAGTTGGTTCTGTAGGGGGAAATGCAGGTTCACCTGAGGGCACGCAGGGTTCAGATGGAAAACAAAGCCAGGACAGAGGGGGCTGGAGGCTTTCTCTGCTGGGTCCTACCCCCTGTCTCTGCCTCTGCCGCCTCTGATAGCCCGGGCCTGCGTCCTTGCCACAGTCAGATGTGGCTCCTCAGCATAGCTGTGCAGTAAGAGCCCTGTGAGCCTGCGGGGACTTACCTGCTGGGCCCTGGGGGCTGAAATGATGCATGCAGATTCAGTGCAGATGTGCCCGCTGGAAAAAGATGGCCCTGAGGGGATCTGTCATTATTTGTTAAAATGAGACTTGACATCTCCCTCACCCTCCCTAGTGCCTGACTCAGCTTTTTGTGAAATCGGGGGACACGAGGGTGATTGTTTGTGAAATCGGGGGACATAAGGATGATGCCTGAGAGACGGGGGGTGGCCGTGGGCTGGCCTGGCCTCCTCACCAGCCCTCCTTCTCACCGATGTGTCCCTCTGTGTCCATGATGCCCTGTCCGAGGAGTTGCAGTCAGAACTGGCCCCCGGTGTCTGGCTCCCGAGGTCCTCCCCTGCTCCCAGACCCCAGGCTGGGCAGTCCTTCTGTGTCAGCACTACCTCCCCATCTCTAAGCAGGACGTCCTGTATGTGGGTGGCTGTGTGGATGCCATGCCAGGAGCCACACAATGTCCTGTGAAGGTTCAAGGCTCAGCATAGAGGAGACCAGATTGTCCAGGTCGGTCAGAACATGATGCATCCGCCCCACCCCAGCCAGGGGATACTAGCGCCGTCTGTTAAACCCGCTGGTCCTCTGAGGAATTTCTACAGCTTCCTTAAACCTCAGGTTTCTGAATTACAGCAGAAATTGAAGACATCTGTGGGGCCTCCTGGGGCCGACTTCCCTTTTGGCTGGGAATTTGACTTAGTGAGAGAGGGCACCTCCCACCTGCAGGTCTGACCCCAGGCAGAATATTGTATCTGGAAGAGATTTCTGAGATAATTCAACCTCATCATCTTATGGATAAAGAAACTCAGGATCCAAAAGGTCCGTGTCTGGAGGATTTTGTTATAAATAATTGCACAGCACACTGTCTAGTGATTTAAAATTCTAAACTGTAATCCATTTGTTAGTCTCCAACACCGGCTTTGTTGTAATCTGGCCATGTGTCTTCAAGGGCTGTGACAGCTTACTTGAGGTCCATTTGCTTTGACCAAAAAAGAGCCTTGGCCCCGACACCAGCCCAGGTCTCAGATGGTTTTGAGGTCACTGCTCCGGGCTGCGCCTTGCACGTTTAGACACCACGCCGAATCGATGCTGCCTATGGCAGGCTCACAGAACGAACACGGAACAGTTCTGGGTGTCACTCATGTAGTCACCGGGCTGCTGGACCCACTGCTGGAGTGTGTGTCTGTCTCTCAGGAAGGGACTCCCTAAGAAGGCACCGCAAAGGCTGGACGCATCAAATCATAGGCCCATCTTTTTCACATGGGAGGGTTTGGGTGTTTAGGGAATGGATTGACTCATGCAAGAATGGCCAGAGCAGCTCCACACCCCAGCCCTGGGATGCTGGGAGGGGCCTGAGGCTGGATTGCAGGGTCATGGTGGCTGCCACCCCTTTCCTGTCCCCTCTCCTTCTGCCTTAGCGTGGAGGCTGCTTGCTCTTCCCTCCCCAAGCTGTCCACTCAGCTGGCCCATTTGTCTCCTTATGGCTTTGAGAATCTGACTGCCACAGGAGAACTCCCCACCTGGGGAAATTCACCTGAGGGTTTCCTGTCCCTGGGAGTATTGATGCCTTCTACTGTAAGTTATGAAATGCATTTTAAAGGCAAGAGCCTCCCTCTGGCTTAAGCATCCTCTGGGAAGCTGGACACAGGGGCAGAGCGGCTGCATCAGGCTCTGAGAGTTCAGGCGCCCACAGCCCTTTCCCATTCCGCAGGAGCTTCCCTCGATGGAAAAGGCAGAATTCTCTTCTTGATCTCCCTGGCAAGTCGGGGGCTCAGGCCTTCATCTGCCACTGTGCCAGCCGGGTTGTCTTTTGCAATATAATGGAATGGGAAGGAATAATTTCCATTTTACCATGAGCTGAGTTTTGGTTCCTTTATTTTCAGCTTCTCGCAGTAGCTCAATTTCACATTAAGGAGAGGAATGAATGACTGGCTGGTGATATTTTAAATTTCCTGGTTTAAATAGAGTCATCCTCAGAGGTTATGTCGCTTTCCAATTGACATTTCTTCCCCATAACGAAAGAAGTGACCTGATCTCATGCTTGAAATTAATTGTCCAAATTACTGACTATAATAACCTTGCTTTGAAGAGTCTCTGAGTTTCTTTGGAGAACTTGTTTTTCTGTAGTTTTTGGATTCTTCAAATAGCTGCAGAAACCCAGCCCTGGAATGCACTGGCGACAATGCAGGTCCCTGGCCTTCAGCGGCTCCACACACTAACAGGCGCCCCTGGAGATATGCCAGGTGGGGATGCAGGCTGGGGAGGAAAGAACCAGGCTGCGAGGTTTCCAGAGGGAGGGAGGCAGGGCCAGGGAGAGGCCAGGGACTCTCGAGAAGGCGCAGGGGAGAGATGCCGTCAGATGGAGCATGTCACACAGGAGGGTTCTCGCCTGTTCTTCTGAGTACGCTACTGTGTTGTTTAGTTAAGGGAGTTGCATTTTCTAGTTTGTATGGATCTTCTCTGTGGTTGCTTGTCTTAGTCTTTTGGGCTGCAGTAACAACATACTACAAATGGGGTATCTTATACACAACAGAAACTCATCTCTCACAGTTTTGGAAGCAGGGAAGTGCAAGATCAAGGTGCTGGCAGATTCAGTGCGTGATGAGGGCCCACCTCCTGGTTTATAGGTGGCCGTTTTCTCACTCTAACCTCACATGGTGGAAAGGACAAGGCCGCTCTCAGGGGCCTCTTTCATAAGAGTGCAGATCCCATTTGTGAGAGCTCCCAAAGGCCCTTCCTTCTTCTAAAATAATCACTTTGGGAGATAGATTTCAATGTATGAATTTGGGGGGGACACAAACACCCAGGTCATAGCACTGCTCTGTGGAAATAGAGCACAGTTGGGTAGGCACAAAGTCAGGGAGCAGGGAGACAAATAGTTAGAGCTTTATTGAGAGAGAGAGAGACAGACACAGACAGACAGACAGACATGGAATGAGAGGTGAGGTGCCTGGGGTGCTCTGAGACAGAATTGGGAGGTGCAACCACAGCCGGCCCTGATACCCCCTGCACCAGATGCCTCCCACGGCCACTCTGGGCTCTGATCCCTCTGCTCAGGCCTTTGCAGTTTGTCCAGGCCCAGCCCCTGCAAAGATCCTGGCTCTACATAGACTCCTTCCTGCTCCCAGGGCTGCCTGACAGCGGCTGCCTCCTGTGGGCTTCACTGTTGATGCCAAGCAGGCAACAAGTTGCACTCCTCCCCACAGGGCTCATCCTCAGGCAAACCTGGGGTGGCGGGAGCAGGAGCCTGTGGATCCACCCTTCTGCCTCTTACCCCCTGGGCTGGATTCCTCCTCGAGAATGTCCTGTGAAATCAAGAGTCCCAAGCTCCAAACACCAAGGGTGGTACAGTCAGTGCCGTGGGATGATTCTCTAACAGACTTTCCTGGCAGGTAGAACCCTTGCCACGTGCCAATTCTATAGGACCCAGACCATGGCAGTGATCAGAGTTGTTAGGATTCTCAGATCTTGTTTCACTCTTAGTTTACTCAGGGACAAAACGGAACTAAATAGGTGTTTGGGTGCTGCCTGTTCTCACAGTTACCATTCTGTTTCAGACCATTCCTTTTACCGATATCTTTTCAAATGGCAGCTTGTATTCCATTTTCATCTTTCCTTTTTTTTTGGAAATGTATTGATGATCTGTCCTCACTCTTTTAAATCCTGGTACTTATTCAGCTCCAGGAAGCACCTTATGTATTTTATCACATGCATCCTCCCAGACCTTGGAAATGCTGATTTCTGAACTTCAGCTCACAGGAGCAGGGGATGATACATCTGCTGAGGGCAGAGCCAGGCTGGTAGCCAGGTCTGCTGCCTTCAGGGTGGGCAGGTTCTGGGGATGCACAGCACCTTTCTTCCAAATTGGCTTTGAAGATGCCAAAGCTCCCTAGAAACGGGAAGAGCATGTGTTTAGTGACTTTTTACCCATTGTTAGTGAGTGTGGAAGGCAGAATAATGACCCTCTCTCTCCACCAAAGATGTTCACTTCTTAATTCCCAGAACCTGTGTCTATGTTATTTTACATGGCAAAAGAGATTTTGCAAATGTGATTGAGTTATGGATTTTGGGATGGGGAGGTTATACTGGATTCTTCACGTGGGCCCAATCCAATCACCAGGGTCTTTGTAAGAGGGAGGCAAGAGGGTCAGAGTAGATGTGACCTAGAAAGAAAGGACAGAGGGGCCGGGTGTGGTGGCTCATGCCTGTAATCCCAGCACTTTGGGAGGCCGAGGCGGGCGGATCAGGAGGTCAGGAGATCAAGACCATCCTGGCTAACATGGTGAAACCCGTCTCTACTAAAAATACAAAAAATTAGCCGGGTGCGATGGAGGGCGCCTGTAGGCCCAGCTACTTGGGAGGCTGAGGCAGGAGAATGGCGTGAACCCGGGAGGCAGTGCTTGCAGTGAGCCGAGATGGCGCCACTGCACTCCAGCCTGGGCGACAGAGCAAGACTCCGTCTCAAAAAAAAAAAAAAAGAAAACAAACCCAAATTTTAGGCTCTTATGTTAAGGGTAGGGGGGGCGGGGAGAAGAGAAGGGGGCTGGGATCAAGATATGACCGATGACCTCAGACATTTCGGGGTGCCAGCAAGGTTCTGAGGAGGGTGGGAACTCCTTTGTCCTTGGTCAGGACAGTCTTTGCTTCTATAAATCATTAACAAAACGTGGTCAGTTGTTTACATACGTCTTCTTTAACCCCAGGTTAGTTTTAAAAACCACATGATTCCTGGTTTTGCCTGTTACCTCAGTGCTCTAAGATTATCCTATCCTATGCACAGGAATGGGTAAAGACCCCTTAAACAAAAATGGAGTGAGTTATGTTAGTTCTTTTGCTGTTCCACTGCTACACTTTGAAGGGCCCTTAGGTCCATGTCATATTGTGAATACTGCTGCAAAGCACGGGACTGCAGACGTCTCCTGGACATACTGATGTCATTTCTTTGGACAGATACCCAGCAGTGGGATTGCTGGATCATTTGGCAGTTCAATTTTTGATTTTGTGAGGAACCTCCATGCTGTTTTTTTCTAATGGCTATACTAATTTACATTCCCATCAACAATGCACTAGGGTTCCCTTTTTACCACATCCTTGCCAAGAATTATCTTTTGTCATTTTGATCATAATCATTCTAACTGTGAAGTGATGCCTCGTTGTGGTTTTAATTTGCATTTCTTCGATGATTAGTGGTATGGATCATTTTTTAATAAACCTGTTGGCCATTTTTTTTTTGAGAGGTGTCTCTTTAGGTCCTTTGTCCTTTTTAAAATCAGTTTATTTTCTTGCTATTGAATTGGGTTCCTTGTATGTTTAGGGTATTAATCCCTTATCGAATGTACAATTTGCAAATATTTTCCCACATTCTATAGGTTGTCTCTTTGTTGATTGTATCCTTTAGTTGGGTGCAGTCTCATTTTTCTGGTTTTGCCTTTATTGTCTGTGCTTTTGGGATCATTTTCAAAAAAATCACTGCCCAGACCAATGTCATGGAGCTTTTTCCCTGTTTTCTCCTAGAAGTTCTATAGTTTCAGGTTTTACATTGAAGTCTTTAAGATATTTCTGAGTTGATTTTCATTTATAGTATAAGGGTCCATCTAGTTTTATTCTTTGCATGGGGATATTTAGTTTTCCCAGCACCATTTATTGAAGAAGCTGTACCTACCATTTCCAGTTCTGGAAAACTGAGAGGATTTTGTAATTTTAAAAAATTTTAGACACATGGTTTTGCTCTGTTGCCCAGGCTGGGGTGCAGTGGCATGATCGTAGCTCACTGCAGGGCTCCAGCCTCAGCCTCCCAAGTAGCTGGGACTATGTGCATGCACCACCACACGTGGCTATTTTTTTTTTTTTTAACTTTTTATAGAGATGAGGTCCTGCTATGTTCCTCAGACTTGTCTTGAACTCCTGGGCTCCAGTGATCCTCCCACCTCTGCCTCTCAAAGTGTTATAGACGTGAGCCTTGTGCCCAGCGTGAGGTCTTTCTTATTTTAGTTAATAAAGTTATAAGGCTTCATAGTTCAAAAGGGAAAATGCTATTTATATTTAAAGAACAATCAAGTGATTTGTGGATTCCCCACAGCTTCCTTGGAAACGCCCTGCTGTCCTTGCTAATGGGTAATGACGGGCTGAGGGGTGGCCATGGCCTCACGAGGGCATTGTAAGGGAAAATTGCAATTTCTGAGGGCAGCCTAAGTGGGGAGGTGACCTCAGGCACCCATGGTTAGTGGGTGCAAACAGGATTAGGCATATAAAGCTATACCTTATTACCTTATTTCAGTATCATGGTAATTTTAATGCCCAACATAAACAATAGTAATGAAAGCATGATATTTTAAAAAGTGCCTGCACCATTCACCTCTGTCTCTCCTCCCCCTCTAGTTTCCAGGTTCACCTTGTTCGCAGCCTGAGAAATGGCTCCTCTGTAACTCCTGGTTCTGAGTGACCCATGCAGCATGCGGGACCATTTTCCAGAGTCTCTGCACCCTCTGCATAGCTGAGTGTGAGCCGTGGGGCACACACTGCACCCTCCTGGCCTTCTCGGGTTACACTGCCAGCCTGATGCTTCCTTTGGCTTGCTCTGAGACCAAAGCAAAAGAAGACTCTTTTGCTTAGCACTTTCTTTGCCCTTTTATTTCTAGTTGACATGTAATTACTGTACATATTTACAGGATACAGAGTGATATTCCCATACATGCATACAGTATGCAATGATCGAATCAGGGTAATTAGCATATCCACCACCTCAAATATTTATCATATCTTTGTAGTAGGAACATTCACAATCCTCTCTTCCAGCTTTTTGAAAATGTACAGTAAGTTATAGTTAACCGTATTCACCCTACAGTGCTGCGGAACACTGGAACTCATTCCTCTTATCTGGCCATAGTTTTGTATCCAATAGCCAACCTCTTCTCTCCGCAGCCTCCTCCAACACGCCTTCCCAGCCTCTAATACTCAGTTTACATCCTACTTCTGTGAGCTCACATTTCCTTTTAGCCTCCACATTTACATGAAAACATGTGGTATTTATCTGAGCCTGACATTTTGCTTAACATAATGAACTCCAGACTCATCCATGTTGCTGCAAATGATAGGGTTTTATTCTTTTTTATGGCTGAATGGTATTCCATGTATACACCACATTTTCTTTATTCGTCTGTTTGGTCACTTAAGTTGATTCTGTCTTGACTATTGTGAATAGTGCTGCAGTAACCATGGGGCTGCAGTATCTCTTTGATGTACTGATTTCCCTTCCTTTGGTTAAAGGAAGTAGTGGCATTGCTGGGTCATGTGGTGACTACTCAGCCTATCAGGAGGCTTTAGCTTCCTGACATCTGCCACTCACTCCCCTGCCAGTTTGGAGGTGCAGCTTTGTGCCATTGGGCTCCGTCCTTCTCTGTCTTGGGGATGTCCTTTGGTAGGGTGAGCAGAGCGGAGGCTTTCTGCAGAGCCTCCTTGTTTCTACTTATTGTAGTCAGGACATAGCTTTACAGGCTCTCCTGTTGTCTCAAAGCCTTGAGAATGTGTCTACTTGAGATGCAAAGAAATCATTATTTCCTTACTTTTACTAATTCCAGGGCAGCAAGGTCCTACTCTCTTAGAGTTCCCAGCTCCTCCACACCCTTCCATTGGTAGTAAGAGTTAAGTTGAGAAGAGCTCTTGGCCTTCTGGGGGTTAACTTGTCAGTAAGTCTCTTCACTTAGCAGATAGAGAGGGAAGGTGCATATTCATCCCTCTTTCCACCATCCTTTCCATTGAATGAGGTATTAAATGGCACTTCATTTACAATGGAGACAAGATATTATGTGAAATATCTTGGAAGGTGGAAGGCAGGTGGAGTAGGGAATCCACATATGGGGAAGATCAAACGCCAAATTCAATGGCTAGAAAAACAGAAATTTGTACCACAACACCTGTCTGTGAAATTTTGCGACCCCAGGGATCAAATTCAGCTGTGAATGGAAAGAGAATTAGATAGATTGAGAATCTTCCTCAGTGACACTGGATGTTGCAAGACAAAGGGCCTGGGAAGATGTGTTGAAACTTCTCCAGAAAAATAATGTTGTGTCCTAATTTCCATCCTCGGGACTCCTGTCTATCATGTGTTGTCCTAGTCTGCCCGGGCTGCTATAACTAAGTACCACAGACAGTGGGGCTTAAACAATGGAAATGTATTTTCTCCATTCTGGAGGCTGGGAATCCAGGATCAATGTGTGGGCAGGGCTGGTTTCCCCTGAGGCCTCTCTCCTTGGCTTGCAGATGCTGCTTGCTGTGTCCTCACATGGCCTTTTCTTACTCAGGCAGTCCCCATCTATTTTTTCGAATGAGGACATCAGTCCTGTTGGATTAGGGCCCACTCTTACTACCTCATTTAACCTTAATCACCTTGTTAAAGGCTCTATCTCTAAACACAGTCACATGGGGGCATAGGACTTCAGCGTATGAATTTTAGGGGACAAAATTCAGTCTATAACATGGTGCACGGTAAAATAAAGACACCTGTAAACAGTAGGTCTTTATCTGCGAGTTCTGCATTCCAAGGATTCAACCAATCGTAAATAAAAAATATTTAAATTGTGCTGGAGGATGTGCATAGGTTAGACGCAAACACCATGCCATTTTATCTCAGGGACTTGAGCATCTGTAGATTTTGGTGTCTGTGGGGTCCTGGAACCCATCCACCACATATACTGAGGGATGATTGTATGTTCAAGGACTCAGACAGTTGGCCTCCTTCCAGCAAAATGGCATGATAAATCAAATGTCAAGAAAGACACTGGATCCAGGAAACAGGAAGGCCAACATAGGGGCCTGATGAAGGGGCCCCAGGTGTTGCTGGGTGGCAGGCTGGAGAACCTGTCCTAATGAGCTGATGTGGTCGGGAGCAGGAGTGAGGCTCTGGGAAGAGGCAGGTGTGCACTGAGAGGTATGACACGGGGCAGCACAGGACAGAAAGAGGAAATCACGGGGAAACGCACAGGATGCATGGAAATACAAGGACACAATGGTATTCTACAGTAGTATTCTACCTGTTTTGTGGGTTTAAAAAAGTATACATTGCATAGTCACAATCATGATAATTATTTATTGATTTTCAACTTTAAAAACAAATACGCAAACTTTAATTATGTTTATAAATGACAGAAATTAGGATCTGAGGAATGGGAGGAAAGGATGGAAGCAAAGGTCAGCTTATTCTATTGCACTAGGAATCAAGGTGTCTCTAGAAGAAGAAAATGGTTGGAGGTAGATTATTTAAAGTTACAAAGGTAACCAATATAACTAATAGTCTTATATCCATATTGGGAAGACTGGTTTGATGTATTGGAGTCTAAAATTGATAAATCAAGATGTATTTTAATGAGAAGGTATTACCTAGAGATCTGCAGTTAACTGTCAGGACTGGAAAGAATGGAAAGAATGAATCTCTCCCCAGTCCCCCCAGTGCCACTGTCTCTGCTCAAGATGGAGGGATTCGGGTTGGTGAGATGGGCAGGGGTGCTGTTAATCCCCATCACACACCCTTACGTACTACAGTATTCATATATATACATATATATATGTATATATATATTTTTAATATATGTGTATGTAATTGAATATGAAGGTGTGTAATTAAATATGTAAAATATTTTTAAAACATATGAAATATATTTGATATTCATCAAACTGACATTTTTGTTGACAAAGACTTATGAGTAAAAACTATCCCTTTCCTTTCTTCTTCATATAAACCTTCCCTGGCGTATTTCCATCTGTGGGAGCAACTTCTTACCTTGCAAGATTATTGAAAAGTTTATTTCAACCCAAACAAAGGATGCTTTTACATTGTTACACTTCTATTAGAATAAAAATGCCTCCACTCTCTATATTTATATCTGAGAGTTTAGGCCAATAATAATGTTTCTTCTGTTATTTTCCCTGTAAGCCTCTGGGTTCCATTTTGGCTGCATCTTATGTATGCCCAAAACCTCTTCACTAAATGGTTTTACTCTTTATGGTTTCTTTCTCCCTCTCTTCCAACGAATCCCCAAGGAAAGATTCCATCATGCCTTCCAGCCAGCCATGCTCTCTCAAATTCTTTCCCTTCTAGACTTCCTTCATTAGAGCAGAAGTCAATGATAAACATCCTGCATCTGGGCATCCTTGCTAAGGCGATGGCAGGAGACCATGTGTCCCTGAAGGAGAAGGAAAGGTCACGTGCACCAGGCAAGGGGAGCTGAGTGCCTCGGTCTTTAATGGGCCCTCCCGCGCATTTGCGTCTGTTTGCTGTTTTGAGGTCTAAGCTGGAGGTAGTCTGTGGACTCTTCTACCCAGTAATCCTGGGTGTCTTTAAACAAGATCCCTCTCCACATTGCTGATGGTAAGAGTGCTATGTCCAAAGCAAGAATGCAACAGGATGTGTAGAGCTCATCACCACTGAGGGCCTTAGTGATTCCTTTCTCCATCTCTACTTCCCTTCTTCAGTGAACAGTTTCTTCTCAGGACCCAGTTCTGCAGCGTCAGAGGTTGATACCTGGGTCACCTTTCTCATTGCCGCCCCTACCCCATCTGAGTATTGAGGAAGCTCACACATTTCCGTCACATGTTTGTCATTCTTACTCATTTGAAGTGGGACGATGTCCTTACCTGGTGTAGATATTGTCTTCGACTATTGGAGAACTTTGTAGGGAAGCGTATGTAGAATCAGAAAACAATTACATGACTTAGAAGAAATCTATTGAATTAAGGTTCTTTTTAAAATTTGCAAATGATTTTGAGAAAATGGAGTCCACGTAATTATATGCCTTGTCTCTGTTTCTTTATTCTGCTTAGTGCCACTTTCCGCACAAAATAAATACATTTTTTTAAATCAGCAAATAATTTTGAGATAACAGAGAGTGCACTAACTTATATGTTTCCTCTTTCTTTCTTCACCATGCCTAGTGCTATTTTCTGCAAGAGAGAAACACATATTTTCTCCACTGATTACTATATTGATTTGGCACAGGTGAGAGCTACTGGTTTTGAATCAACCGGACTCTCATTCCCATTGTAGCCCAGGATAAATATTAAATAAATTCCACTTTGGAAAGGGAACCATCAAAACCCACTTAGGTCAATGCCAGGGGCTGTCACAGATAATGCAGAACGCTAGTGCCGCATCAGCAGTCATGACAAGGTGACAGTGACCGTAAACTTCTCGGAAAGAAATCGATGAGAAATTTACCACTAGGGCTTATACGGAGAAACAAAGGTGATTTAAATTTAGCACAGAAATGTGGCGTTACAGCCAGAATCTTGTTTTCCAGAGTTTAGTGATCCATTGATCTCAACCCCTGTGGTCAGTCATCTGTAAACTGTTAAGTCCTGAGAAAATTAACCTGCAATATGTAATGCTGTTTTCTGCTGAAGTCACCAGGTCCTAATTTCCTCTAGCTGTTCCTTCTATGACAGAAACGACTGATACTAGGATATTTCCCCACATTAAGAGGTTTGAACTTGTCAAACACTTTCTCAAACAAGCAGATGAGACCTGTGATTAGCCATTTTAGGAGCAGATAGGAGCGTCCGATGCACAGATGGAACCCAAAATATTTAAAACCTTTGTTTTCTTTCCATCTATCTGTGGGAAAATTTTTAAACTTCAATTTATAAACCCCAAATGCTATGCCTGACTCATCTCTGCAAAGTTAATGGTATTCAGTTATGATTTCTTACACACATATTTGTGAATTCTTTTTATGTGTGGGGTCATACTGCAGGCTGAGACAGTGCATATGGTCCCATGTTTAGACAACCACCGGACGGACTGTCGCTTAATAAATTGCAGTGGTAAAACGCCTGTAGTCCCCGCTGCTCCGGAGGCTGAGGCAGGAGAATGGCGTGAACCTGGGAGGCGGAGCTTGTAGTGAGCCGAGATCGCGCCACTGCACTCCAGCCTGGGCGAAAGAGCGAGACTCTGTCAAAAAAAAAAAAAAAGAAAAAGAAAAAAAAGAAAAGTGCTGGAAAAGAGAAGCACAGGATGCTTTGAGAACATATACCGGGGAGACGTGCCAGATATAGTAGGGGATGGGAAGGGCCGCTCCCTTGAGCTGAGAGACTGTTGGGCAAGGGAGGGGCACAGAGGAGAGGGCAGGATTCAAATCAGAAGTAACAGCAGAGGGAGGATCTAGAAGCCAGAAGAAACAGACAGCGGCCTCTGGAGAAACTGGAGAAATGGTTAGAGAGTGTGAGATTAGCCCAAATACTAAACATAAAATAAAAGTACCATATCCCTTAGCATCCATCCTTTTCAAAAAATAAAAATAAAAAAAAATCAAACTCTAAAAATCCACCTAACCAAATTAGTCCTAAAAACCCAATTACCCTAAACTAAATGCTTCCCCACTGCCTTATTAAAAATCAAAACTGCCCCTCAAAAATATTAGTTTATCCCCTTATAAAATACTATATGAACTGCCTTATTTACATTGTACTACTAATGTCCCTACATTTAAAACCAAACATCAGTTCCTCAAAACCTATAGTCTACTTTCTTTTCTCTTAAAACAAAGTATCCTAACACAAACACTACCCCTAAAGCTCCCAGCACATCAACACCAACCTAAAAATCACATCCTCGTCAAAAAATTTATAAAAAACCCTCAAACCAGCTTAAAAAAAAAAAAAACCTTATGAATACTCCTAACTACTAAAACTACAATCCAAACAACAACAAAAAAGTAAACTCACCACACCTAAGTCAAAAAACCACCACCATCACCTTCAAAATTATAAGCCATTATTCCAAAGTCAAGCCCTACCAAATTAAAACAAAAAAATCTTAATTCTTAATTCTTTTATACCTTTTATATCGTCTCTCCCTCTTTCCTCACTCTATTACTAATTCACTATTAATATAACTGAATCTAACTCACCCCAAACCATTATTCTTAATACTTATCTTTTATACCTTATAAAAATTTAAAAAAACAAAAACAACCAACTTCTTCAAATAAATATCTCTACCCTATTCCTCTAATTTCTACAATTAACCCTAGTTCTCACCATTATAATCATCTACAACCAAAACACCGTTCCTTTACTCCCACAGCCTAACAACCTTATAATAATTAAAACTACATCCTTTAAACCACCCCATACCAAAGTTAAACCTCTACAAAAAAGTTTACATCAATCTAAAGCCCCTCCTCCATTTTACCAAAAAACCCACTCTCCCTAATTGCCAATCTCACCAATACAAACCTATCCTTATTTCTATTACTACCTCTACCTCCGCTGACCCTAAGCCTGCCCCCAGTCACTTCTATAGTATAAAAGCCAATGTCAGTTGAAAATGAAACGCAAAAACAAGTCATATTAAAAATAAAAACTTCTACTCTCCTTTGTTCTAAATACTCTCATAACAACCAGCCGTACAAAAAACACCCGTCTATGCAAAAATAAATTTATTTTAATAAAAATCCTTTATCTAAATACTCATTTTTCCTTAAAACTCTAAGCCTTATTTCTAACAGACAGCAAAGGGTGGGTACCTGAGATACAGCAATAGAGACAGGTGGAAGACAACCCAGGTTCCCTGGGCTTCACATCGGAGCGAAGGGAAGCGCCGAAAGCATTAGGCAGGGAGTTACATGAACAGACACAGGTCTTCAAGGACCATGCTGGTCCCAACTAGGAAACATGATTTGAGCGAGCACTTCCATTCCAGCTACCAGTCCTTTATCAAGTATGGACGTTGCAAATACTTTCTCTCAGTCTGCAGCTTGCCTTTTCATTCTCTCAGCTGTGTCTTTTAAAAGCAGAAGTTTTCAATTTTGATGAAGTCCAGTTTATCAATTGTTTTCTTTTCATGGATCATGCTTTTGGTGTTTTATCTAAAAACTCATCACCAAATGCAAGGTCAAGAAGATTTTCTCCTGGTTTTTTTTTTTTTTTGAGAGTGACCTTCGCTCTTGTTGCTTAGGCTGGAGTGCAATGGCAGGATCTCGGCTCACTGCAACATCCACCTCCCAGGTTCAAGCAATTCTCCTGCCTCAGCCTCTCAAGTAGCTGGGATTACAGGCATGTGCCACCATGCCTGGCTAATTTTATATTTTTAGAAGAGATGAGTTTTCTCCATGTTGGTCAGGCTGGTCTTGAACTGCCGACCTCAGGTGATCTGCCCGCCTCAGCCTCCCAAAGTGCTGGGATTACAGGCGTGAGCCATCACACCTGGACCTGATTTTTTTTTTCTGGAAGTTTTAGTTTTCAATTTTACATTTACATCAATCATTCATTTTGAGATAATATTTGTATGCAATATGAAGTATGGATTGGAATTCTTTTTTTTTCTGCTTATGGATATCCCATCTTTCAGTACTTTATGCTGAAGATTATCTTCTGCATTGGTTTTTACCTTTGTCAAAAAATTGGTTTTATGGACTTTGTTCTGTTCCATCGATCAATCTGTTTGTCTTTATCACACTGTCTGGATTACTGTAGCTTTCTAATAAACCTTGAAATCAGATTTTGATCCTGCACATTTGTTCTTCTCTTTCAAAGTTACTTTGACTGTTTTAGGTGCTTTGCATTCCTACAAAAATTTTAGAAATAGCCTGTCAATTTCTAAAAAATGTCCTGCTGGGATTTTGATTAGGAATGCATCAAATCTATCATTTGGGAGAATTAGCTCTCAATATTGAGTCTTCTGACATACAAACACAGTCTATTCCTCCATTTATTCCAGTCTTTTAAAATTTCTCCCAGTAATGCTATGTGGTTTCAATGTACATATGTTTTACATCTTCTGCCAGATTTATGCTCATGTATTTTACATTTTTGATGGTATTGTAAATGGTATTTTTTTATTTGAACTTCTAATTGTTTGTGGCTAGTATATAGACATACAATTTATTTTTGTATATTGATATTGTATCCTGAAACTTTGCTAATACCTTTCTTTATAGTTTGCATAAGTAATTATATCATCTATGAATAACTACACTTGTACTTCTTCCTGCCCAATCTATATGTCTTCTATTTCTTTATTTTTTCATGTGTTATTACATTGGCTAGAACCTTCAATATAAAAGTTTAACAGATGGAGAGCAGATATCCTTACATTGTTCCTGATCTTAGGGGGAAAACATCTAGTCTTTTACTTTTTTTTTTTTTTTTTTTTTGAGACAGAGTTTTGCTCTTGTTGCCCAGGCTGGAGTGCAATGGCGTGATCTTGGCCCGCTGCAACCTCCTCCTCCTGGGTTCAAGCAATTCTCTTGCCTCAGCCTCCCAAGTAGCTGAGATTGCAGGCATGCCCCACCATGCCTGGCTAATTTTTGTATTTTTAGTAGTGACAGGGTTTCACCATGTTGGCCAGGCTGGTCACGAACTGCCAACCTCAGATGATCTGCCTGCCTCAGTCTCCCAAAGTGTTGGGATTACAGGCATGAGCCACTGCACCTGGCCATCTTTTACCTTTAGAGTATCATGTTAGCTCAAGGATTTTTTTTTTTCTTTGAGACTGTGTCTTGCTCTCTTGCCCAGGCTGGAGTGCAGTGGTGCAATCATAGTTCACTGCAGTCTCAACTTCCCAGGCTCAAGCAATCCTCCCACATCAGCCTCCCAAGCAGCTGAGACTACAGAGGCCACCAAGTCCAGCTAATCTTAAGAATTTTTTGTAAAGAGGGGTTCTCACTATATTGCCCAAGCTGAGCTCAAGGAATTTATAGATGCCATTTATCTGATTAAGGAAGTTCTCTTCTATTTCTAGTTTACTGAGAGTTTTTTTTAACACAAAAATAGATGAATTTTGACAAATTATTTTTCTGCATCTATTGATATGATTATATGCTTTCCTTTTTTAGTTTATTAATATGATTACTTAAATTATTGCAGTGAATTACATTAATTGATGAGCAGATCCTAGGCCAACCTTACATTCCTGCATTAAACCTCACTTGATCATGATGCATCTTCCTTTTTATGTGTTGTTGGATTCAATATACTATTTTTAAAAAAATTGCTTCTATCCCCAGTGAGGTATATTGCTCTGTAGTTTTCTTTTCTTGCAATGTCATTTTCTGGTTTTGATATCAGGGTAATCCTGGCCTCATATAATGAGTTGGGATGTAGTCCCTCCTTTGTAGTTTTCTGGAAGGTGTGTAGACAGTAGGTTTTATTTTTTACTGATATTGTTAGTACATTCACTAGTGAAGTCATCTTGACATGGAGTTTTTTTATGGGAAGAATTTTTACTGAAATTTCAATTTTAACATAGATATAAAGATACTCAGATTATCTATTTCTTCAGTGCAATTTGGCCATTTGTGTTTTATAAGGAATATGTCCATGTCACTTCAGATACCAATTTATTGTCATAAAGTTCTTTAAAATATCCTCTTATTCTCCTCTTAATATAAGTAGAATCTATGGTAATGTCACCTCTTCTGGTTTTTGATACAACTAATTTGTCTTCTCTTTTTCCTGCTCAGTCTGGATATAGATTTGTCAATTTTATTAATCTCAAATAACCAGCTTTTAGTTCAGTTGATTTTCTCAATTTTTTTATTTCATTAATTTTTACTCTGATTTTTATATTTCCTTTCTTCTATTTTTTGGAGGCAGATGTGGTATCAATTTGCTTTTCTTTTTCCAGTTTCTTAAGGTGAAAGCTGAGGTGATTGATTTAAGGTCTATCTTTAATATTGCCTTTAGTGCAATATATTTTCTACTAGTTCTGGTTTAGATACATTCTGCATGTTTTGCTATGTTGTATTTTTCAAATTCATTTCAAATATTTTATCTCTGTGCAGTTTGCCTTCTAACACTCTGTCTTGCAAACTCTACCCAACTTGGCCTTCCCATACTCTCAGCTTCATTTCTTCACCTCAAGGAGTCCTCTTGGCTTCCCCCTGGGTGTTCCTTTCTCACACTAAGACCCAGAAACTCTTCTAAGCCAGTTAGCTGGGACAATCATAGGGGTCACCTCCTTTGATTTTCATTTCTCAGGGATTACTGAACCTCGTACACTGTTGCCCAGGGTCTGTCTTGCAAATCTCTTGTTTCATTTATCTTGTTCATTTTTTGTAGTTATTTCAGGCAGGAGGGTATATCTAATCCTTCTTCCTTCATCTTGGCCAGAAGCATGAATCACATCCTTCACTTCTGCCAGTGTCCAGCAGGCATGCCTCTCAGCTGGACTACTGCATCGCCTCTCCACTGCCCCCTAACCAATCTGTCATCCTCCTGCCAGGTCAGTTGGCCTCACCCAGAACTCCTCAGTGGTATCCGTGATTTCAGTGTAATATCTACACAACTTTAATTTGTAACCAATACTTTTTTAAAAGTTTCTATTGGTCTACTTTATCCTGTACCTCCCTTAGGCCCCCTGGACCTGCCCACCACCACCTGATTCACTAATTTCAAGTGACATGTTGTTCTTGTTACCCTGTGCTTTCTGTGTGTGCTGTTCTTTTCCTAGCATGGCCTCTAATTCCAGGTTTTCCCAGAAAGTTCCTATCCTAATTTCAAGCATCAGCTCAAAGTTGTATCCTCTAACCATCACTTCCCCACACTGTGTTCTCGCTCTTGTGTTTGCACTGCATTTTCTACATATCTCCCTCCCAGCAAGTTTCATATTTTAAATGAATTTTCACACATCTATGTGACTACAAGACTCTAAAGCCCTTGAAAGCAAACCACAGCATTTATATTTCATCTTTTGTGTCTCAGGCCCTGCGTAGTCCTGACATTAATAGGTGACATGAGTACATTTATGGGCTAAAACATAAGTCAGCTTGAAATCGGCCTGAGGATCATGTATCAAAAGGCATCACTGGGTCAGCAGGAGTGGTGATGGGCAGCCGAATGATCTTTCATTGTTAATTTTCATATATATATATCCATATCTGTCTATCTATCTACATGTCTGTTACAAATATATATGCCTATATTAAGTTTTAAGAATCTTGGGAAATATTTTACTAATATAAACTAATATTAACTATAATATTCACTAATATTAGCTATGTTATTGAAACATTGAAATTTGAATACTTCTGCTATGTCCTCTTATAGAGAAGTGATTCCCTTTCTACCCAAAATTCAAAGAAATTCAAGTCCATTGCAAAAGGGAAGTCAGGAATAGATAATGAGTGTTCTAGATAGAATCCAAAATAGCAGGGTGTAGAGTAATATAAAAATGGTGACAATAATAATACAACTCTTAGAAAAATGAATCAAGTTTTTCTCCATTAATATTATGAATGATGTGTGTTTGGGCTTAGGATCTAGAAATGTCTCTGTTGCAGGAGAGAAAAGCCATGAAGAGGAGGTGTGTAGATGTCTGATAATTGATTTTTGTGTGTGTGCCTTATGTCTTTAAAATACGAACGTTGGTGTTGGTGTGGAGCTTGACCGTGCCAGTTTGTTTAGTAGAGTCCCTCAACAGCTGGTCATGTGGCCCTGTTTGTTCGACTCAGAAATCATAGCCAGACAGATGGAGAGGAAAAGTTCTATTGAAAGATAGTAAGTGAAGTAAGCCCTGCACAGAAATATTAATACTGCCTGATGTCACTCATATGTGGAGTCTGTACAAGTTGATTTCACAGAAGTTGAGAGAAGAATCGTGGTTATCAGAGGCTAGGGAGGGCAGGGAGAAATTGGAGAGGTTGTTCCACGGGTACAAAGTTACAGTTAGAAGGAATAAGTTCTGGTGTTCTGTGACCCAGTGGGGTGACTACAGCAAATAACAATGGAGTGCGTATTTCAAGAGTGTTAGAGATGTAACTCTAAGAGTTATCACCAAAAAGAAATGGCTAAAGTGATAGATATGGTCACGATCCTGATTTGATTATTATACAGCTTATACGTGCACTGAAAGATCACCCTTACCTCATAAATGTGTAACATTATTTCATGTCAATCATAAATGAAAATGTAATTTTTAAAAAGGTGATGCACCATGATTCACTATCCAGGACCAAACATTATAAGGGGAATGGATTAACTCAGGCCATTCTTTGGGGGAATGGGTGGCCAGGAAGAAACAGTAGAGGAAATTCAACGGATGAATTCAAGGTCCTGGGTGGTGAGGATTGTTATTTGTTGTGATTTTACAATAACTTTAAGGACTGAGATATGGAAGCCTGAGCAGAGAGGTGAAGCGCTAACCCTACAGGAGTTTAGCTCTCTGTCCCTCTGTCCTCCCATGCCAGGAGGTCCTGCAGACAACAAGGAGTACCCGAGAGGACAAGGGAGAAAGGCTGTTCCACAAGTGAGTGCTCCCTGCACTTGCCCTGCACGCTGAAAGGGCTTGTCCCGACATCCTGACCCATTCTCCAGCCCTGCGACAGACCTTTGAGGTGTGTGTGGCTCTTCCACCAGAACTGCCTCCGCGGGTGCCTCTCGCTGCCACCCGCACTCTGTCCTCCTCGTGCTCACTGCTTTCCACGGGTCTTACGCAGGGAGCTGCGCAAGCTGGTATGCCAGGTGCTGCAGATGAATGAGGCCTAGACCACGCCCTCGGAGCTCAGGCCATGCCCTCAGAGCAACAGGCCACGCCCCGGAGCCCCCAGGCCACGCCCTTTAGGAGATCTCCCCAGAAGCTGGGGTGAGGGGTACAGAAGAGGATGGCTGCTGGGTATGCAACCTAGAGTCAGTCAGTCAGTCACAAACATGGCAGGAAAATAAGCTGTCTGTAAGTACCTACTCTTACAGCCTCCCCTGGGAACCGTGTGGGAGCAGGTGTGTGGTGGCTGGCACAGCGCCAGAGGGACCTCCTGCACCAAGAGCCAATGCACCTTAGATCAGGAGAGAGGAGAGCGGTCAGGGACGCATAGGCAGGTGATGGGGAGGTCTGGAGGAAGCTTTGCTGTTAAAACTTGTCTTTTCCATCATGCTAACTACTGTTGAGGTTCACATCTAACTTAAACTGGGGTGGCTTAATTGCATAAGTATCCCCTGGGAGCTTGTGCATTCTGGGGCCCTGGGTGGTTCTAGTTAACCAGTTTCCCCAGAGGTGACTATTCCGCTTCCCTCTGACTCTCCTTGAGGGGAGTCTCAGGCCCCGCCTGGTGCACAGGCAGTTTGTTCAGTGGCACTCACAAGAGGGAAGTGGGGAGCAGCTGCTGGCATGGGCCAGATACAGTCAGGTGTCAGATGCCCTGGGCAGGGTTTCCATCCAGACTGTCCTCAGAGGCTAGTGGATTTCTTCCCTCTTTCTTATACTGTATTCATTCCCCGTGGGTAACTAGGTGTTTCCTTGACAAAAGGAGTTTTAGCTATTCTCACAAGGGTGAGCTTTAAGGTTCATGGAAGTTGCATCTGTGCTGAGGTGGCCTCATCTCTTGGGCACCCAGAGTATTTAGGTTCCACTGTCACAAAGACTCAGTCATCACTGGGCCAGGGTTGGAACCCCCAGACGGGGTTGTGTCATATTGCTAAGTGACATACAGTTTGGGCTCTGTGAGATACCTGAGTGGGCTTTATGTTGTCATTGATCTTAGAGCCATGGTATGTCTGTAACAGTATAGTACAGTGGTATTTTCAAAGACCTCTGCAAAGAGGTGTCTATGACTGCACCTACTCTAAGCTGTTCCAAAGAGTGTTTTTGTATTTTTTTGAAAGTCTGACTGCTAAGTCAGGGCTGAATCATCCACACCAAGACAAGAGTTAAAGACTAATTAGAGTGGCTACAGCCCACAGTGCACCATTCCAGCCACCTCTGAAGGGAGCAGAACACTGGTGGGGGTGTGCTTTGCTCTCATTCAGAAAGAAGAGTGCTTCAAAAAGGCATTGCTTGTTTTATTTTTTTCCTTCAAGAAAGTAACAGAAAAAAACCCTGGCTGCTCAGAGATTCAAAATAGAATCAGGACAAGTAGACATTATGAGTTTTAATAATGAGCTAATAGAAAAGTGTTTTCACTAAAATATTTTACCATTGAAACATATACCCTACAACAGGCATTGAAAGATTCTGTCATATAAAGGGTCATAGAGTAAATATTTGGTCTGTTGCCGCCACTCATCCCTGCACTTGTGCAAAAGCAACCATCGACTACACATAAACAAATGAATGTGGCTCTGTTCCAATAAAACTTTATTTACCAAAATAGGTGGTGGGCTAGATTTGGCCATAGTTTGTTGACTCTTATTCTACAATGATAAAAAAAAATACAAGGAGTAAAAATGATAGAGAAATGTGTCCTCTAAGCCCAAAGTAGAATTGTCTCGGGATTCTATCTGATACATGAAAGATGCTGCATTTTTTGGAGTAACTGTATACAGTTTATTTCAATCATGTGTCTAATACATTTTTCTTTTGGATTATAAATTTTGTCAATAAGGTTCAGGCTACAGCAAAGAAACTGAACAGTCAAGGGCTTAAAAAACATAGAAGTTTATTTTTATTATTTCATGTAATGGCCCTGCTTTGAGCCATCAGGTCAGTGGAGTGACTCTGCTCTTGTAAATCAGAAATCCAGGTTTCTAACTTGTTTTGATCCATCACTACCAAGACATTAACATGTTCTGCATGGTTGAAACCAGGTCGAGTCTGTCTTCAGTAGGTAGCAAGAACAAAGGGAGCACAGAAGAGGAAGCTGATGGCTCAAGGCGCAGAAGTCGTATGAGCTATTCTCAGTCCACTGGCAAGAAATGGTTAGTCTTATGCTGTGTTGCATGGGAGATAAGGAAGTACAGTCACCTGAACATAAGACAGGTAACAGGATTATCTGCCTAGTCAGCTGCTGTATATCAGTGCCTGGTGCAGTGCCTGGTTCATAGTATCAGTATAATACACATTTGAATGACTGAAACATTTTCCCGAGTATAATCCTAATCACATTTCCCAGACTTTCTTATCTGGTATATCTATTATCTATTGTTGCATAATACATTGCACCCAAACTTAGCTTAAAACAACAAATGGGATCTTGCCATGTCTGGGGTTCAGGAATTCATGAGTAGCCTAGCTAGGTGGTTCTAGCTCATGGATTCTGAAGAGGTTATAGTCAAGCTCCTTTCTAAAGGTTCAGCTGAAGGAGGATCTCCTCCCAAGCTTGCGCATGTGGTTGTTGGTGTGAGACCTCAGCTCCTTACCGTGTGGATCCTTCCATAGGCTGCCTGAGCTTCCTGACAACATGGCGGTCATGATGCTCTGGAGAAAGAGACATAAGCATTCCAGGAGGACACAGCCTTCACTTATGTATTGTATAGGATCAAGGACAGAGTAGTGACTGGAAGTGACAATCCATGTGCCATTGCATGGTCCGACTGCTTGTCCTGCTGCTGAGCTACCCAAAGACTGTGGTATTTGCTTTTCTGTCTTAGTTTGTTTAGTGTTGCTGTAACACGACACCTGAGGCTGGGTAATTTATAAAGAAAAGAGGCTTGTTGAGCTTCCACAGGCTGAGAAGTTCGAGGGTATGGTCCTGGCTTTTGGCAGGAGCTTTTGTGTCTTGTCATAACATGGCAGGGAAGGTCAAAGGGGAAGTGGACAGGTACAAAGAGGCACCAAATCCAAGGGCTGTCCTGCTTTGCAACAACCCACTCTCTCAAGAACCAGACCAGCCTCACCACAGCAAGAACTCACTCACTACCATGAGAACTGTACCAAGCCCAGTGGCCCAAACACCTCCTATGGGCCCCACCTTTCCATACCACCACACTGGGGATCAAATTTCAACACGAGTTTTGGTGGAGACCAACAAACCATATCCAAACCATAGCAACCCTCAAGACTCACCCACTCCTCCATGGAGCACTTCTACCCTCATCTGATTTACCATCCTTCCTACTTATATAACACAGACATTATACATGCATAGTGCTTTGCTTACTTTTAATGCCCAAACAATTATTATATCATCCTACCTAAAATGACACTGCAATGAGTCATGACAAGTAATAGCATTTTCATTAAAAAATAAATTAGTCTTAAGGCACCACCTTATGAGAGATTTTTTTAATTTAAATATTGTGCATTTTCCACCAGTTCTTAAGTTAGTAAAGTGTTTTTGGTAGACATAAAGACCAACGCCATAGAAATGCCGAGAGTTTCTAAACTGAAGTCTAGTGAGGGCAAGAGGATAGAATTAGAGCTGCAATAACCTGAACTTGGAGCCACAGCGTGCTGCCTGAGCATAGTGAATTTGCTTAACCATGACCTCTAGGATTTAAGCAACAATAAAATGTAAGGATTTTACCCATGATGAGGGGCATTAATGAACTCAGCCATGCATGTGACAGTCTCAAATGTTAAGTAGATTTGCAGTCTATGCATTTTAAAAGTCCCCAGGTTGTCAAGTAACCTTGAGCTTTTGGTGAATACCTAAGTATCATTGTTTAAAATTTCATGGTTCTTTCTATATGTACCTGCTATCCCTTTGAATTATATATGTAGTTTTATCCCATTCTGGCAGGGGGTAAGACCAGCTTTCATATAGCAAATACTTTAAATATTGTAAAATAACAATATTTTTAGTATCTTAAACATTTTGTTGAGATAGAGCTTTTAAACTGGTCCTACTCAGTCAGGACCTATGGGAATTGAATGGAGAAAATGGTGTTTAATGAGCAGTGTCCAGGAAAGTTCATCCCCCTCTTGGGATATACGTGTCTCAGACTGCATCAGCCAGATCAGCCAGTTCAGTTCCCCCAAAGACTGGACTGAATTTCTGATGGTTCCCAGTGCTCATCACTCTTCCTCTGTCTGTTTTGGCATGGGAGAAAATGTATCTTCTTGTTAAGAACAGACAAATGATCAGTTGTCCTCAGTGTGTGGCCAGGTTTCGCATTCCTTTTCCTATGACAAAAGGAAACTAATCATTTAAATTAAAATCACCAAGAGAAATGTAAACATTAGCCCCTGATTTCTGTGACTGCAGGTCCGATGGGGAGGCTTATGGCATTATTTAATGGTGAGAGCAAATGACAATGAGCACAAGGAGGTGGGAGAAAGTAGGGGGCTCTGAGATTGGAGTGGCAGAGAGATCCTGTTGGGCAATAATGACCTTCTGCAGGTTTCTGTTGACTGCACATCAGTCTCTGCATCTGCAAAAAATATGCATGATCCTGCAGGACCACAGGACTTGTGGGAACAAATAAGAACCCGCAAATGAGAACGAGCAAAGGCTGTTCATTCAGAGTTGCTTTAGTAAGGGAGATCAGCCACCATCCCTTGCATTTGGCAGAGACTTAAGAGCAGGCAGGGTGGGAAGGCTCTGTGGTAGAAGGGAAGGCTTTGGGTAGGCCTTCCCTTGAGGAAGCTGGCACAGGCTAACAAAAAGCCAGGCATTCTTTGTGATGGATTTGGGGAACATATTTGGCTTTTTCAGGTTGGTTCTGAGTTGGAAATGACAGCACAAATTAGGGAAGCTTCAGTTATTGACAGATCCCGAATATGCTGTGCCAATGGTGCAAATGTGGTGGTTTAGTTTCCCAGGCTGTTTGCTGCAGAGGTTTCCCAGGCTGTTGGCTGCAGAACTCAGAGTTCTGTGGTCTGGCCATTGTCCGTTGTCTGTTCTTTCAGACTAGAATATTTCATGGATTAAATGAGATGCTGCCAAGCACCCAGAACAGCACTTCATGCACAGTAAAGCTTCAGTGTACTGTATGATAATTTTAAATTATTAAGAAATAAATAAGGCTGGGCCGAGTTACTAAGAGAGTTGGGAATGGGAATGATTAGCTTTTTTTTTTAAGGAATTTTGTTTTATAGTTCACTAATCATAAAGGAACAAGAGTGGCGTGGTGCAGGTCTGTGTTGCCTTCTTGCTCATAGCATCTCAAAACAGGAAATGCCTGGTCCACACAATGCATTAAAGGGTAAGGAAAACATTTGGACAAAGCAAAGTCGAAGCAGGCTCCAAATTTGGATTGTGAGACACGTATTTTATGTAGCTTGTGTAGCTATCATTCCATGCCATTGGGATCACATGTTTTATGAGGGTAGTACAAACACTTCTATTCTATATCACTTCTTCCCAGCTAAAATAGAAACAGGAGTTTGATTGATTGGCTATCTGGGAGAAGTTTGTGGTTTGTTTAGATGAAAGTAAAGGAAGAAAAAAATCAGAACTTGGTAACTAATAAGATGCTCAAGAAGGGAAAGCCAGAGTGAGATAGAGGTCTGCAGCCAGGGGCTGACATCCTTGCCTGTGGCAGGGAAGGAGGAGAGAATCTGCTGGGAAGGTTGGTGATGAGGGCAGGTCCATGTATAGGCTGGCAACAGAGAGACATCTTGCAAACAACTTCATTTTATTTTCCTGATGAAATCCAGAAAGGCAGTTCTTTGAGAAAGGGGCAAATAAAATGAACATTACAGAAGAGGATTTCTATGAGCGGTCATGCAAAAAGTGTGACAGATGGTCACCTGCTGTTTTCCAGCCTTCTCTCCCTTATCCACTTTGTTCATTGTTTACCTGCTCCCTAATAACTATGTAACATTGCAGGGTATAGACATTTGAGTACAAACTAGTTTATATTGTTTAATTATGAAGACAGAGCTTGTAATTAGTTACCTTAAATTCTTTGATGACTTCTGAGAATCAATGATGCCTAACTGGAGGAGATTGATAGCCATAATTAGTGGAATCAGTATAAAAATATTCCCAGACGTTCATTGTTCCAGGACATAAAACTCATAATTATATAATGAGCTATTGATAAACTGACATTGGTGACATTGGTGACTGCAATGGATTCAGCCTTTTTCTCTACTTTTTCTCCTTATTCTCTGCTTCACAACAGTACCTATAAAGATTACAAAAGACTTTGACCTTAATTCTAACTACTGTAATTCTGAATAACTGCAATTAAATCTGCTACTGTTCAACAATAAAAAAGGAAGAAATTTAGAGGCCATTAAAGCATTATCTTTTATTTCTTTAACTTTAAATTTTTATATTATTATAGTTTAAGAGGAATTTGAAAAAATAGTACTGAAAGGTCTAGGTACTATTTACCCCACTTCCCTCAGGGACCACATCTATCATAATAACTATAGTAACAATAGCCAAACCAGAACACTGGCATTGGCACAATTCACAAACCTCATTCAGATTTCACCAGCTTTATACACACGCATCTGTGTGTGTCTGTATATAGCTCGATGCATTTTTTTTTTTTTGAAACGTAGTCTCACTGTGTTGCCCAGGCTGGAGTAAAGTGGCATGATCTCCACTCACTGCAACCTCCCCATCCCGGGTTCAAACGATTCTTCTGCCTTAGCCTCCTGAGTAGCTGGGACTACAGGCATGCACCACCATGCCCGGCTAATTTTTGTATTTTTAGTAGAGACGAGGTTTCGCCATATTGACCAGGCTGGTCTCAAACTCCTGACCTTGTGATCCGCCCGCCTCGGCCTCCCCAAATGCTGAAATTACAGGCGTGAGCCACTGCGCCTGGCCTCGGTGCATTTTTACTATATGTCTGGTGCCTGTAACCACCACTACAGAGGAGACACAGAACTGTCTTGTCACCACAAGGATCTCAGGAAGAATATGTTCTTGTCTGTTCCTTTACAGCCACACCCATGCCACCCCCCATCCCTAATCCCGGACACCACTAATGTGTGCTCCAAGAGTGGGTTTTGAATTGAATTGTATATTAGGTATTGCTCTGAGATTGCCTTTCCTCACTCAGCATAATTCCCTTGACATCTCTCCAACTTATGTGTATCAATAGTTTGTTCCTTTTTAATCCTGAAGAGTATTGCCTGGTATGCATGCCCAACAGTTTGTTTAACCACTCACTCCTTTAAGGCCATTGGTGTTATTTTGGATATTGTGATTATGAGAAAGCTGCTGTGTATAGGTTTTTGTATGGGCATAAGTTTTCATTTCTCTGACATAAAAGCCAAGAGTGTAATTTCTGTGTAATATGGTAAGCGTATGTTGAGTTTTGTATGTTTGCTTTTGTTTTGTTTTGTTTTGTTTTTTGCAGTAACTACCAAGCTGTTTCCCAGAGTGGCTGGATCATTTTACATTCCCAGTAGCAATGCAGGAGAAATCTGAGTTCTGTGCCTCCTCTCCAGCCTGTGCTGTTACGTTCTGTTTCCTTTCTAAGTTTATGGCTTTAATTTGCCTTTCCGGAACTAAGGTTAATGAAGTTGTATGCTTATTTGCCATCAGTATCTCCTCTTTTGTGAAATGTCAGTTAGTTTCTTCTGCTCATTTTCTAAGTGAATTGTTTTTGTATAGTTGGGTTTTGAGAGTTCCTTATATATTCTAGATATGTGGTCTTTGTCAACTATTTTCTCTTAGTTTGTAGACTGTCTTTTCTTCCTCTTAACAGGGTTTTGGAGAGCAAAGATTTTAAATTTTGAAGTCCTGATTTATTGATTTTTTTCCTTTTATGCATTGTGTTTTGGATTTCATGTAGAATAGCTCTTCACCTTGCTAAACATCTTGAAGATTTTCTCTTAGGTTTTCTTCTCAAAGTTTCATAGTTTTACATTTTGCTTTTAAGTCCATGATCAATTTTGAATTAATTTTTGTGTAAAGTATGAGACTTAGTTTTAGGTTCATTTTTTTCCCTATGGATATCCAAGTGCTCCAGCACCATAAATTGAAAAGATTCTCTTTCTTCAAACGAATTGCTTTTGCACTTTTGCTGAAAGTCAGGTGGTTATCCTTTCATGGGTCTATTTCTGGATTCTCTACTCTGTTTTATTGATCGATGTTTCTCTTCTTCTGCTAGTACCACACGGTCTTGATTACTGTAGTTGTATGTATAAGTCTTATAGTCAGGTAAAGTAATAAACTACTACTTATTCTTCTCTTTAAAAAATTTTTTTAGCTACTCTGATTTCTTTGCCTTTCTATATAAATTTAGAATACATTTTTATAGCTATGGGATTTGGGTAGATATTATATTAAACTAACAGGTTAGCGTTATGATTAGAGCAGTGACATCTGAAATATTGAATCTTCCAATCCATGAAAAAAGGATGTCTTTCTGTTTATATCTTTGATTTTTAAAATTCGTGTTTTTTACTTTCAGCATATAGATCCTATATAGATTTTGACATTTTTAAAGCTATATATTTCATATTTTACAGTGATTGGAAACTGTAACAGGTTTGTTATTTATATTGCATTCCTGAAATGAAATTCCTTTGGTAGAACTAGTGATTTTTTTTAATTAGTTCATTTTTTTCCCCTACTGATTTTTTTCCATTACTTCTTTCTTTCTAATTTCATTGATTTCTGCTGTGATTTTTATATTTTCTTTGGAAAAATTTTGCTATTCTTTTTTCTTAAGGTAGGAGCTTAGATTATTGATATGTTTTTCTTTCCTCTTTTAAAAAATGTTTTTATTTTTAAATAAAATGAATACAAAAGTTTAAAATGTTTTAAAAACAATTTTAAAATTTAAGCCTATAGCACCTGGTGTTTCCAGGCAGTCTCCTATTCAAGTGCTGACCAGACCAGGCCCTGCTTAGCTTCTGAGATCAGACTAGATTGGAAATGTTCAGGGTGGTATGGCCATAGAATCTTGTTTTTTAGTGTGAACATTTTGTGCTACACTGTTCCCTCTCAGCACTGAGTTAGCTGCATCTCACACAGTTTGATATGTTTTTTATGTTTTATATTTATTTTCATTCAGTTGAATGTATTTTATTTTCTTTGACTTCTACTTTGACCCATAAGTTATTTAGAAGTATGTTTTATAATTTCCAAATGTTAGCAAACTTTCTTGTAATCTTTCTGTAATTACATTTCAGTTTGAATCTGTTAGGATCAGAAAACAAACTGTATGGTTTCAATTCTTTTAAATTTGTTGAGGTTTGTTTTAGTGTCTAGGATACGGTTTATGTGGGTAAATGTTTGATGACTGCAAGAAAATAATATCTTTTGTTGGTGATGGTAAATTCTACAAATGCCAATTTAAGCCCATTCATTAAATATATTGTCTAACCCTTTTATATTCTCACTCATTTTTTGACTAATTTTTCTGTCAAAGTTGAGAGAGGGGTGTTAAAGCCTCCAACTATAACAGTGGATGTGTCTATTTCTCTTTTCAGTTTTATCAGTTTTTGTTTCATATATTTGAATCTGTGCTGTTTATGTATATACCTTAAGATTGCTGTGTCTTCTGGATAGTTTGACTATTTTATTCTTAGGTAATGTTCCTCTCTGACCTTGGTAATTCTCTTTGCTCTGAAATCTACTTTATCTTATGCTTTTCTGTTGATTAATGCTTGCATGATATATCCTTATCATCCTTTTACTTTCACCCTACCTATATTATTAAATTTCATGGAGTTTCTTGTAGACATCATGCTTTTAAATGCATTCTACCAATATCTTGTATTTGGTGTATTCAGATCATTATATTTAATGTAGCTATGTATGTGCTAAGCCTTCCCTCTGCTATTTTATCACTTGTTTTTTTCTTTTTCCCACCTTTGCCTGTTTTTCCAGATTAAAAATAAATAGACTTCATCTTTTCAGGACAATTTTAGATATACAGAAAAATTGAAAGGATAGCATCTCTCTGTTTTTTATTTGTTTCATTTTCCTGTGGTTAATTTTTTTTTTTTTACAGTTACACTTTGATTTACCTATAGTTTTTAGGGGGTATATCTTTTTGTATAGTTTTTTAAATGGTTTCTCTGGGTGATACATGATACATATACAACTTTTCAAAATCTGTTGGTACTTTGTATTTTTCGGACACTGTACTTTTCCTACTTTGATTTAAATATAGAAATATTACTTTAATTAGGATAAATTTGAATTTATTCCTTTCTTTTATAATATGTTTGTCTTAAATATATCCTCTACATACATAGGGTAATACAGCAGACAATATTATAATTTTTAATAAATATATTTTTTAAAAAACTGAAGAGGAAATAATAATCTATTATATTTACCCATATTTTCACTCTTTCTACTGTTCTTAATTTTTGTGTTCTAAATTTTTTACTTTTATTATTCCCTTTCTGTTTGATAAATTTTATTAAGCTGGCAAGAAATTTTCTCACTATTCCTTCATTTGCAAATGTTTTGTTTTGACCTTCATTCCTAAAGACATTATTTGCTGTGCACAGAATTCTGGGTATGGGCATTTATCTTCTGTTAGCATTGGAAATGCTATACCTTTTCCTTCTGGCCTTCGTGTTTCTGATGAGAAACCTGTTATCATCCAAATCATTGCTCCCCATGAGTGTTTGTTTCTCTTCAGCTGCTTTCAATATTCTCCCTTGGTTTTGGTTTTCAGAAGCTTGATTTTAATGTGTCTTGGTATGGATTACTTTGGGGTTAGCCTGTTTGGGGTTTGCTCAGCTTCTTTAACTGTAGGTTAATGTCTGTTGCCTAAATTCGGAAGTTTAATTGAGTAACTTTCTGTTTTATTTTCTTTCTTCTCTCCTTTCTTGACTCTAATGATGTGAATGTCATATCTTTTGTCACAGAGGCCACAAGTCCCCGAGGCCCTGCTCTTCTTATTTCCCCAGTATCTTTCCTCTGTCGTTAACATTGGGTAATTTCTCTTGCTCTAGCTTCAGTTTACTGATTGCTTCCTCTCTCGCATCCATTCTTCTATTAAGCCCATTTAGTAAGGTTTTAAAGTAGTAGTTACTGTCTTTTTCAGTTCTAACATTTCCATTTGGTTCTACTTTGTATCATAGGTTTTTTTGTGTATGCGATTTTTCATTTTTTCATTTGTGTCCATAGAGTTCTTAACTGCTCACTGGAGCAATTAAATATTTCCTCTACATACATGCTTTATAATTCTTGTCAGATCATTCTAATGTCTTGTCATCTGGTTGTTGGCTTCTGTTGATTATGTTTTTCCATTCAAGTTGAGATAGCATGAGTTAGCATCTACCTGGTTTGGTAGCATGAGTGATTTTCAATTTTATCCTGAGTATTATGCGATGAAACTGGATCTTCTACCTCATCAGTCCTCTGCTAAAATCGTGCTAGGTGGACACCCCCCCAGCCTCACTGGCCCCAGGTAGGGAGGGGCATTCCTAACAGAAGGTGGTGGAGACGGTTCAGGCTACCCTTGGCTCCCTCTGACACCTGAGAAAGTCCTGCTATTCTCAAGTATGTAGATGATCTATCTTAAGTATATAGATGACACTCCACTGCAAGGGAGCAGGGTGCTTTGTTGTGCTGAGTTACAGTGGAAATTCAGGCTGCGCATTCACCCCCAACCCACGTCATCCTCTTGGCAAGGTGGAGGGCTTTTCCTACTGCTGGATGGAGCTCCAAGTCCAAGATTCCCACTTGGTCTCTGCCAGCACCATGAAGGGGTTGGGGCACTTTGTCACTGCCAAGCATTTGTTGATGGTGTTGGGGTGGGGCATGAATTTTCTTCTGGTATTTTGATGGAGTAGGATGTCTACTAGAAAAAGTTGTCTATCTTGGCCGGGCACGGTGGCTCATGCCTGTAATCCCAGCACTTTGGGAGGCCGAGGCGGGTGGATCACCTGAGGTCAGGAGTTCAAGACCAGCCTGGCCAACATGGTGAAACGCCATCTCTACTATAAATACAAAAATTAGCCAGGCTTGATGGTGTGTGCTTGTAATCCCAGCTATCTGGGAGGCTGAGGCAGGAGAATCACTTGAACCCGGGAGGCCGCAGTTGCAGTGGGCAGAGATGGCACACAGTTGCACTCTAGCCCAGGCAACAGAGCAAGACTCCGTCAAAAAATAAAGGTGGTCTATCTTGGTAGGCTATTTTTTCCCATTCCTTTGGTGGGAGATCAGTCTTCGCTCAGGGACTGTATTGTCTGTGCCCAGGAGCATCTCCAGTTTACAGGCTTCCCCAGCACTCTGAGGCATATGAGGCATAAAGGAAATTCAGGAGACTCACAGCCATGTTGGTTTTTGAGTCCTTGGATCTCTAGCCCATCTGCTTTCTTCTTCTTACCTTTCAGGGTCGTCTTTCACAAATTATGAGTGTAATATCCAGAGTTTTAGCTATACTTCATAGGGGATATAAAAATAGATAAGTCTATTTCATCTTCTCCAGAATTAAAAGTTCTCAGTCTCTTTTCTAAGAGAGGAAAACTCAGAGACTTAGATGTAGAGACTTAGACTTTCTTCTTTGCCCAAAGAACTCACCTCATCTGTAACCTGGGGTGCAAGGGGGGAGGCAGAGTACAGGCTCTGTAACCAAGGACTGAGAGAGAGGAAAACTCAGAGATGTAGAATTAGAAGTAGAGACTTATATTAGACTTCAACTGAGAATTAAAAGTTTGTGGCCTGATAAAATAAATGACAAACTAAGCAGTACAGGTATTCTCTTCCTTTCTATTAACAACTGGGGCTTATTATAAAAGGTAAGTTACTTTATTTGATGTTACGAATCACAGAAAAAATATTTAGAAGCCAATTTAGGATGTGCTTCATTGGGAATTAAATTTGTTTGTAAAAGTCTAAGACTTAATTTTAAAAATTCCCCAAATATTTGCCAAGTGACCCTTGATATCAGTGGCATGAAAAAATAGAAACAGGATTTGATAGATAAGAAAAATAAAAGTATCATCTATATACGTAAGAATACCACGACATTTTCTGTGTGTAACCTACATTTCTGTGTCTCACACACTCTCTCTCTCACACACACTGTCCACAGAACCAGAGGAAATGGCATCTTCACCCCTTTTTTATTGTTGAAAGAGCCTGGAAACTAGCAAGAGTTCAAGACCAAGAGAAAGCTGTGGGCACTTGGATAAGTCTAAAAATCCTCAGAGTCCAGATAAGCAAGATTTGACAAGAGTTTCCATGGAGACAGAACATAACTTATTACTGGCCTATAAACTAGATAATTTGACCAGCGATCTGCAGACAGGACTGTTGCTTCTTTCCTCAACTTTGCTCCAGGCCATAATGATGAAAGCAAAAACACTTGTATCTGTGTTTCTAACAGCTTTGAGGAGAGAGGCTGCTCAAGAGAGAAATCAACCTATGGAAATTATATACATATTTTCTTTCCTCTTTTGGAGGTGAGAAACAGGAAAGAAACTTGTTGAAAGCAGAGATTAGATCTAGCTAGAGATGAATCCCAGGCTTTTAGTCTAATGCCTGTATTATTTCCTTAAATTTGTTCTGAGGGTTTCTTTTACTTTGGATATAATAAAGAGTGTTTCCACTGGAGCCTAAGAACTATGGGTCGTAGTTGCCTTGGAGATTTTGTGATGGGTGTATCTCAGAGCAGATCAACCTGCTCCTTCCTACCCAGCTCAGCTGGTGTAGTTTCCAGAATTTTAGACTGAAGTTTTTCTATAATATGTTTTGTATAATGTGGTAGCTGCAGTTTGCATCTTCCCTAGATAAATTTGCTGAGCTTTCAGGTGTGTGTGTGTGTGTGTGTGTGTGTGTGTGTGTGTGTGTGTGTGTGTTTTCTTCTTTGCCCAAAAAAGTCACCTTATCTGTAATCTTGGGTCCAAGGGGGAGGTAGAGGACCAGCTCTCTGCCCAAGGACCGAGAGAGAGGAAAAGTCATTCAACTCCCCTGAACCTCATTGTTCCACCAGAAAAATGGAATTACAATGTCCCCACAAAAATTTTGTCAGAATTTAGTGAACATTTTTTAAGTATCTGAAATTGTATATCATGTTTGAATTATCATAGACATTCAATAAAAGTTATAACAAATAGAAAAATAAATATAGTAGTTATTACTGAGTGGGTAATATAAAACATCAAGTGATGTAGAAGAGATGTCAAGTCTGTTAGCATAAGCTGTTAATATTAGGATGACAGAGGCACTGCCATTAGACACTGAGCTATTCCAGCTTTTTTCATGGTCCTGTTTCTGACTACAGAATCTTTATCTTCTTGAGTAAAATTAAGGCCTATGGTGGGGAAATGGATCCCATTGTCTCTGACATCCACAAGGCAGACTGGCTCACACTGGGCAGGAAGTGAACTGTGTCAGCAGACCTCCACCTTACTTCTGCTCAAGTAGCAGTTCCTTCGTCTCTGTTGCTGCTCTCGACATATGATGACCAATGAGAGTGCATCTCACTCACCTCTCTATCAATGACACAGTGCTTGGCCCATCGTAGGATCTTCGTAAATATTTGATGAATTAATTAGGTTGGGATCTTACTTAGAAATAATCCATTAAAAACTAAGTAATCATGGGGATCGATCACAGAACATGAAATTAATCTTATACTTTATACACCAGGCAAAAGTGCAAATGAAATGAGCTGTGCATTCAACTTTCATTCACTCATCAAGCATTTTCTGAATTCTTCCATGGAAATGAACTGATATGTACGGATATGTACTGATACGTATGGAGCATCAACCCTTTACATGCAGGGCACTGTTTGACTTGCTTTAGGATTTACAAAGTTAAATGAGGTAGCCACTTCTCTCCAGCATAAAGCAGGTGATGATGGTTCAGTTTGGAAGGTCCTGGAATCTGGGCCATTTTCTTTTTCCACGGCTGACTCCTTTGTCTCTTCCACTTTCCACTTGGAAAGCTTCAAACAGTTTCATCTTCTTCCTTCAAGGAGTGATACAGGGACTTCTTGAGACTGTGACTTGGGATAGGGATACAGACAAAGGAAGTCGGTCAAATGTGGAGAGAAAGCAACAATGGAAGAGAAGGGAATGGTAGCGAAAGGAGAGTAGTGTTAGAATTAAATCTTCCCAATAATTAGAGAAATCAAATATAAACAAACTTACATAGAAATGGTACAATTTGTATTTATAGTGTTTGGGAAAATGGACAAGAAGCATCAATAATTCAGTCTAGAGAGCTCAAGTGCTTTTAGAAAAGAAGTTTTGAATTACTACTAATAAATATAAAATCTCACATCAAGTAGTAGAAATATAAGGAGTACCTTGGTGAAGAACAGAAACATGTTATAATTCTGATGAGTGGACCAATTACCTATGGCAGGGAGAGCCCCTCCTTTTTAGACGTGTCCCTGCAAGTCTTAGTTCCACGCCTGCTCTGGGCTGCCCTACTCTCTCCCTCCAGATCCTTCCACAGTGTCGGTCTAGAACTGGGCGTGTAATAGGCGACTGAAGTGATCCGTGGCTCCATGATATAAAGCTCCATGGCACTGTATGCTGCGGTTGTTAAGTGGAGTGTTCTAGAAATAACATTTAAATCTTGTTGGTTGATGGTTTTGTCCAGTTATTCCATACCTTCATTTTTCTACTTAGTAGTTCTATCCTTTTCGAAAATGAGGTGTTGAAGCCCCCAGTTACCATTGTGAATGTGCCTATGTATCCTTCAGCACATTTTCTGTGTATATTTTGCACCCCTGTTGCTTACATAAAATGTACATGGGAAGAATTATTATTCAGAAAATATTAAAAAGTCCTTTAAATCACCTAAGGAAACAAAATGACAGAACATCAGAAAAATGGGCCAAAGGTATGGACCAGGGATTTGGAGAAGAGTTAAACTGAATCAAAAAGAAAAAAGAAACCCATTACTAAACAGTGATCCAGTATTCAGAGATTAATGGTGAAATAATAATTGATTTATTAGATTGCAAATCCTAAAAATCTGACAATACCAAATATTGGGTGAGGATATGCAAAAATAGGAACTCGTATATCTTCCTGAAAGAAATGAAAATTGGCAAATTACTTTGGAGCATAATGTGATATACTTCTATACCTTATAATTATACCATTTTAACTAAATATTTCATTGTGAATGAGTCTTAATGTTTACTATGAATGAAGGAAGGTTTTTCTTGAGCTATTGAGGATCTCTGACAGCCTTTCTCCTTTATAATTTCTGATGTTGAGTTAACCTGAACTCTTGGAATAATATCTATTCATTCAAGATGATTTGCTGTGTCTTTTTTTTTTTTTTTTTTTGAGATGGAGTCTCGCTCTGTTGCCCAGGCTGGAGTGCAGTGGCGCGATCTCGGCTCACTGCAAGCTCCGCCTCCTGGGTTCATACCATTCTCCGGCCTCAGTCTCCCAAGTAGCTGGGACTACAGGCACCCACCACCACACCTGGATAATTTTTTATATTTTTAGTAGAGACAGGTTTCACTGTATTAGCCAGGATGGTCTTGATCTCCTGACCTCGTGATCTGCCTGCCTCGGCCTCCCAAAGTGCTGGGATTACAGGTGTGAGCCACCGTGCCTGGCCAATTTGTTGTGTCTTATACACTGTTAGTTTTGATAAAAGTATTTTATTTAGGAATTTTGCCTTTTTATCTGTGGAAGACAGAATAATGGGCCCCCAGACATGTCTACTTCTCAATCTCTGGAAACTGTGAATATGTTACATCAGTGGTCTTCATGGTTTTCATCTTTTTTGGCACCAGGAACCCATTTTGTGGAAGACAGTTTTTCCACAGACCAGGGGGCAAGGGATGGTTTCAGGATGATTCAAGCACATTACATTCATTGTGTACTTTATTTCTATTATTGTTATATTGTAATATATAATGAAATAATTATACAACTCACCATAATGTAGAATCAGTGGGAGCCCTGAGTTTGTTTCCCTGCAACTAGATGGTCCCATCTGGAGGTGATGGGAGACAGTGACAGATTATCAGTCATTAGATTTTCATAAGGAGTGTGCAACCTAGATCCCTTGCACATGCAGTTCACAATAGGGTTCATGCTCCTCTAAGAATCTAATGCTGCCACTGATCTGACAGGAGGTAGAGCTCAGGCATTAATGTGAGTGATAGGGAGCAGTTGTAATCCCAGAAGCTGAGGCAGGAGAATCACTTGAACCCAGGAGGTGGAGGTTGCAGTGAGTCGAGATCACGCCATTGCACTCCAGCCTGGGCAACAAGAGCAAAACTCCGTCTCACAGAAAAAAAAAAAAAAATAAGAGGAAAAAGTTAAAATATTAATGGTCTTATTTATCCAGTTATGTACCAGTTCTGAAGCTCGTCCAAATTTCCACATAATGTGATTTTCCTTGAGCCTGAAGAACCTTCATCATTTCCTGTAGTGCAAGTCTCTTGGCAATGAATTCTTTTAGTTGTCTTCTCTGAAAGGCCTTTGTTTTACACTAACTTTAGAAGGATGTATTCACTGCGTATAGAATTCTTGGTTAAGAGTTTTCTTTCTGCACTTGAAAAATGTTCCAACATCTTCTTCCATAACTTTGAGGTGAAATCAGTATTCAGTGAAATCATTACTCCTCTGTATATATATAATGTCTTTTATTTGTTACTGTGTTTGAGATTTTATCTGTGGTTTTCACCTGTTTGATTATGATATACCTAGACAAGATCTTCTTCATATTTGTCTTGCTTAGGTTTCCTGTGCATCTTAAATCTGTAACTTTTTTCCTTGATCCATTTAGGTTTGTATTTGTACATTATTTCTTCAATTGCTTTCCGCCCATTCTATGCCTCTACTCTTTTTTTTTTCTGAGAATCCAGTTACACAAATGTTTAAATCTAACAAGTCCCTAAGCCTCTGTATATTTTTATTTTTATTTTTTTATTCTTCAAACTGGATGATCTGTCTTTGAGTTTCTGGCACTTTACCTTGTCATCTATATTATTCTGTTAAGTTGCCCTATAATGAATGTGGAATATGACAAAATAATCTTAACTATTTACAAATGAAACAATCTCAGTGATGGGGGCAGGGGAAAACCTGCTGTCCTAGCTATCTGCAAATGAGTGGCATCTGTAAGACTCAAGACAAAGAATCTAGGACTGTACATAAGCACTGTGCTCTAATTGATCAAGTTGTATCCATGGAGCTATGGTCTAACAATTCTGATACCACTGTACAGTATACAAGAATTAAGTGAATGAATGGAAGATGGTGGGATCTGGGTTTCCCACAGTTGGAATGAGAGTTTACAGATAAACAAGGGGAGGAGGCTGGAATTATGTATGTGTTAATGATTTATAGTTGGAGACATCAGTATGAGCCCACATGTAGCCTAATATAGATATAGATGATTACGTATAGAAATATTTATAGATATGTGTATATACGTGGACTAATACACACACATCATTTCCTTGTTTTGGCCGGGGATAATGAGACTCCAGTGGTAACAAGCATACCTAGTACCCAGATATTGTTTTATAATCCCAATCTCTAATAAAAGGAACCAGAGCCCCTTGGAGAAAGAGCTGATTCTGTCACTGGAGAAGGAAATATATCAGAAGACTCTTCAATACCTTCTAGTGCCAGAAAGCAAGGACATGCTAAAACAAAACAAAACAGAAAATGCACTGATGGAGGTATGTCGGAGCCAGCTGAGAGACCTCCCTTCAAAAAGCTTGAAGATTTTCAGCCATAAAATACATAAAGTAATATTGGATTATAAGCCAAAATATAAAATAAATATTGACGAACAGATATAAATAAAAGATTGAATAAGACATTAGAAGAAGCAAATCTTATATACAGAAAAATTTCAAATGATTTATGTAGGTATTTCCTGCTACGAGATAGAGCTTAACTGCCCCATCCACACACACAATTGAGTGTGGGCTCAGTAAAATGATTTTCTTTTAAAGAATGGAATATGTGAAAGGGGCAAGAAAGTGACTTTACAGTGGAGAAAGCTGGCAAATATGATCTTATCCAGATGATCAAGGGTGACATCAGCAGGGCTAAATCATGGTGACCACTTGTACTCTTGCTATGATACGATGAGAGCACCACTGCACCTCTGTGTATCCCCCCAGGACCATAACACCAATCTAATCACTAGGGAAACAACAGAAAGATCACAGTTTAAGGACATTCTACAAAAGTCCTGACTAGTACCCCTCAAAACTGTCAAGGTCATCAAGAACAAAGAAAATCTAAGAAACTGTCACAACCAAGAGGAGCCTAAGGGGGACATGATGGCTAAATGTGATCTGGTGTCCTGGGCGAAATCCAAAAGTGAAAACAATATTAGGGAAAAACTAAGGAAATCTGAATAAAGTATACACTGTAGTTAATCATACTAGTGTAAAAATACTGGCCCATCAATTGTAACACATATACCATACTAATGTAATATGTCAATAATACGAAAAAGTAGGTGTGGAATATTTAACTGTTTAGCACCACTGCAATTTTTCTGTAAATCTAAAACTCTTATAAAAGTTTGTTTAATATTAAGAAAATAAATAATAAGTCATGGAAAATGCATTTGGAGTTTACTGAATTGTACAATGAATTATAAGTGCCCCAATAACAACGGAAGTGCTCATATTTTCTTGTAACACCTCTTTCAGTAATTATAGAAACGATCATATTCACAGATAATTTTATACAAGGAGTGTGTGTGAATTCTTTGCCAAGTTGCTTGTACTAAACATTTCCAAGATGTTCAGCAACATTTCATAACTGAGTATTCTAAAGTTAGACATAACTCATACTTATGAAAGTAGATCAATGGTTAATGGCTTTGGATTTGGGGATAAATATGGCTTTCTATGTAACTTTAGATATCACTTATATTTTAAGAATGTTATTTTAAATTCACTGTAGGTTGTTCTTGAGTCATCATGCTTTGTATGTTAATATCTGCCCTGTGCTTGGATGAAATATTAGCGTAACCTTGGCTTTTGTGCTAAACATTAATCATTATAATCATTCCCATCTATGATCACTCCCCATATAACTGAGTCCCACCAAAATCCATCAAAGTGGCAGCAGATGTGCTTATTTTAAAACAGTAGTTTCTATTTAATTTCAAGATGAAAAGCTGAACTATACAGTCCACTTCACAAGTTTCTTATTTAATGAAAACAGTTTAAAGAAAATGAGTATCTTGTCTTTTTAGAGTTCATGTTCCAAATTTTGTCAAAATCATTGAACTTCTTTAAAGTGAATTGAAGAACAAACATCTGCGTCCTCAGTGGCAGAGTGGAAACTGTGAACCCACATGGTTTGACTACACACATATGTGTCTACACACTGTTGGATCAGCTCTCCAATAGAGAGAAGAGCCTAGTGTTTTTCTTCTATGTTCAATAAATTTGGGTATTGATCAGATGTATGTGTGTGAGAGAGAAAGGGTATGGCGGTGCCTCTCCACATAACTGACTCTGCAAGTGTCATTGGGACATTTGTATGCAAGGATAGAACAGGTTACCTCCCCATAATTGTTGCTAAATAATAACCCACTGTTCAACTCCCACTTATGAGTGAGAACATGTGGTGTTTGGTTTTCTGTTCTTGTATTAGTTTGCTGAGAATGATGGTTTCCAGCTTCATCCATGTCCCTGCAAAGGACATGAACTCATCCTTTTTTAATGCTGCATAGTATTCCATGGTGTATATGTGCCACATTTTCTTTATCCAGTCTATCATTGATGGGCATTTGGATTGGTTTCAAGTCTTTGCTATTGTGAATAGTGCACATGGACACAGGGAGGGGAACATCGCACACCAGGGCCTGTCGGGGGGTGGGGGGCTAGGGGAGGGATAGCATTAGGAGAAATACCTAATATAGGCAACAGGTTGATGGGTGCAGCAAACCACCATGGCACGTGTATACCTATGTAACAAAACTGCATGTTCTGCACATGTACCCCAGAACCTAAAGTATGATAAAAAAAAAATGAAAAAAAAATCCTTCCCCTAATTCAGATATTCTGAATATAGCAACTTGTTTTTATGTATCATTCTGGAAATTTTCTATTTTAATTATGTATAACCACATATTATGTACATATATGTAATCATACTATAGATGATACAAAAATAGAATTGTACCATAATTTTTTTCTGGAACTTTCTCTATTCAAATAAAGTATAATGGGCATCTTTCTCTATTAGCATAAAACAAAACAAAACAAAAAATAATAATAATTCACTTGAGTTAGCTGAAATGAGGACTGTGTCTGAGCAGACAGATGGGGGAGAAGCAACAATGTGAAAAGCAACTTTTCCGAAGTTGTTACTATAGCTACCAGGATGCAGACTATTTCTATCACAGCAGCAAACAGAAGAGATTTCAGATAAAGGACAAAAGGAAAAGAAATCAGGACTATTTCCATAGCAACTGGGAGATCTGCTGATCGTGGGTAGACTACACTTTTCTCTACCTAACGATATTGATATTAGTCATTAATAATATTACAGGAGGAGATATATAGAAAGCCCTAATCCTGAACTAATAGCTTAAAGCATAAGATAGGGAAACTGCATTCATTGAAAATGCCACGAAGGTTCCTGGGGCGATGCCGTGAACTTGCATGCCTGACACCTTTAAAGGCTGAGGGATTACTGACTGCTACTACTAATGTTGCAATTTGTTTGTTGTGAAATTCAGAGGAAATTTCCTTAGTTTGTTTCTACCAAAGATGATGGTGGATGAGTGTGAGATGTAGAGTAAGTAGAAATTGGAGAAGTGATATAAATAGAATTAGATTTAGAATTAATGGAGGGAATCTGAATGGAATTGCAACATTATATAACAAAGATCTGATAAAAAAGAAAAAATATAATTGATGCAGCTGTGTTTATTGGGAGTAAATGCTGGGGGGAATGCAGAGAGAACAATTAGAGGTTAAGAATTGAGAGCTGGGGCCAGGCATGGTGGCTCACGCCTGTAATCCCAGCACTTTGAGGGATCACTTGAGGCCAGGAGTTGGAGACCAGCCTGGCCAACATGGCGAAACCCTGTCTACTAAAAATACAAAAAAAATTAGCCAGGTGTGGTAGCGTATGCCTGTAATCCCAGCTACTTGGGAGGCTGAAGCAAGAGAATTGCTTGAACCTGGAAGGCACAGAGGTTGCAGTGAGCCAGGATCATGCCACTGTACTCCAGCCTGGGCAACAGAGTGAGATTCTGTCTCAAAAAAAACAAACAAAAAAAAAAACAGAACAAAACTGGAGAGCTGGAAGGCACTTTAGGGATTATGCATATTCAACTTGCAAATGAAATGTTAAGAGGTATTCATTTGTGCACATATTTATTGATTATCTACTACAGGCCAGATACTACTTTCCATTCTTGGGAAATACACATCAGTGATCTAAACAGACAGGAATCCCTATGTCCAGGGAGCTACATTCTCAAGGGAAATCATAGGCCATAAAAAGTAAAGATTATAAATAAGAAAAGTATAAGGTATGTCTGTGCATGTGACAAATGGTAAAACAAAATAAGCAGAATTTAGAGCGGAAAGGTGGGATTGTGATTCAAATTAGGATATCAGAATTGGCTCCATTAAGTATGAAACACTTGAGGGAGTTAGCCATCCCAATATTCTGGGAAGAGCATTCCAGTAAGAAGGGAGAGGACAAATATCACATGCCCAGATTGCAGCAAGTCCAGGCAAGAGCCCAGATCCCTGTCATCTGTAATCTCTGTATCCTGCTACCTTTTCTTTTCTTTTTCCTTTTTTTTTTTTTTTTTTTGAGACAAGCTCTCACCCAGGCTGGAGTAAAGTGGCTCCATCATGGCTCACTGCAGCCTCTGCCTCCTGGGCTCAAGCAATCCTGCCATCTCATCTTCCCAAGTAGCTGGGACCACAGGTGTGCACCACCACGCCCAGCTAATTTTTGTATTTTTGGGTGAGACAGCATTTAGCCATGTTGCCCAGGCTGGTCTCAAGCTCTTGGGTCAAGGGATCCTCCTGCATCAGCCTCCCAAACTGCTGGGATTACAGATGTGAGCCACCACACCTGGCCTCTTTTCCCAGTCTTGGACAATGGTTCACCAATGTCATTTCTTGCTCATTTGTTCCAGTGCAGTGGTTCTTACGGGGTTGTCTTTGGACTCAGCAGCACTGGAATTACCAGGAAGCTTGTTAGAAAGCAGATTCTCAGGCTGTAGCTGGGACTTCCATAATCTAGCACTGTGGAGGGTGAGGCACAGCAGCCTGTCTTAACACGCCCTCAGGTCATTCTGAGAATCACGTCTGTAAACCAGGGGCGCATTCTTTTCAGTGACCCCTCTCACTTCTGACTGTTGTCTGTAGAATCTTTCAGAAACCAGTCCCAATTTGCCAACCGCTATTCTAGGCCTCCTACACCCTGATCTGGATGTTTGTAAGAAGAAAAGGTGCAACAGAATTTATTCCGGAATGGAGAAGACACACCCTCAGCGCGCCCTCGTCAGAACCCAGAATGGTCAGAATAGCTGGCCAAAGAGGAAGGAGACCTGGCCAGGTGCAATTCTCGAAGGACAAATGAAGCACTGGTCAGATTCCGGGGCATCAGTTCACCCAATCTTGAGAAAATTCTGGGGGAAAAGAGTTCCATTCATGGTGAATGAAAGAAGAAGCTTTCTAGAACTAATCTGAAAGCAAAGTGTCCCTAAAGAGAAACCCATCAAAAGTCACTGCTGGATTTTCACCCAAAGTGAGGCAGAGTAAGTTTTAAAATTAAATTTTATTATTTCGCCTTCCTTTCCAGTTCTTAATGTTAGAATGGTACTCCAGCTTGGAGTGGGAAAGTACATGGTTGCCTTGCATCTTCCTACTTCTCTCACTTTAATTGGTGTAAAGCCTTATTTAACTGTCTTTAGATTTTAAGATTTGCTAGACCTCAACTCTCCTGTAACCATTTCAAAAGCACGGGCTGGGCTTCTGCTTCTGATAATGGCGAACGAGGGAGATCAGAACAAGGGACCCAGTGAAGGTAACCACAAGGGCTGGACAAACTGTCAAAATCCTGCTTGAGATGAGAGATGGCTGTGAAAACTTTTGGAACAAAGATTCAAGTGATAAAAAAAATTCACCATGGGTAGCCAGGCAGTTAGGGCCATGCTATTTTAAGAGCATCTTCAGACTTTGAAAATAAGCTGTTAACAATATGCGGAGACTCTCAGCAGAAGTTCTAGGCAGGCCTACAGGCATGGGGGACAAAAATTAGAGTGCAAGCCCCTCCCAGAGGGGGTCTGGTAAAGTCTGCAAACTTCAGGTTGTAACTCTCAGAGTCTACAGCCAAGGAGTAAAAGTGGAATAGAAATAGATGCACCCTGAGTCCCACTCCTAAAAGGGGGAAAGGGTAAGTGTGATCTAGGCCACTTCAAAGGAGCTGGGGTGGGGACAGTAGCATTCTGCTTTTCCCAGAATGCCTCTCTCTGCTCTATGAGCTGGCAATGGGGGAAATGGTAGCCCTTGATCTTCTAGCCTTGCCTTTCCTGGTGTGGAACCTTCGTCCTACAAGTGAATTGTGGCAGGGGTCAGTGGGGCCCTCATTCTTGGTCTTCCGTGCCAGGAGTAGAGCTCTTGCCCTTGGTGAGCAGGACCTGGGTGGAGAAGGAGCCTCTGTCCTCTCAGCTGCACCTGACTTGAAGACCTGCCTTATGAGAAATACTAAAGGACATTCTTCAGGCTGAAAGCAAGTGACCCTAGACAGTAATTTAAATCCACATGAAAAAGGCAAAGGCATGAGTAATGTGATTATGTAATTATGAAATACAGGATACTTGCATATTTCTTTTTCTTTTAACTGACTGAAAAAGAAGTTGCATAAACAATATGTGTAGAATTGTGTTATGGTTATAACATATAGAAATGTCATATACAATAAGACAAGGAAGTGGCTGGGAACAACTGTATTTGAGTAGGATTATTGACACTGGGTGCTAACTTGAGTAACTTTCATTTATTCCATAGGAATAAATGAAAAGAATCAGAAATGGTAAGCAAGATGGTTAATATAATAAATTCTATACGTATAAATAGTCATGTGCTACATAATGATGTGCTACATAATGATGTTTCAGTCAACAGTGGACCACATATGTGACGGTGGTCCCATAAGATTATAATGGAAATGAAAAATTCCTATCGCCTAGTGATAGCATAGTCATTGTAATGTTGTAGCTCAAAGCATTACACGGTGTTGGTGGTGATGCTGGTGCAAACAAACCTACTGCACTGCTATAAAAGTATAGCTCGGGCAATTATGCACAGTACCTGAGACTTCATAATAATAATAAATGACTATGTTACTAGTTTATGTATTTGCTTTACTATACTTTTTATCTTTTTTGTAAAATGTACTCCTTCTACTTTTTTTTTTTTTTAATTTCATTATAAGACAGTCTCAGGCAGGTCCAGGTATCCAGAAGAAGGCGCTGTTATCGTAGGAGATGACGGCTCCATGTGTGCTATTGCCCCTGAAAACCTTCCAGTGGGACAAGGTGTGGAGTTGGAAGACAGTGATATGGAAAATCCTGACCCTGTGTAGGCCTAGGCTAATGTATGTGTTTGTGTCTTAGTTTTTAACAAACAAGTTTAAAAGGTAAAAAAGATTTAAAAATTTTAAAATAAAAGAAAGCTTATAGAATAAGGATGTAGAGAAATAAATCGTTTTTGTATAGTAGTACATATGTTTGCATTTTAAGCTAGATATAACAAAAGAGTCAAAAAGTCAAAAGAAAGTTTATAAAGTAAAAGTGTTACAATTAGCTAAGGTTAATTATTGAATAAATAAAAATATATTTTATACATTTAGTGTAGCCTCTAAGTGTACAGTGTTTCTAAAGTCTACAGTAGCGTACTGGGATGTCTTGGCCTTCACATTCACTCAGCATTCATTCACTGACTCACCCAGGGCTACTTCCAGTTCTGCAAGCACCATTTGTGGTAAATGACCTATACAGGTGTAGCATTTTTTATCTTTTATACTATATTTTTACCATACATTTTTTATGTTTACATATACAAATACTTAACATTGTGTTACAATTCCTTAGAATATTCAGGACAGGAACATGCAATGCAAGTTTGTAAGCTAGGAGCAACAGGCTATACCACATAACCTAGGTTTGTAGAAGGCTATACCATTCTATGTTTGTGTAAGTACACTCTATGATGTTCACACAACAACAGATTTGAACAATGCATTTCTTAGAATGTTAAGCAATGTATGACTATATAGTTGCTTTCCTTTCTTCTTTCAGAGATTTAAAAACATAGATTATATAAAATAATAATTGTAACAATGTGTTGAGTTTGTAACATATGTAAGTTTTATACTATAACAATAATAGCACAGAAAATTGGGGAGGGAGAATAGTGTTATATAGGAGTAAAGTTCTATATTCCACTTGAATAAATTGGAATAAATTTAAAATATATTTTAAAGGGTAACATGTATATTGAAATCCCAAAACAACTACTAATAATATAATTTTTTTAATAAATTAAAAATCATTATAGATCCTCAAACGTTACATCAGAAAATATCCACTTAATCCAAAAGAAGTAAGTAAAGGAGCAAAAGAATAAAAACATACGAATGATGTAAAAAGCAAATGGTAGATGTATATTGAACCCTATGAATAACAAATGTGAATGAATTAAACAATCCAGTCAAAGGCAGAGATTATCAGACTGAATAAAAATAAAAAGACCCTCTAAGATGTTGTCTGTAGCAGGCACACATTAGATTCAGGAATCTAGGCTGAAAGTAAAGGATGAAGAAAGATATACCATGTGTAAACCAGAGAGTATCTGAAGCAGGTCTCAATCAGTTTAGAAGTTTATTTTGCCAAAATCAAGGACGTGCCTGGGAGAAAGGTTTATGCCTTTCTCCAAAGATGATTTTGAGGGCTTCAGCATTTGAAAAGGAAAAGTGGGCTGGAGGGGAAAGAGGGAGGTTGTAGTAATCCATATGTCGCAAGAGAAAAGGAGCAGGTAGGGGAATAGTCAATTATGTATTCGTTGGGTACTCAGTAAATCAGCACGTTACATAAGATAAGGTGAGCATAGCATGGCTAACTGTGGGGATATTTAACCTTTTATTTGTAGGTACTTGCTTAGAAACAAACGGAAAGGTAGCTTCTTGCATGACTCAATTTTAAGCTTAATTTTTAAGTTTAATTTTTTTTTTATATTTCCAATCCTTTATTTTTCTTAATTATACCTTAAGTTCTGGGGTACATCTGCAGAATGTGCAGGTTTGTTACATAAGTATATATGTGCCATGGTGGTTTGCTGCACCCATCAACCTGTCATCTACATTAGGTATTTCTCCTAATGCTATCCCGCCCCTAGCCCCCCACCCCCCAACAGGGGTCAGGTTCCTGACCATATAATTAATATGTTCAAGATCAATGTTTTTTATCCAGCAGCAAAAAATAAGTTCCTGTTCTGGGTTAAATGAACAACAACAACAAAAAATGCTTCATTTTTATCTCCCATTGTGTAAGACATAAAACATGGCCACATGGTGGCTCACATCTGTAATCCCCGCACTTTGAGAGGCCAAGGCAGATGGATCACCTGAGGTCAGGGGTTCGAGACCAGTCTGTTCAACATGGTGAAACCCCTTCTTTACTGAAAATACAAAAACTAGCTGGGTGTGGTGGCAGGTGCCTGTAATCCCAGTTACTCAGGAGGCTGAGGTAGGAGAATCACTTGAACCTAGGAGGCAATGGTTGCAGTGAGTCAAGATTGCACCACTGCATTCCACCTTGGGCAACAAGAGCAAAACTCCATCTCAGAAAAAACAAAAACAAAAACAAACAAAAAAACACCATGGCCCATGGCCATAATGCCTGGAAAAGCTATTTGAAGACACTAAAAATAAAACAATAGGTGGATTGCTGAAGAACACCAGAAATTGAAGTACTGCCAAATCATCAATGAATTTACATTATTTCTCCTTCATTACTTCTTGATTTGAACTCAACACAACTTGAAATCTGAAAGTTGGCACTGTTTTGCAAGCAGTGAGAGTTCTAATGTAAGCCCTCTAGTTCTGGATGGGGAGTTGGAACCGAACACTCCTAATCCTTAGAGGATGTTTAAATCTCCCATTTCCTCCATTCTCTCAAAGTTGAGTCCCCAGGGAATCAATTCCACTCAGGTGATGGCTGTTGCTGCATCTGGAGCCCAGAAACACGAAACTCTGAGACAGAGGGACCTCCTATCCAGTAAGTGGGGCTGCATTCCTAGGACTGCATGCTGGCTTTTCTCTCTGCGTCTTTCCTCACTTGAGAAAGGATATGGGAGTGTGTGACAGAGAGGGGGTAACCAGAGCCCCAAGTTTCTAGCCAGAGGCCCAAAAAACACATGCCAGAGAATAAAAAAGTACTAGGTAGCTTGCAGAAAGAAAAGAGGTCAAGAAAATGACTCCATAAAAATTGTTTATATATTCCAGGTTTGTCTTGGCTTGTGTATGTCTAGATCTAGTTATACTTAGCATATCAAAGACTTTGAGAGCTAACATTGATAGACAGCTGCCTAGGTTCCAGAAACATGTGGAATAAATCTGAGGAGCACACAAATCTTTCAAACTCTTACATACAGCTTCTATTGGAACCACAGAACACCATTGAACCTGCAGTGTGAACCAGATCAGTTAGTTGTTGGCTGAAAACGAAAATATCAACATTTTCTACAGAATTTAAGAAAAACAGTCTTATGATGTTAACATTTAAAATGTGAAGAATACAATCCAAAATTACTTGGCATATGGAGACCCATGGACATTTCAACTCCTATGAGAACAGACTCAACAGACACCCATGCCATTATGAAGTATATGTTGGAATTATCTTACAAAGAATGAAGGCACGTATTTTTAAAAACATGCAGGCCAGGCACGGTCACTCACACCTGTAATCCCAGAACTTTGGGAAGCCGAGTCTGGCAGATCACTTGAGGTCAGGAGTTGGAGACCAGCCTGACCAACATGGTGAAACCCCATCTCTACTAAAAATACAAAAATTAGTGCTGATGCATGCCTGTAATCCCAGCTACTTGAGAGGCTGAGGCAGGAGAATCGCTTGAACCTGGGAGTTGGAAGTTGCAATGAGCCGAGATCACGCCATTGCATTCCAGCCTGGGCAACAAGAGCAAAACTCCATCTCAAAATAAATAAATAAATAAGCAAAAAAAAAAAAAAAAAAACACCTGGATTATTATTTCAACAAATGTTAAAAACAGAAGTTATCAGCAAAGAAATTGAGATTAAGAAAAGAAGCAGCTGGAAATTTTAGAAATAAGAAATAACTACAAAAACTTGTAGGATATGCTGGGCACGGTGGCTCACGCCTGTAATCCCAGCTACTGGGGAGACTGAGGCAGGAGAATTGCTTGAACCTGGGAGATGGAGGTTGCGGTAAGCCAAGATCGCACCACTGTACTCCAGCCTGGGCAACAAGAGGGAAACTCCATCTCAAAAACAAACAAACAAACAAAAACTTGTAGGATAACATCAGTGGGGGAATGGAGATGACATATATGACATATGATCAAGTTAAGTGAACTTTAAGATGGATAAGTAGCAATTATCAAAAGTGACAACAGAGAGAAAAATATTGAAGAAAAAAGAACAGAGGTAGAGGAACCTAAGGGAAAATGACAACATCTAAAGTTCTTGTCATCGAAGAAGGATAAGCGAATGTGATGCTAAAGAAAATTGAGGTAATTATAGTTGAAAACTCCCAGACTATATATAATTTAGTTTTGCTTTATTTTGACCTGTGTGTTGTTTTCTTGGGACTTGCTTTCTAAAGTCACATTTTGTTTCTAGGGTTTATCTATATTATCATATCACTGTAGCTATAGTTTATTCTATTTCACTGCTGAATAATATCTGTGAATATACTACAGTTTATCTGGTTTCCTGCTAATGAAACACTTTGGTTATTTCTAGTTTTTCCTATTACTAAAAAAGCATAATTCAGGAAAATAACTGTCAGGGGAAGAAGGGGAATGGCACAAGGGAAAACATAGGTAAATGGAAGTTAGAAATACTGGTGCTTGAGTTCTTAATTGTTCATTATATCATTATGCTTTATAACTTAATGTTACATATATATGTGTGTGAGTGTGTGTGTGTATATATTATTTCATATGTATCACAATTTATTTAAAAATATAAAACAGTTAAAAACAAAACAAAAACAAACAAAGAAGAAAACTCCCAAACTTTGGTAGATGACTAAAACCTAAAGATTTAGAAGCTAAGCAAACCTCAATAGGGTGATTCCATATTACATTTTTTACAAAAAATATAAAAGCAGTCAGATAAAAATGACACATAACCTATAGTGGAACAGTGATTCAATAATGGTGGCTTTCTCATCAGAAACCATGGAGGCCAGAAAGAAGAGGCATGGCATTTTTCAAGTGCTGAGAGGAAAGAGCTGCCAATCTAGACTTCTACATTCAGTAAGAATATCCTTCAGGGATAAAGGCACTCTCAGATGAAGGTAAACTAGGAATCTGACCATCCTTAAAAATTACACAAGGAAGCTGTTAAAACAGAAAGAATGATACCAGAAGGAAACTTGGAGCATCAGAAATGAAGGAAAAGTGAGAGAAATGGTAGATGTATTAGAAAATAGGATATTCTTTTATACTGAAATTCTTCAAAATATGTTTGATATATAAAAGGAAAAAATACATAAAAGTGTCTGATAGAATTCTCCATGTATGTATAAGACAGCTATAGAATAAAGTGGAGAGGGTAACGGAATCTATAAGATATTAGCTATACATTCCAAATGAAGTGGCAGAATACTCAGTCTAAGCAGATTGTGAAGAGTTGACTTGTTTTATCAGAAAAGTAAACTTCAGAGCATAGAAAATTACCAGGGACAGTTACACTACATAATGAGAAATAGGATAAATTTACCAAGAAGATACGAGTTCTAAATACATATGCATCAAACAACAGAGATGCAACATACATGAAGCAAAACCAGACAAAACTGAAAACAGAAATAGATATATCCACAGTTAAAGTTGGTGACTTCAACATCCACACCTCAGTAATATATGAATCTACTAGGTAGAAAATCAACAAAGATATAGAAAAATCAGTCAGTGCCATGAACCAACCAGATTTAACTGATTTTACAGAACATTCTACCTAAAAACAGCAGAAGGCACAAGTGCCCATAGTTCATTCATAACAAAAATATATTCTGGGTCATAAAACAAACTCCAAAGTTTAAATCATTTGGAATTATTCAGAGTATCATCTCAGATCATAATGCAATTAAACTAGAAATCAATATCAGAAACACAACAGAAAAATATCGAAACCCATGGAAATTAAACAACATACCTTTAAATATGCCGTGGACCAAAGAGGAAGTCTCAAGGGAAATTAGAAAATATTTTGAAATGAGTAAAAATAAAAAATATGGCATAATGAAGATTGTAGAACTCAGCTAAAAGACTGCTTAGAGAGAAATTTATAGTATTAAGTGCTTATATTAGAAAAGAAGAAAGACCTCAGATCACTAACCTAAGCTTCCACCTTTAGAACTGGAAAGCAAAGAGTAAAACAGACTCAAATCAAGCCAAATTAAGGAAATAATAAAGTAAAAATCAATGAAATTGAAAACCAAGAACAGTAGATGAAATTAGTGAAATCAAATCTAATTCTGTGAAAATATTTGTAAATGCATTCAAGACTGACAAAGTTAAAAAAAAAAAAGACACAAATTACCAATATCAGGAATTGAAAAGAAATGGGACTACAAGGCCTTCCAGGATAATAAGGGAGTACTAGAAACACCTCTATGGGAATAACTTCAACAACTTAGATGTAATGGACCAATTCTTCCAGGAACACAAACTATCAAAGCCTACCCAAGATGAAATAGATCATAAGAATGGTCTTATGACCATTAAAGTGATTGATTTCATAGTTTAAAAAAATGTTTTAAAAACCTACCCCAAAATCTGAAAAATAAACTTCCAGGCCTAAATATGGTTTCACTGGTTAATTGAATAAAATATTTAAAGAAATTAGACTAATTCCATAGAACCTTTTCTAGAAAATGGAAGAAAAGGAAACGTATCCCAACTCATTTTATGAGGCTGGCATCAACCTGACACCAAAATCTGACAAGAAAAAAGAAAACTACACAATATATTTCATGGATGTGTATATATATATATCCATGTGTGTGGATATGTATATCCACTATATATATATCCGTGTGTGTATATATATATATACACACACATCTATGTATATACATATATCTATTTGTGTGTGTGTGTGTGTATATATGTATATACACACAAATACAAACTATATTAACAAAGTGATTCCAGCAATATATAAAAAGCATAATACAAAGCACCAAGTGGAATTTAAACTAGGAATACAAGACTAGTTCAGTACTCTGAAAATAATTAATGTAATTGACCATATTAATAACCTAAAGAAGGAAAGCTGCGCGGTCATAGAAATTTAAACAGAAAAAACATTTGACAAAATACATCATCTATTCATGATAAAAACTCGCAGCAAACTAGAGTAGAACGGAACATCCTCAAAAATTCACATCTAGGAAAATCTTATAGCTAAGAATATACTTAATTGTGCAGCATTGAAAGCTTTTCTCTTAAGCTTAGTGGCAAACTCAACATTCCTGTTAACCTAGTAGAAGATCTGGTCAGTGGAAAAGGCAAGAAGAAAATAAAAAGTGTACAAATTGGAGAGGAAGACATGAAAGTGCCATTTGTGGAAGATATGACACTTTATATAAAAATCACAAGAAATCTACAAAAAGTCTCCCAAAACTAATAAATGAAGTTAGTAAATCACAGGATACAAGATCAGCACTCATTATTAATCAGGTATATTTATTTTTTTAAAAAAATCAATTTATTATCTTATAGTTGTGAAGGTCATAAGTTCAAAATGGGTCTTACTAGACTCAAGTCAGTGTGTCAGTGGAGCAGAATTCGTTCTAGAATGGATGCTTGAAGAGGTTCTGGAGGCTCAAAGAGAGAATTCATTCCTAGGCATTTTCTGCCTCTTAAAGCCACCCACATTCCCCCATCCATGACTGCATGACTCTGACCTCTGCTTTCATTGTAAAATCTCCTTCTCTGCCTCTGATCTTACTGTTTTTCTCTTACATGGGCCTCAGTGATTACATTGGGCCCACCCAGATAATTCAAGGTAATCTTCCCATCTCATGGTCTTCAACTTAATGATATCCAAAGTACTATTTGCCAAGTGATATAATGTATTCAGATTCCAGGGATTAGGACACAGACATCTTTAGGGACTATTATTCTGTCTACCACAAGTTGAAAGAGTTCTTTACATATTCTGATATTATGGATACTGGAACCTGACAAGGTGTATGATTTGCATTTTTTTCTCCCATTCTGTGGGTTATTTCACTTATTGTATATCCTTTGATACACCAAAAGTTAGAATTTTCGTAAAGCCTAATTTATCTATTTCTTCCTTTGGTGGCTTTACTTTAGGTGTCACAACTATGAGAATTTTATAGTACTATCTCTGACTTTTAGGTTTTTAATACATTTTGAGTTAACTTTCCATATGGTGTAAGGCAACAGTCCAGTATCATTCCAATGTCTCTGCATCATTAGTTGAAGAGACGATTTTTCTCCATTGAATTATTTTGGTACTCTAATCAAGTATATTTCTATACAGTAGAACGCAGACTGGAAAACAGAAAAATTTTAAAACATCATTTAAAATAACTCCAGAATTGAAATATTTAGGTATAAATGTAACAAAATGTGTACAGTGTAAGTTTATAGGAAACTAAAACTCTAATAAAAGATATTTGAAAAATAAAGAAATAGAGAGTCATACTGTCTTCAAGGAATAGAAGACCCAACGTGGTAAACATGTCAACATGTAAATTCTCCATAAATTTATATATGGATTGTGTGTGTGTGGTCTGTGTGTTTTTTATATATATATAAACATATATAAACATATATATAATATAAACCTATGTTTATATATAAACATAATATAAACCTACGTGTTTATATATAAACATATATATAATATAAACCTACATGTTTATATATAAACATATATATAATATAAACCTATATGTTTATATATAAACATATATAATATAAACCTATATGTTTATATATAAACATATATAATATAAACCTATATGTTTATATATAAACATATATAATATAAACCTATATGTTTATATATAAACATATATAATATAAACCTATATGTTTATATATAAACATATATAATATAAACCTATATGTTTATATATAAACATATATAATATAAACCTATATGTTTATATATAAACATATATAATATAAACCTATATGTTTATATATAAACATATATAATATAAACCTATATGTTTATATATAAACATATATAATATAAACCTATATGTTTATATATAAACATATATAATATAAACCTATATGTTTATATATAAACATATATAATATAAACCTATATGTTTATATATAAACATATATAATATAAACCTATATGTTTATATATAAACATATAATATAAACCTATATGTTTATATATAAACATATATAATATAAACCTATATGTTTATATATAAACATATATAATATAAACCTATATGTTTATATATAAACATATAATATAAACATATTTATAATATAAACATATGTAATATAAACATATGTTCTATATATAAACATAATATAAACATGTCTATATGTAAACATATATAACATAAACATGTCTATATATAAACATATATATAATATAAACATGTCTATATATAAACATAAAATATAAACATGTCTACATATAAACATATATATAATATAAACATGTCTACATGTAAACATATATATAATATAAACATGTCTACATGTAAACATATAATACGAACATATGTCTACATATAAACATAAACATGTCTATATATAAACATATATATAATATAAACATATGTCTATATATAAACATATATAATATAAACATAAACATATAATATAAACATATATAATATAAACATATATGTTTATATATAAACATATAATATAAACATATGTTTATATATAAACATATATAATATAAACATATATTTATATATAAACATATATATGAACATGTTTATATATAAACATATATATGAACATGTTTATATATAAACATATACAATATAAACATGTTTATATATAAACATATACAATATAAACATGTTTATATATAAACATACAATATAAACATGTTTATATATAAACATACAATATAAACATGTTTATATATAAACATACAATATAAACATGTTTATATATAAACATACAATATAAACATGTTTATATATAAACATACAATATAAACATGTTTATATATAAACATACAATATAAACATGTTTATATATAAACATATATAATATAAACATGTTTATATATAAACATATATAATATAAACATGTTTATATATAAACATGTATAAACATGTTTATATATAAACATGTATAAAATAAACATGTTTATATATAAACATGTATAATATAAACATGTTTATATATAAACATATAATATAAACATGTTTATATATAAACATAATATAAACATGTTTATACATATATAAACATATAAAAACATGTTTATACATAATATATAAACATGTTTATATTATAATACAAACATGTTTATATATAACCATGTTTATATTATATGTTTATATATAACCATGTTCATATTATATGTTTATATATAACCATAGGTTTATATATGTTTATATATAACCATAGGTTTATATATGTTTATATATAACCATAGGTTTATATATGTTTATATATAACCATATAGGTTTATATATTTATATATAACCATATAGGTTTATATATTTATATATAAACATATAGGTTTATATATTTATATATAAACATATAGGTTTATATATTTATATATAAACATAGGTTTATAGGTTTATATATTTATATATAAACATAGGTTTATAGGTTTATATATTTATATATAAACATAGGTTTATAGGTTTATATATTTATATATAAACAGGTTTATAGGTTTATATATTTATATATAAACATAGGTTTATAGGTTTATATATTTATATATAAACATAGGTTTATAGGTTTATATATTTATATATAAACATAGGTTTATGTTTATATATTTATATATAAACCTATAGGTTTATATATAAATATATAATCATAGGTTTATATATAAACATATAAAATAAACATATGTTTATATATAAACATATATATAAAATAAACATAAACATATATAAAATAAACATAAACATATATAAAATAAACATGTTTATATATAAATATATATAAATGTATATGTTTATATATAAAATATATATAAAATAAACATGTTTATATATAAACATATGCTTGTATATAAACATATATGTAAAATAAACATGTTTATATATAAACATATATAAAATAAACATATACGTTTATAATAAACGTATATATAAAATAAACATGTTTATATGTAAATGTATATAATATAAACATATATAAACATATATGTTTATACATCCAAACATATATAAACATATATGTTTATACATCCAAACATATATAAACATATATGTTTATACATCCAAACATATATAAACATATATGTTTATATATCCAAACATATATAAACATGTTTATATATCCAAACATATATAAACATGTTTATATATCCAAACATATATAAACATACGTTTATATATAAACATAATATAAACATACGTTTATATATAAACATCATATAAACATATATAAACATACGTTTATATATAAACATAATATAAACATACGTTTATATATAAACATATAAACATTTGTTTATATATAAACATATAATATAAACATATATAAACATGTAATGTAAACATACCTGTTTATATAAACATATGCAAACATACATGTTTATATATAAACATATAATGTAAACATACATGTTTTATATAAACATAATGTAAACATACATGTTTATATAAACATATATAATGTAAACATACATGTTTATATAAACATAATGTAAACATACATTTATATATAAACATAATGTAAACATACGCTTATATATAAACATATAATGTAAACATACGCTTATGTATAAACATATAATGTAAACATACGCTTATGTATAAACATATAATGTAAACATACGTTTATATGTAAACATAATGTAAACATACGTTTATATGTAAACATATAATGTAAACATACGTTTATATATAAAACACAATGTAAACATACGTTTATATAAAAACACATATAGTGTAAACATACGTTTATATAAAAACACAGAATGTAAACATATATGTTTTTATAAAAACAGAATTTAAACATGTTTATATGAAAACAGAATGTAAACATATGTTTATATGAAAACACATATAATGTAAACATGTTTATATGAAAACACATAATGTAAACATGTTTATATGAAAACACATATAATGTAAAAATATATGTTTATATAGAAACATAATGTAAACATATGTTTATATAGAAACACATATAATGTAAACATGTTTATATAGAAATATAATGTAAACACAGATGTTTATATAGAAACATATAATGTAAACATAGATGTTTATATAGAAACACATATAATGTAAACAGATGTTTATATAGAAACACATATAATGTAAACATAGATGTTTGTATAGAAACATAATGTAAACATATATTTATATATAAACACACATATACACGTACACATACATATGTATATGAATTCTGTGTTTTATATATGTGTGTGTGTGTGTGTGTTTGTATATATATATATTTACCAATTTAAACCTTAGCAGAATTTTTGTAGATATGGGTAAGGTATTTCACAATGTATTTGGAAAGGCAGAGGGACTAGCCTATGCAAATCAGTTTTGAAAAAGAACTAGACATCTACATATAAAAAATGAACTTTGACTTAAATACCTTAAACAAAAAACTTGGTAAAAGGCATGAACAAACACTTCACCAAAGAGGATATAAGGATGACAAATAGGCACATTAAAAGATGTTTAACATTCTTAGCTGTTAGGGAAATGCAAATTAAAACCATGACGTGATAGTGCTAAACACCTATTTTAACTTCAATAAAAATTGCTGACAAGAGCAAGGAAAGTAATAGATGTGGAGTAACTTGAAATTTTGTAAATTGCAGGTTGAAATATAAAATTGTACAATCACTGTGGGAAACAGTTTGACAGTTTCTTATAAATGCTAATCTGTTCTAAAATATAACCCAGTGGTCCATTTCTGGATATTCAGCCTAGAGAGATGAAAAATTTATTTCCACATAAAAACCTGTACATTAATATTTACAGCAGCTTTACTAATAAGTGCTAAAACCTGAATACCACCCAAATGTCCTTAATGTGATGGATGGATAAACAAACGGTGACACATCTGAACAGTGGCATAATATTTATAAAAAATAATGAACTTTTAATATATGTAACAACTTGGACAAATCTCAGAGGCATTATGCTAGGGAATGAAGCCACACACCAAAGGTTGATACTATAGTATTCCATGTATATTCTACTCCCTCCCAACGAAAAGAATCCAGTCACACACAGAAAAGTAGAAGGATGGAGAAGTGATCAGTGGTTGGCAGCAGTTATGGGTAGGGAAGGGGCAATGACAAAAGGCTAGCAGAAGGGAGTTTTGGGCAGGGGGTGATAGAACTATTGTGTGTCCTGATTATGTTGATAGCTACACAAATATATACATGTGTCTAAAATTTATGGAAGGTCATGCATGATACATCAATGGAAAAAGTTAATGTATGATATAAAAATAAAACTTGAAAGACACTATTTTCACTAGCATCAAAAACATTAAATGTCTAAGAAAAATCTAGTAAAAGATGAGTATTATTCTATAGAGTTAACTATAAACCATTAATGAGAGAAATTAAAAGAGACCTAAATAAAGGTCAGCATATCTACATTTATGGCTTAGAAGACTCTGTATTGGAAACAAGACAATTATCCATAAACTGATCTGCAGAGTCAATGCAACTCCTTATCAGAATTTCAATGGTTTTTATTTTTTGTGAAAACTTACAACCTGATCCTAAAATGTATATAATATGTAGATGACCAGAAATGGCTAATGCACTTCTGAATAAAAAGAAGAAGTTTGAAGAACTTGCTTCACTGGTTATCAATGTTTATTAGAAAGCTACAATGAGAAGGATAGTGGTATTGAAACAAGGGTACAATAAAAGTCAGTGAAACTGATTAGAGTCTAGAACAAAGCCAAGCATATATACACATTAGGTTGGTGACAAGCATGGCAGGTGGAGCAGTGAGGAAACATAGTCCTGTGAATGAATAGTGTTGGAGTAATTGGATGCTCTTATGAGAAGAAAAGAAAACTTGTCCTCTACTTCACACAACACCCAATTGTAGTAGATTATAGATTTAAATATAAAAGTCAAGAGAATAAAACTTCTGAACATAAATAAGCAGGGCTGTTTTCCTGATTTCAGAGATAGAATTTAATAGGATTTTAAAAGCACTATTCACATGAGTCTTTCCTGAGCAAGAAGACAGAATAGGAAGCCCTGGACCTTCCTTCCACCCTGTGATCTCACCAATTCAGCAACAAAGCATGGACAAATTTCCTGTGAAGTCCAGAATGCAGAAACTAGCTGAGAGGCTTCTGCACCCTAGGTGAGCACAAAACTACCCACATCAAAGTCAGTAGGGAAATTTAAGACACCCTCTTGCCATAATCCCTGCCCTTGGCACTGTGCCTTGTAATTGCAAGGAAACCCCCAGCTCCCAGATTTTCCTTGGGGAGGGAAAAAGATGGACTATGCATCCAGAACCCCACTTTGCTGGGAGATACCTGGAGGACGGGCTTCTGTCTAGCCTGTCTCAGAGTGCTGATGCACCTGCATCATCTAGCCACCCACAAGTAAGTGAGAACAGAGATGACAATTTGATCTAATATGCAGCTAGTCGCCACAGCTTTCTCTCCAGCTTGATGCAGACCAAATAGCTAAAAACCAAAACAAAACAACAACAATAAAACACACACACACAAAACCCAAATGTCAGTTTCTCCCTGGGGATAGGGAAAAAAAAAACAGTTAGACAGGGAATCCAATGATTCAACTTTTCTGGAGGTGGCCTGAGGAACTGGCTTATGTCTTGCTTGTTCTCAGAGCACTGATGGGACACAGTATATTCTAGATGCCTAGGGACTGCTTAAAACCAAGAAAACAGGTTGGACTAACACAAAGGTCCAAGAGGCTCCGAAAATCTCTGCTTGGGCTGATTATAAGGGTCTTTTGTATGAGACTAGTCTGTGAATATTGGGAGAGGTCGCTGTTTTATCTAATGTGCAGACAACACAGAGAGTCAAGGAAAATGAAGAAACGGTAATATTTCCCATACAATGGAAAAAAATAAATTTCCAAAAATTGACCTTAATGAAATGGAGGTATATGATTTGCCTGAAAAAAATTAGAATAACTATTATAAAGATGCTCACCAGGGTAAGGAGAACAATTAATGGATAAAGTGAGAATTTCAACACACAGAAAATACAAAGTACCAAATAGACATTGTAGAGCTGAAGAATAATAACTCAGCCGAAAAATTCACTTGAGGGGTTTAACAGCAGAGTAGATGAAGCAGAAGATAGAAACAGTGAACATGAAGACAGGTCACTGAAGATTATTCAGTCATAGGAGCAAAAATAAGAAAAGAATAAAGAGTAAAGAAAGCTTCAAGGATTTAAAAGACATTATCAAGCAGATCATGGATTGTGAGAATCCTGGAAGAAGAGAAAGAGAAACACCAGAAAGCATATTCAAAGAAACAGTAGCTAATTTTTTTCTAAATCTGAAGATGGAAATGGTCTAGATCCAGGAAACCCAAATGACAATAAAATGAGTCCCCAAAATGCATACTGAGATACATTATAATCAAATTGCCAAAAGTCAGAAAAAGAGAATTTCGAAAAGCAGCAAGAGAAAAGCAAGTTGTCACACACAAGGACACCCCCATAAAACTGTGAGTGGAGTTTCCAGCAGAAACCTTACAGGCCAAAAGGGATTCAGATGATATATTCAGAGTACTAAAATAACTGGAAACCAAGAATACTGTGCCTGGCAAAACTGCCCTTTAAAAATGAGGGAGAGGTGAAGATGTTCAAAAGCTGAGAAAGTTCATCACTACTAGGCCTGCCTTACGGGAAATGTTAATACCTTCAAGATGAAACCAAAAGACACTAAACAGCAACATTATAACATAAGAAAATAAAAAAATCTCATTAGTATAAGTAAATATATAGACAAATATAGACTAATTGTAATAATGGTAGGTAAATCACTTTTAATTCTAGTCTAAAAGTTAAAAAAAAGTATAAAATATAACTAAAAATGTGTTTATGGGTGCACAATATAAATGGATGTAATGGTCTCACTTTATATTTAAAGACATACATAGGCTGAGAATGAAGGGTGGAAAAAAAAAACTCCATGCAAATGGCAACCAAAAGAGAGCAGGGGTGGCTACCTTTATATCAGGCAAAATAGACTAATTCAAAAATGGCTGCAAGACACAAAGATGGCCATAATGTAATGATAAAAGAGTCAATTCAGCAGAAACATATATATATATATGTGTATATATATATATGTATATGTATATATATACGTATATGTATATATGTGTGTGTGTGTGTGTGTGTGTATATATATATATATATATATATATATATATATATATATATATATATACCCAACATCAGCACACCAAAATACATGAAGCAAACATTGATGGAACTGAAGGAAGACACCGATAGAAATACATAGTAGTAGGAGACTTCAGCACCCCACTTTCAATACTGGATAGACCAACCAGACAGAAAATCAACAAAGGAATAATAGACTTAAACACTATAAATCAAATGGACCTAACACAAACGTACAGAACATTCCACCCAACGGCAGCAGAATCTACATTCTTCTCAAGTGCACTTAAAACGTTCCCCAGGATAGATCACATGTTAAATTACAAAGCAAGTCTCAACAAATTAAGAAGAATGAAATCACACCAAATATATTTTCCAAACACAATGAAATGAAGTGACATCAGTAGCAGAAGGAAAATGTAAAATCATAAATATATTAAAATGAATAATTTTGAACAAGCAATAGGTCAAAGAAGAAATCAAAAAGTAAGTTAGAAAATACCTTGAGACCAATGAAACGAAAGCATAACATACCAATACTTATAGGATATGAGGAAAGCAGTACTGTGAGGGAAGTTTTCAGTAATAAACACCTACATTAAAAAGGAATAAATACCTGAAGTAAACAACCTAACTTTACATCTCAAGGCGCTAGAAGAATAACAAACTAGGCCCAAAACTAGTAGAAGGAAGGAAATAAAGATTAGAGGATAAATAAACAAAGAATAGAAAAACAATAGAAAAAATCCACAAAGCTAAGAGTGTTTTCAAAAGATAAACAAAATTGACAAACCTTTAGCTAGACTAAGAAAAGAAAGAAAAAAGAAGCTCGATAATGAAAATCAGAAATAAATAAACGGGATTACATCAAACCAATAAGCTTTTGCACAACAAAGGAAATGATCAACAGAGTGAAAAGGCAACTATAGTGAAGTCCTACAATTTGACACATACAATATTAATAAACTGGTTGAAAAATGGACTAAAGACTTGACTATACATGTCTCCCAAGAAGACATACACACTGCCAACAGGTATATGAAAAGATGTTCAATGTCACTAATCATCAGGGACATGCAAATCAAGACCGCAAGGAGTTATCACTTCACATCTGTTAAAATGGCTATCATCAAAAATTCAGAAGTCAGCAAGGGTTGGCAAGGATGTGGAGAAATTGGAGCCCTTGTACACCCTTGGGGGAATGCAGAATAATACAGCCACTATGGAAAACAGTATGGAGATTCCTCAAAAATTAAAAATAGAACTACCATATAATCCAGCAATTCCAGCTTTGGGTATTTATCCAGAAGCATTGAAATGAGGGTCTTTCAAAGATATCTTAGCACTCCAGTGGTTGTTGCACCAGTAGGAATAACCAAGATATGAAAACAACGTAATGTCCATTGGCAGTTGGCTAAAGAGAATGTGGTATATACATTCAGTGGAATTATTTAACCTTTAAAAAAGAAGAAAATTCTGCACTATGTGACAACACAGTGAACCTTAAGAACATCTTCTAAATGAAATAACACAGTCACAGAAAAATAGTTAAAGCATGATTCCACTTATATGAGTTATTTAAAATAATTAAACTCATGTAATCAGAGAGTACAATGGTTGTTGCCAGGGGCTGCAGGGAGGGAGAAATGGAAAATTTCTAATCAATGAGCATAAAGCCTCAATTATAAAAGATGAATAAGTTCTCTAGATCTATTGTACAACACTGTCATTGTATTTTACAACACTTAAAAAGTGTATCATACGCTTAAAATTTGTTAAGACAGTAGACCTCATGTTAAGTGTACTTACCGCAGTAAAATAAAATTTTTCAAAACCACTACCTATAAGGTGAATGAGTAAGAAATTGGACTTTATTAAAATCAATAATGTCTTTTATTTTAAAAAGAATTAAAAGGAAGAAAAGCAAACTATAAGGTGAAGTTATGTGCAACATCTCTAAGTGATAACAGATTAGCATGTCATTGAGACCTTTTAGTGAACTACTTCAAAATTGTGCTGAGTGCTTACTTTACAGTGTCTAGATAAATCATAGGTTAAATAATGTAATGCCTTTAGCAATCAGAGAAGCCAGAACTCTCTTGAGTAGGACAAAATATACACATTAAATACAGAACTACAAATCTGGAAGACTCATTGCAGTTTTTGAAATGTATGCTCTTTCATGTATATGTAACCATTGCAGTAGAAGGTCCTGGCACAAAATATAGTGATGTGTTTGGAGATACTTTAGGAAAACGTATTATATAGACATATTCCCATTATCATGAATGTTAGTCTTGGGTAATTGGACCTTGGCAAATTGGACCCTGAATACTAAGAATTTTCTTCAAAGGCATTCTTCCTCTTATGGTGACAGACACAAGCAACATTATTTTTATTCACATTATGAATACCATATGAAATCTTGCACTTTAAAATAATTTTGGTAACACCATTTTTATAAGATACATTCATTATACAACTGTTCACACTTTGCAAATAATTAAAATGTTCTTAGATTTATGTGATGATTTCCTATGAAGCCTATATGTAGCTTATACAAGTATATATTCATTTACTTCTGTTTTTGATGTTCATTTCTCCTTATGTAGCTCAAGCTACTTTATATCTTTGAAAATATCCATCTCTTGGTCTTTGTAGATGCAGCATTCCACATTATAATCATAACCTGGGATGAGTTCTTTTTGTAAGCGTTTGTCTGATGCAACTTGACAACTTTGAACGCTATTTTCCTTCTATTGTACTTGTAAATTTCATTTCCTTATTCTGCTTTATAATTAAATGCTATTTTCAGCAAACATAAAAAATGCAAAAATGGGCCGGGCGCGGTGGCTCACGCCTGTAATCCCAGCACTTTGGGAGGCCGAGGTGGGCGGATCACGAGGTCAGGAAATCGAGACCATCCCGGCTAAAAAAACGGTGAAACCCCGTCTCTACTAAAAATACAAAAAAATTAGCCGGGCCTAGTGGCGGGCGCCTGTAGTCCCAGCTACTTGGGAGGCTGAGGCAGGAGAATGGCGTGAACCCGGGAGGCAGAGCTTGCAGTGAGCCGAGATCCCGCCACTGCACTCCAGCCTGGGCGACAGAGCGAGACTCCGTCTCAAAAAAAAAAAAAAAAAAAAAAGCAAAAATGGTTAAACTGTCTTCAAGTTGAAAAGAAAATGTGTCTTTCTTGACACCATCTTTGGATAGAAAATTGGGAAGTCACGAAGACTACCTCACAAGGTCATTGGTCAGATTAAAGAAATAATACCTATCAAATAATATAGTAACTGCACGGTAAATGTCAACTGCTCATGATTTAAAGTGTTTAAGATTGTAGTCCAAGAGGATACTCTACGCTTTTAACTTATGAACATTTTTTATGTGGGGGAAATTCCCCTGAATGATGAGGAATTTCGTTCGTTTTAGGTGGATGGAGTTTCCAGCATGACATTCAATTTCTGTCAAGGCTATGGCTGTGAAACTGAGAGTGTGGTTTCATTAAATGGTGCTTTTAATCTCCCTTAGTTTATGTGAGAAAGTGGTGGATTTTGGTGTGGTTTTTTTTTCATTCCAGTTTCATTTCAGTTTCCAAATTAAATGCTCTTCTTAAATATTTGCAGAGAATCTGAAAATTTTAGTGAGAGGAAGATTAACAGTCTCAGCAGTGTCTTGTGAGGTCACGAAGTACTGTCTATTGTTTATACAGAAAAACCTTCTCACTTTTGCTAAGCCTAATCCCTGAATTCATGGTTTGCACTGCTTTGATTGATTGATTTGTCTTTCTAGGTCAGAGGTGTTGAACTCCGGTGCCCTTTGGACCCCCTCACCATCTTCATAATAATTTTCCTGGCCTCTCCTTGTGTATTTCCACCCTGTTCCCTTCAGTCCATGCCAGCTCACATTCCTTCTGTGTTTCTGTGCTCTTAGCCTGGCATGGCAACTCTGACTCCTCTACCCTCTCCATGGTGGCCTCCCCAGGGTGCCATCTCCCACAGGACTTGCAGCGAGCTGACACTACCCCCCAATTCCATGGCAGGGACTGCTGGGAAGAAACGTCAACAGCGTCTCCTCTGAGGAGCAGCTCAAGCTAATCCTGTTTGTTTTTACCAATGTAGTCGTGGCCTTCTAGTATGCAAGCCTAGGAACCCACTGCTGCCATTTCCTTTGATGGCCACTGTTTCTCTTTATCTCAGTTTCTTCTTCATCAGCCAGACTCAGCCAGACTTCCTTCAGAGGGGCTTTGTGTTTGAGAGGCCTCACTAGGAGGCCCATCCTCATCTTTGGAAAACTGGCTGGTGTCACAAGGCAAGGCTAAGCATGTTCAGTCTAAATATTTTTTTTAAAAGAACATTTCAGTCTGAGGGTAAAACGTGATTTGACAATGTGATTTAACTTGGGATGGTCACCGACTGTGACCAACTTCACGCTGGTGAAGCATTTAGAATGACTTAAATCATTTTCTCATGGAAAAATCAAACCTTTTGGAGCTAAAAAATAAAAAAGTGATTGAGAGGTTTTTTCAAGACATCCCAAATAGGGCATCATTTTCCTGATTTAGACCCTGTGAGCAAGAAAGGCATGGAAAGACTTCTGCACATCCTTAGCTCATGCAGTTTAAATCTGCCACATCCTCAATACAGCAAACACTCACTGCATTCAAAACACGGAACACTCTGAAGTGTGGAATCCCGAGTTTTTGCCATTGTTGATAGGATAAAGAACCCATGCCCATTCTTCAAGGCTACAAAAACCCTAAATTACATACAATAAAAACCGTGCTCCTGTAACGCAGCTGCTACAGCTTCCCTTATAGAGTATTAGAGTAAACCAGCCCCATTCTAATGCTCTCATGATTCCGTTTTGGGTGGCAGTGCACACTTATGAGCACTTTGGAAGGGTACTCAAAGCAGGAGCTTCTGGGAGACTGTGTGTTTAAATATTAAAATATAACCCAGTGTGGAATTGGAATCATTTTCTTCAGGCACAGGAAAGCCACGTCATTTTTTTTCTCCTTCCACTATTACCTTTATAAGGCCTTGTGTAAAACTATGTCCCAGAGAGGAGATTTACTTCTTTAACCTCATCAGTAATACTCATCATTAATACTAAGGGTCCCCTCAGATGGGACTTGCACCCTGCCAGGGAGATGGGGGAAAGACTGTGAGTCCCACCTCCTTCCAGTAGAGCTACCTTGGGATACCGTGTGTTGATGCTCTGAATCAGTAAGGGGAGGCCTGAGTCCAGCAGCTAAAGCATCTGCTTCTGACAGAGTCAGAAATTCCAGCCCATCCCTAGGGCCGATTGTGCCCAGGGAACATTGCAGATCCTCAAGTCAGGTTTCGAACCAGTGCATTTACTGTTGTTTTGTTTTGTTTTGTTTTGTTTTTCCTGGAGGGAATTCAGATGTTTGCAATATGTCCCCTTCACACTGTTTCTAGCTGTGGATCCCAGGCGAGTAGTTCCAGGAATGGGGGCTAGTACTAAGGGCAGAGCTCCGCCTTCTGCCTCCCTCCTCCTCTCTGGGGGTCTAAGGGTCCAAGGCAAGCCTCTCATTATTGCTGAGTGCAGTCATTGGAAACCATTTGGACCAGAGCACAGAAGCGTGGTTACCAGGACCTGGGAACAGAGGAAATAAGGAGATGTTGGTCAGTGGTCCAGACTTGCAGTTAAGTTCCGCAGGCCTAATGTACAGCAGGGAGCCTATAGATAATACTGTATTGTGTACTTGAAATCTGCTAACAATATTGTATACTTGTAACTGGCTAAGAGGGTAGATCATAAATGTTCTCACCACCATAAAAAAATAAAAGGCAACTGTGAGGTGATGGATGTGTTAATTAGCTTGATTGTGGTAACGATTTCACAATGTACACGTATGTCAAATCATCACATCATGCATCTTGAACATAGAGAATTTTTATTTGTCAATTCTAGCTCAGTAAAGCCAGGGGGAAAAAAATGTCTGAAACCAACAAGGGCTCCAGTGAGCCTCGGTCACTGCTCTCTTGATGATGTGGATGGGTGGCTCTTCTTAGTTCCTATCTGTAGAATGGGGATATTCATATTGTTGTGAACATTGGGTACAGTGGGGCTATGTCAATTATTTGGAAAGTGGACTGACTCCTAGTAATTTGTAGTAAGTGCAAGTTATTACCAACACAGGTCACTGCTGACCAGCACTGTGGTGGGGCAGTCTCTATGCGGAATTTGCGGATAATTGTGATACGGCAGTTGAAGACATAGAGTGTTAACATAAGGAGAAAAAATAGTGAGTAATACCATGAGGAGGGGCAGGCTGTTGGCAAATATGCCAATGCCACGGGAAGATGGCAGACAGGAGGATGGAGAGGACTGGACGAGGCTGGATAAGAGGGTGTCCAGGCGTGGGCAGAGCACAAATGGGATGGGGAGGAAGGGAGGTCTGTGCCGGGATGTTGTACCAATGCGTGCACCATGGTGGCTATAGTAACGGGTTGGTTTGTAAGCAAGCACGATACACGGAGCCTTGAGTATCATGCAAAGAATATTAACCCCAATTCTGTAGGCTCTGGGTAGCCATGATACATTTTTTTAATAGCAGCATATATGGTTGAATATAGTTGGAGAATATAGCATTCAATGGGATGCGAATCTGAAAGCAGTCAGTGGGTTGGGGAGGGCAGAGGGAGGATTTCTACACAAGAAAGGAAACTGAGAAAAGGCAGGATGTCTATAGCAATGTGCAAGGGGCACCTGCTTCCACCAGGGGGTCCTGGCCCAGATCTGCTAGCATCACCCGGTTCCCAGGGCCTCCTAGCCAGAGGCAAACTTACCATAGAGCCTGTAAAGGTAAAGCCCAAGGACCCCTCACTAGCAGAAGCCTTCTCCCAGGCCTTGGGGAAGGTCGTAGCTGTGTGTTCACTTGGTCTTTTACTGCTTGTGATATTTACAAGTGCAAGATGTTTTATACAAGGCTGCTGTCTTTTTCTCCTCTGACATCCCCTGTCACCTGCTCCTTTTATTAAGGGCAGGTGATTATCACCCGGCTAAGGGGATGCTTTCCAAACAAGGTTAGTGGAATATGGGGCATGGCGACTTCTGTCTAGGATGAAGTGCACCCCGATGTTATTGTCTGTCAAGGGTCTAGGGCTCCAGAGGTGTGGGTGGCATGAAGGAGAAACCTGGAGCCCACAGCTTGTGTGTGGGAGCCCCAAACTTTACACGAGAGAAACCTGAGGCTTTTTCCACACTGCAGAATCCTAAACATGCAGGTCCTATTTCCAATAATGCTACAAGTTTAAGTAAACTTCTAAAAACTATTTATAATGTAATTCTGCTTCCCCGTGCTGGAGGAAATAAATATATTCTGAGTCTTGCTCCTAAAAAATAATGTTATTAAATCATTGTCATGGAAGGTCGTGATCAAAGAGTTTGCAGCCAAAAGATGCAGGGCAGGTGAGAATGATGAAGGAGGGCCAGTGGTCAGATTAATAAAAATAAGATCTATTCCTTTTAGATGTGATTTTTGTGATATTTGCAGTTTTAAAATATGACATTTTTCTCATTAGAAACAAATATTGATTTTTCATAATTCATATTAATAATTTATATTAATGTTATAATTTTGCATTATTTTCCTAAAAAGGGCCTGGGTTGCATTAACATCAGGTGACTGACATGGCCTCCTCAGGGGAGCCACGTGCCCCTCTGTGGCAACAGGGCGTCACCCCCTGCTATGCTTCCCCGGGCCTGTCACTAACCCTTCACAACCTGCCCTCCTCGGAGCAGCCTTGGTCCTCTGGGCTCTGATGTGGCTCTCTGACTGCTGCACCCCTCACCTTTCCAACTTCAGCCTGGTGGTCTGGGGACCAGATGTGGCCTCCAGCAGAGAGCTCCCATCTTGCCAACAGGGCCTCCTTGTCTGCAGGTGTCTGCCCTCCCCTGGTGCGGGGCCTTCACAGGGCTTACCAGACCCCACGGTGCACCTGTCCTCAGGGGTGTTAGTCTTTATGTAAATCTAGCACAGTGCCCCGCAAAGGACTCTTAATAAGGGAGGTGCCTGGGCTAAGCTGGGAAGAATGCTCAACCAGGCGGCCAGACCTTGGGAAAACCCTTGTGCCTGTGAAGCAGGGACAGGCGCCCAGGGAGAGAGGGAAGCCCACCGTCAAAGCCATGTTTCCCAGGACAACTGAATAAATAACACCTGCAAGAAACAAAAAAACATATATTTGAGTTATGCTTCCATACCTGAGAAGGAAAAAATAAAAATGGTTTTACTCTAATCACTGCATTATACATTGTTAGATAAGAAACCTGAACAACCTTTAATTGGCAAAGGCCTATTACTACCATTTTGTAAAGAAAACAGCCAGTGGCTTCTTTTCCTGATTTGTTTATCTAACTCAAGCTAACGAGCTGAGGCCCAATAGGGGGAAAGAGGCTTTGTCCCCCAGCAAGTGTCTCCTGCAACCAGAATCTCAAGGTTCCCATCCTGCTCTAATCTCCTTTTTTTCATTTGGTCCTCTTCTTTAATAAAGGAAGGGAGAAAAGTGTGAGGAAATAGTTTCCAAATTTTCTAGAAGTTACAGATGGATATTGTGAATAAGCATAACTTTTCTTCTGTTTTCTTAAAATGATCCGCGTGTCGCGGTAATTCGTGGCTTATTTGGAAATTATTGAGCTCTGCAGTGACTGAAACAAATCATGAACTTGGGCTGTTCACCAGCCTGATGGTTTACATTGGAGGGTCCGCATGAGTTTCATCTGTTAGTATTTCAGACACATTAATTTCATAGCATTAAGGAATTATATAGAATCTTTATTTTCAGATAGACATTGTAAGAATTTTTTTTCTTTGCAAAAAGGAAGGATGATTAATGCCATTACAAAGTAAGTTTATGAGAGAAATAAAAATATTTCTATGTGGGTGGGAAGTGTTTCTTCAACATTTAGTCAAATGTAGACACAATAAAACATCCACACCATGCATAGCCTCACTCTGTCTTAAAGTGGCATTCATGGCAAGATTTCAGAACGAAGAAGAGCTTGCACCCGGAACACTGTAGGACGCTCCCCTCTGCTACAGGGAAAGAGTACGATCTTGTGTGGGACAGGGGTGGGGATTCCCGCCTTGCTCTGCAAGCCTCCACCTCATGGATGGTTCTCGAATACTTCATGCAAAATTCAGACCTATGAAAGTCCTTCCAATAATGGAAGATGGGACATAGGAAGAAACCATCCCATCATGTTCTTCTTGCAAAAGTAAGATAGAGAAATGAGAAAAAAGTGGAAAATTAGTTTCAAGAGGGAAAGGCTAACTCTAGGCAGGGATATGGAAATGTAAACTTTTAGAGTCAGAAGGGTCGTTACATTTAATCCAATCCGACACTTGCATTGTACGTATGAGGAGACTGAGGCTAAGGAAGGTAAATGATGTCGCACAGTTTATGAACAGTGTAAATGTGGAGGACACTTCTGCCCTGGGGTTCTTCTACACGCCCCGAGTCTAACACCCAGACTCTGCTGCTGATGCCCCTCTCAGTCGCATCCAGGGAAATGGATTTGAGCTGCAGAGTTTAGAATAATTGGTACTTAGTAGCTGTGTGACTGGATGAAGGTTACTCAATGTCTTAGGCCTCAGTTTACCCTTGGAAGGAAGGGTGGTCACTGTCTCTGTGTCAGGAATCCAGTCGCCTGGCACAGAATGCACCTGTGCCTCCTGGGAGGGATGCTAGAACACGCCTTCCATCCAGCTCTGTGTTCTCCCGATCTCATACTGCATCTTAAAGTGCTTTATGGGGAAGGGGCACAAACTGCTCCTAATGGGGATGGAGACAGAAGATAAGGAGAAAAAGGGCGAACAAGAGGGCCCTGATTGCCAGTCACTCTTTGCCTTACCCTGTGTATAGACTAAAAAGGCTCATTCAGAAATTGTTAGTGGAGGGTCCTGTAATTCAAAATATTTTTGACATATTGAGTAATGTTGGTAAAATTCTTCAAGTTTTCTGAGCTTCAATTTCTCTGTTATACTTAGGTTAAACAAACAAAAAGCTTTGAACAATTTCAGATTCCAAAATTCAGATGGGGCTTTTGTAGAGAATATTGGTTACTTTGACATTATTGATCGCATTGGCGGGCCCTGGATGTGCTTGGGAGGACATTTTCATCCTTCTCGTCTCGTTCCTCAATCCAGTAAACCAGTGTTCAAAGAAAGAAGGGAGTAAAACTTAAAAATGCCCATATGTGCCTCCCTGACCATTCTCACATACTGAATTTTAGTTAAAGTATTGAGTGTGTTCTCTGTGCAAATATAGCCTATTACACATTTTAGTCAGAAATCATCGTTAAGCTCAAATCCTGCCAGGATGGAGGGAAGGCAGCTGTCAGCTCACAGTCTGTTCTGCAGGGATGCCTTTGAACTTGCTGCTGCACCATCTATATGCCTGTCTCACTCTACACCTCACTGAGGTCTTGGCTTCTGTATGGCTTTCCCATGTCTCCAGCACCTGCACACCCCAGAACCCTTTCCCTCCTTCCCCACTCTATCAGTCTGGACGGGCTCCTCTGACAAACTGCTCTGGATGCTTCTCACCCAGGGCACGTGGTTCACGTGAGTCAGCAGAGCTCTGCTCCACACAGTCTCTCAGGGCCTGAATGGGTGAGCAGGTCCCACATGGGCTCTTCCAGGGCCCTCCGAGGAGTGGCACATACCACTCTGCTTGTGTTTCACTTCATCGTGAGTGATGTGGCCACACCCAGCCCCAAACGGGGAACAACAGTTCTATCACATGCCTGCAAGCAGGGAAGCCGCGGTATTTGGCAAACAGCACCAATGACTATCATGATCTGTATCTAGCCACTGAATATTAGCTTCTGTCTTTCTCATCAGAGAAAAATACACTTCTCCCATCTTCAAAGGAGGCAACTCAAAAGGTCAACCTTGTTCCGGCCCAAGGTCAAGGTTATGTATATATGCGTATACCTGTCCTGGTAGAGACATCAAGTCTGGATGTGGTTTTCTTTGATCCACTGACCTGTAAACTAAGAAGACCTATCTGATCTCCCTCCTGCCCCACACGTGCAGTGTATGTACTAAGGTGGAAAAGGGCCAGCCTAAGTCCCCACTGGGCAGATCCTGATGGGCTGGGTTCCATGAGGTGAGGTTTTTCTTAGATTCAGCTCTAATTCTTTCCCTAGGGTGGGGCCCCTGAGGTATGTTTTCACTCTTACTCTTGCCTCCATTGTCTGGGAATATATTCTTTTTCCATTAACCATTTTTGCCATGGTAAAGTGGGCATTGGATAATACACCTCCTTTGGGGTCCAAGCAGAGGCTGCCATTTGCCCATGAAAGACAGGCAGGCAACGGTACCATTCAATCTCAAGTAGTCATTTTTCTTCCTGACTTGTGGTTCCTTTGGCAGAACTTCCTTAAAACCGAGCCAACTTTCTACCTGAGGCCAGCTTCACATGTGCACAGCCACATTCAGAGTTCTTTCTCTGTGCAATGCCAAGAGCTGCTGTGCATCTTTGCTTCTGCAGGCCAGCACCTCTCCCTCTCCAGGGCTTTACTCTGAGCCTTTCTCTCTGAAGTATAGGTATTTGGGCCCTACAGCTTTCAGTGGAAGGGCCACACCTTAGTTTCTTTCCCTTGAGCCATATTTGCATAATTAAAGAGGTTACTGGGTGGCAGCCTAATCCATTTAGAGGCTTTAGCAATGGGTGTGATTATTTCTGCCAGGTTGTTTCAATGGACTTTGGCACTGCAAAGTCCCCTTAGAGATTTCACCCATGCATGACACCAGGCGTCTGGCTTCCAGTCCCACATTCCTGAGCTCTAAGCATCAATGCTACCTGCTTTCGTTTCATTTCACCACTCTTTGAACCCCATTTTTGTATCAGTCAGCACATGCTAGGTTATATGACAGAAACACACACATGCACACACTCACACACACACTTACACACACACCTTCACTGTGTGGCTCTGGGTTCAGAGTCTGTCAGTGAGAGGCATGCCAAGTTTCGGAAGGCAGAAACAAGGCTGAGGCCATTCATCCCCAAGGGCACATTCAGACAGACACATGGACTTGGGAGGGTCCATCTGGTTGCTGAGATGCTACATGTGACCTGCCATGGCTGCTGAGCCATGAGAGGCTTCTGGAAAAGCTCGCTGAGAACCTGCTCCCAGCTGTTGCTTTCCTGCCATTTGCTCCCCCAACTGCACAAATGCTTATGCAAGACTCACATTGCCTGTTCCATAATTCCTCCTCTGCTGGATGCCTGGATACCTTTTGTTTCCTCTAATTTGAATCCTTAATAATACACCAGCCTTATTTTTGTGTGCAGTGTAAATGACCACCAACCTATTTATTTAAGGCCCATCTTCCCTGGATAGAATATAAGCTCTAGGAGGGAGGGGGTTTCTTGTTGGCACAGTGCTGGGTCTTCCTTGCTTTGAAAAGCCTGGCATACTCAGTGAAGCAAAGAAATGATGAATGAATGCATTAGTTAATGAAAGACCAGTTGAATTATAAACCTGAAATTGAATTACCTATCACAGAAAGATTCTTTAATGGGAAACTCAGTGGAAAGGGTAAATATGAGATTTGTTGAGAATCAAAAAATTCAGACTCTGCAAAAGTAATATGTTTATAATATCTAATACATAACAAAAATTATGCAAGATATAAAAATCCCTTACAATCAGCCTCTACATCCTTCTTACCATGAACCTAAAATAATTCTTTAAACTGTGATGAGGGGAGTGGCCTCTGAGGCAGCCCAGTCTGCAGGCACTTCTTTGGGTCTCCTAGAGTGCCCCTAGGATAGAATCAGTCCTATCCTAACCATTTGATGGCTGCACAAAGTCTTACTGGGCACCGTGAACACTGCAGTGGCTTCAACCCTGGGCCTTTGCCTCTGTAATTTGTACCTCTTCAGCCTGCTCTTGGAATTGGCATTTGGCTGGGTGGCCGTCCTCTCTACAGTTCTTTGTTGTATTTTATTTCTTACTTTTCTTTTTGTTTTGCTTTTTGTTGCTTGAGAAGACTCAAGTACAAATAGTCATAACTATTATATGAATGAATATGAATGGATCACTTACTCTCTGCCAGGCACTAAGGGTGCTCATTTAATCACTTCCTTTTATCTTCGTTAACACCTTGAGAAGGTGGACACTATTATGTTCCCCATTTTATAGATCAGAGAACAGAGGCTCCAATAGGTCCTGCTACCTGTCAAGGCTTGGACTTGGGAGCCTAGGGTTTGCCTCCACACCCTGAAATAGATTCTACTGTCTCTCTTAGCCCCTCTTCACACTTTGTATATTTATTGGAACTTAAGATTTATAGTATGTCACATAATGTTACTACACTGTTGACAAATAATATTGGTCATCATTCACTGAGTGCTTGCCATGTTGAACCAGTCTCTATCAGAAAGAGAATTGGGGAGGTGAGGATGTCAACATGGAGAGAACACAACGTTTGACAAAGAGAACAAATTATACAGAACATTTATTAATAGAACTGTCTTGCCTCTCCTTCTGCTCTGTTTCAGGAATACCAAATTGACATATTTTTTGCTCAGACCTGGACAGATAGTCGCCTTCGATTCAACAGCACAATGAAAATTCTTACTCTGAACAGCAACATGGTGGGGTTAATCTGGATCCCAGACACCATCTTCCGCAATTCTAAAACCGCAGAGGCTCACTGGATCACCACACCCAATCAGCTCCTCCGGATTTGGAATGACGGGAAAATCCTTTACACTTTGAGGTAAGATGCTGCATCGATCTTTGATTACTCCTGGTTTAAAATGGGATCCTTAATTTGAATCACTGTAGGAATGAGACCCTATTTTCATCTCTAAGTCTATTCTCTTTCACGTGAGACATACTACAGCATCCTGAGAAAGTCTGCCCTCATGCAACATGTGTAAAAATAAAAGCATACAGATGATCCACAGAGAATATAAGTTCATTTCTTCAGAATCTATTTCTGCTGGAAGTAGGCTGTGAAAGTTATTCTTAATAGATTTACACCATAGGTCCTCTCCCCTAGGAAAATACAGATGTCTTGGTGCACTAATCAACAAATGTAGTTAGAGTAAATCTGAGACCACAAGGAAGAGGGGCAGAGTCAGCCCCTTTCCCAGCACATCCCTAAGGGAAGTGGCAGCTCCCCTGGAGTGTGTCCTCCTGGAGTCAGGGAAGTCTTCGAAGAAACCCAGAGAGGTAAGGGAAACTGAGCTTCCAAGAAGGGAACTGACTCGCCCACAGTCACCACTGGGAGCCTGTCTCTCCCAGGTCTCTCCACTGGGATGGTCAGAGTCTAACTGAACACACAGCAACACAGCACTAGCAATGACGGGCCCTCTGCACTCCTGTCTGCTCGCCCAGCACAGGGACTGGATGGTCCCTCCAGCAGTGTCCTCTGAGCGGGTGGTGCTGCTCCAGAGGACACTGCACTCCCTTCTTCCTGAGGTCTCAGAAGCCCTGGGTGCATCTAGGCTTTGCTGTCATGGGCTCACTCTCACTGCCCCGGGGCACAGGGCTCCTTCTTGCACCTGCTTTGTGGCTGCATCTCCCCACTCTGCTCTTTCTGCCTCAGGGCTTGACCCCTGTCACTTTACTCTCCTTACCCATCCCTGCTGGCTTAGCTCATCCATCCTGAGAATGAAAGCCATGTGCGTACTGAGAATTCCCACAAGGAGAAATCTGATTCCTCACATTAAATAAATGTCCACAGCACCCACACAGGCGCAGATGGACATTAAAATAAGCAGACTGTGAGACAGCATTAAAGTTTCAGGGAAATCCTCATTTTGCCAGGGAGGGAACAATTACAGCAAAAACAAACAAACAAAAAAAAAAACCAAAAAAAAAAAACACGCCACAGCTGGGAACCATGCTGATGAAAAACATTGCGAGCTGGAGTTTGTAGAAGTTGTCTCCTCATCAGTTGTAAAGCCATACACCGGAGACTCTGACATGACACGGAACTTCAGCAAGCCAGGGCGAAGACCTGGCCAGTTCTGGAACCCCGTGTAGACACTGAAATATGGGGCTGCTGCCCTGGGAGGATGCAGGGCCCCCATTTGGCAGAGCTACCACCTGCCTAGTGAAAGAGGGGCAGTTGTCCAAACAGGAAATCCCCCCCGATGCGTGCATTAATTTGGCATAATAGCTGTTTAGATAAACACACCAGTTTCCAAATGGAGGAAGGATTTAATTCAAACAGATTGAAAACAACTTATAAAACAACAGTTGGTTTTGTCTCCTCTCTGACTTGGCGTGTATTTCTAGACACAGTTGGAATTTTACTAACTGGAATTCTCTGTGCCACTGATAGTTAAAAGCAAAACAAAATAACCCAACATGAAAGCAACACAGCACAGTCTCACCGTGAATGGTTCCCGGGCCAAGAGTGAGCCGCACATGCTGCCCTGGGTGACGGAACGGCCCTCTCCATCCCCACATGGGGTGCCGTAACGGCCGCCGGCCTTGCCCTGTGCTGTGTGCTGAGCTAGACTGACACTTGGCTTTTTCGCAGGCTCACCATCAATGCTGAGTGCCAGCTGCAGCTGCACAACTTCCCCATGGACGAACACTCCTGCCCGCTGATTTTCTCCAGCTGTGAGTACCAGTCCAAGCCCGGGGTGTGCATGCTGTGTGAGGGATGCCTAGCCTGGTACTGCTTCTGTCAAACAGTCATGTGATTGATCACAGTGTCCCTGCACACACAGAGAAAACTGATGATGGTTTCAGTATTGACCACCTGGGTGTTTTCACTCTAGACCTTGTCACATAGGAGCCATGTTACAAAATAGGTGATCTCGATAAGGCTGTGAGCAACTTGACCATTGACATGGAAGGATTCAGAAACTGATGAACCATTGATTTACCAAAGACCCTTATGCTAATGAGCTGTGCATACTATTTGGAAGTATACAAAATTCCTATGTAATATTTTAGATTTAACATTATCTTTTTTAAATTTATTTTTAATTTTTATTTATTTATTTATTGAAACTGAGTTTTGCTCTCGTCGCCCAGGCTGGAGTGCAGTAGCACAGCCTTAGCTGACTGCAACCTCTGCCTCCCGGGATTCAAGTGATTCTCCTGCCTCAGCCTCCTAAGTAGCTGGGACTATGGGCACGTGCTACCACACCCAGCTAACTTTTGTATTTTTAGTAGAGACAGGGTTTCACCATGTTGGTCAGGCTAGTCTCAAACTCCTGACCTCAGGTGATCCACCCACCTCGGCCTCCCAAAGTGCTGGGATTACAGATGTGAGCCACTGTGCCCAGCTGATTTAACATTATTTTAAAGTAAGGTGATTTGTCTACCAAGTAGAAAGATACAAATTTTTCTTTAATTTTACTTATATTTGTCTCATTGAACCATTGTAAGATGATTTAATTTTTCGTAGTATTTTATCTTCCAACATTTTACTTATGGTAGATATCACAGTTAATCCTTTACAAGTTCTTAAAGACAACATCTACTGCTTAGTATAAGAGTACATATAAAAGGAATATCAAATATCAAATCTATTTATACAATTTTTAAGTTAAAATCAAAATGGAAAGATATCTGGTGAATGAATTTACAATGGGGCATTTTAAATGAATTAATCACAAGTACTTATGTATGACTCATAAGAATTCAGTTTATTGTATTGGCTTTCTTTAAAATTGCATATGGGGCTGGGCGTGGTGGCTCACGCCTGTAATCCCAGCACTTTGGGAGGCCGAGGTGGGTGGATCCTGAGGTCAGGAGATCAAGATCATCCTGGCTAACACGGTGAAACCCTGTCTCTACTAAAAATACAAAAAATTAGCTGAGCGTGGTGGCAGGTGCTGTAGTCCCAGCTACTTGGGAGGCTGAGGCAGGAGAATTGCTTGAACCCAGGAAGCAGAGGTTGCAGTGAGTTGAGATCGCACCACTGCACTCCAGCCTGGGTGACAGAGGGAGACTCTGTCTCAAAATATAAATAAATAAATAAATAAATAAAATTGCATATGGAACATGACAAATCTGATGAAATCTCATGTAGAAGTTTTTGTGGCTTTCTTCATTGAATGTTATAGATTTTTCCCTGAACCTTCAAATGTAAAATATGTTCATCGCTTATTTTACTTTTGCTTCTGCTCCTCGCAAGTGTGCGGCCCGTGGAGGCCCAGGTCCAGATCCAGAGACCAGCAGAGCTCTGCACACCATGCACGTGTTCTCACTGGAAACCTTATTTCTTTCTGTAATAGCTTCCCTTGTTCTGTCATACTGTAAAAATGTGTTTAAATCATTCACAGAGCCTTTTAAGTGCTCAGTTCCAGGAGGGGATTGTGTGCACATGGACTTACACAATGCTGCCAGAAAGAATAGTGCTTGTATAAATTGTTTTAAAAAGATTTTTATAGAAATAAAATAATTTAAATTCTTAAAGACAATTCACACATAGTACTCAGGGAAATACATGAAAGTGAATGCCTTTCTGGAATTAGTTGGCAATGAGCATAAAGTACTAGGAAGAAATCTGGCATAGTAGTAAAAATGGTTTGTGTGACCAACCACATCTATTTCCCTATTTCTGGTGTGTCGTGGTAGTGATGGGTGGTCAGAGTGAATGTAGGAGCCAGGGGGTGGACAGTCTTATATATAATGTCAGAAAGTGGCACCTTCAATGCATGAGCAAAGAAAAATTATCATATCTGAAAATCAGGGAGTGGCAGGATCAAATTCATGTTCAGGAATAGTATGAAAGATCTTATAAGAGCAAAAGTGGGTGTACACAGTTATATACCTATTGGAATGGCAAAAATCTGAAACACTGGCAACCTTAAATGCAGTGGGGATGTGGGGCAACAGGAACTCTCACTCATCGCTGGGGGGATGCACAGTGTCACAGCCCTTTTGGAAGACACCTGGGTCGTCTCTTACAGAAGTAGACATACTGGTACTATATGATCCAGAATTTGCACTCCTTGGCATTTACCCAAATGAATTAAAACTTATGTCCACACCAAAACTTGCATACAGGTGTTTATAGCAGCTTTCTTCATAATTGCCAAAATTTGGAAGCAACCAAGATGTCCTTTGGTAAGAGAATGGATAAACAAACCACGGCATATTCATGCAATGGAATATTATTCAGCACTACAAAGAAAGGAGCTACCGAGCCATAAAGAGACATGTAGGAAACTTAAATGCATATTTACTAGGTAAAAGAAACCAATCTGAAAAGGCTGCATACTCTGATTCCAGCTATATGATATTCTGGAAAAGGCAAAACTGCGGAAACAATAGAAAGGTCAGTGGTTGCCAGGGGTTGTGGGCAGAGGGAGGAGTTTTAGGACAGTGAAACTATTCTGTATGATACTGTCATGTTGGACATATTTGTCCAAACCCATAGAATGTACAACACTAAGAATGAATGCTAAAATCAGTCCCTGGACTTTGGGTGATAATGATGTGTCAACCTAGGTTCATTGATGGTAACAAATGGACCACTCTGGTGGGGGATGTTGACAGTTGGGGAAAGGAGTACTTGGGAATTCTGTACTTTCTGCTCAATTTTTCTGTGAACCTAAACCTGCTTCTTTTTTAAAAGTCTAGTAAAAACTTATTGGAGGTAAAGAAATCAATTAGGAATCTATTGCAATCATAAACCAAAATGTTCTGATAGAGCCATATTATCAAATTAAAAAAAAAAAACTTGGATGCCCAAAATATAAAACAGTGCTTTAAAGTATAAGTTTTTGAACCACTTTACATGTGTAGCATTAATTCATATGTATAGGATTCACTATTCATAAATGAGAATAATAACACTGTCCTAATGAAAACACTCATTGGTAATTTGGAGTGATGGAGGATACTTGCATCTAAATCAGTTTGGTACCTAAGTTGTTTCCACATGATGGGTGTCCATTTTCAGGAAGAGGCCAATCCTAATACCAATAAGCAACTGAAAGTGAAGTGGGCTGGGCACAGTGGCTCATGCCTGCAATCCCAGAACTTTGGGAGGCCGAGGCGAGCAGATCACGAGGCCAGGAGTTCGAGACCAGCCTGGCCAATATGGTGAAACCCCATCTCTACTAAAAATACAAAAATTAGCCGGGCATAGTGGCATGTGCCAGCTCGGGAGGCTGAGGCAGAAGAATCCCAGCTACTTGGGAGGCTGAGGCAGAAGAATCGCTTGAACCCGGGAGGCAGAGGTTGCAGTGAGCCGAGATCACGCCACTGCACTCCAGCCTGGGCAACAGAGTGAAACTCTGTCTAAAAAAAAGAAAAAGAAGAAAAGAAAAGAAAGTGAAGTGGTGTCCCTGTTTGTGAACAGTTAACCTTGCAATGTCCTGGTATTTTTCAATTAAATACACTCTGAAGCTGTATTTTTCCACTTAAAAATTTTATAGTAACAAAGCTGAACAACTTGTTATATTCACTATCATACAAATAAAAGTTAGGAAAACTGCCCAAAATGTACAGTAAGATATAAAGTGATCATAAAATTGAGTAACAACTTTTAGGCTGGTCTTGGCTCTCTGAGTTTCCAATATATGCACAGAGATGAGGTGGTAACATTTACTATATAACATGTTTGGGTAATAACTTTGATTTTTATGTTTTAAATAGTTGAGATTTTTGAAATAATATTTTAATTAATTAAAAATTTCCTATAGCACTTTCTGTAGTCATTGTGGTTAAGGATCACATTTTAAAAATTCCTAAAATGTAGTTTAAAAGGTAATGTTATTAGTTTATTTAAACTTGTTAAAATTATTAAAACTAAATTTTAAATTACTTATATGGATGAATTAAAAGTGATTTTGATATGGACTCTTGGACAAACATTTTTAGTGTCCAGAACTTGGCCATAATTGTGTATTTAGTGTACTCATAGAAACTGAACCATAAAGAATATTCAATTGCAAACAGCATTGGTTGTTTTATTCATTTCCTATTACTCGTGCAACAAATTACTGCAAACTTAGTGGCTTGAAACAACATCAATTTAATATCTTACATTTCTGTAGATCACAAATCTGAACTGGGCTAAAATCAAGGTGTGGGCAGGGCACCATTGCCGCCTGGAGTCTCTGGGGGAGAATCTGTGCCCCGGCCTTTTTCAAGCTCCTAGAGGCCGCCCGCATTCCATAACGTGGGTCCCCTTCTTCTATCTTTGGAGCCAAAAACAGCACCTCTCTCTGATCCCACTTTTGTTGTCATATCTCTCTTAGACCACAGCAGGAGAGCTCCCCTGGTTTTGAAGACCTGTGTGATTAGGTTGGGCTCACCCACATGGGCCAAGATGATCTCCCATCTAAGATCCTTCACTTACTCACATCTTTGAAGTCCTTTCTGCCGCGTAAAGTGACACAGTAGCAGGTTCTGGGGTTGAGCAAGTGAACGTCCTTGCTGGTTACTAGTTTGCCTGCCACGAGTACTAGTCACTCAGAGCATTCCAAGACCTGGGAACCTGCCTGGTCGATATGCCACTCACAATTCTCAGATTGTCAGGAGAATCTACACAGCAGAACAAGCCCAAAATACATTTCACTAAAAGGAAAAATCATTCCCCAGTGAATTATGACAAACTGTATTGTTTAATCTGTGTCTTAATATATTTTATGGAAAAAATTAAATAAAAAGGCAAAATACAAATTTTGGTCATTTAGTTCCTCATTCCTTAAGTTGTTTTGAAAATAATTTGTTTTCTTCTTGGTTTTCTTTTGATTAAATGTCAGCATTATGAAATAAATGTTTCTTTTTGTCCAGCTGATTGGTTAATATATATTAGTATGAGCTTTATTTTACTCATGATTTCACTTCCAAAAGTTGTATTGCCTTTGAAAAATTAATGTGTCTAGCTTAGTATAGCTGCAGTATATACCTTTAACTAAACGATGCAATATACATAGATGTCATAATCTGTTTTAAGTCAACTAAAAAATTAATGACAAAATGTTAAGAATGCCAGTTTTACAACTCTATGCCATTATTTTTTCTAAAGAGAGGTATCTCTTCACACACATACACACACAGGCACACACATGCATATACACTTCTGTAAGCTAATATAGGGGTTCACCGGACCTCGACATAATCTCTTTCTGTTGTTTAGTTTGAGATATAGAAAATTATATATGCAAAATAAATGATCATTGGCAATTGTTTAAATTATGTACTAGATTAAAATCCCAAAGTTGAGATGCCATTCCTTTAATTAAACTTTCAACAGTAAAATAATTAGTACCCCACTGTTGACTCTTTATTGTGCAATGTTAAATCCTGGGACACTGGTCACACTAATGCATGGCACTGCTGCTGTTAGCGTGTCTTGAACCTTATCTTTAAAATGCTATGGTATGAGAAGTATGCAAGTAGCATATATCATTACTCTATCAAACAACAAGTAAATGATTTCTGAAGTTCGGTTGGATGTCTATGGGCAAAAAAATAAGCTTGAACTTATACGATAGTTAATTCCAAATGAATTGAGGCCCTAAAGTCAACATAAAAACACAATATATTAGAAAAAATACATAGGAAAAAATATTCACGAACTAAGGCTAGCAAAGAGTATTTATACTTGACACTGAAAGCATGATCCCTGCCCCCACAAAAAAGTGATAAATGAGACCTTGTCAAAAGTGAAAACTTTTGGTCTACCAAAAGCTTGTCATGAGGTTGAAAAGGCAAATTAGGCTGGGAGAAAACACTTGCAAACCAGAAATCTGATAAGGCTTGAATCTGTGATATATAAATACCTCTTAAATAATTTCATTTCTTTTTATGACTGAACAATATTATATCATATGCAATACTGTGATTTGTTTGTTCATATTCTGATGGGCACTTGGCTTGCTTTCATCTTTTGACTTTTGTGACTGCTATACCCATTGGTAGACAAGACCCCTTTTGACTGTTGTGACTGCTATACCCATTGGTAGACAAGACCCTGTTTGAGTCCCAGCTTTCAGTTCTTACGGGTATATTCCTAGAAGTGGAATTGCTGGACCATATAATAATTCTATATTTAATTCTCTGAGGAAATGACAACCTGTTTTTCACAGCAGCTGCACCACTTTACATTTTCACCAGCAATGCACAAAGATTTTAGTCTCTTCACATCCTCACCAACACTTGTTATCTTTTCCCTTTTTATTGATAACAGCCATCCTAGTGGATGAGAAATTGTAGCTCATTATGATTTTGATTTGCATTTCCCTAATGACTAAGGATGTTTTAATACATGCTATACCACGGATGTTCAGATGCATGCTATGCCTTTGGAAACATCATTTAAGTCAAATAAGGCCAACAAAAAAGGGATGAGTACTCTATGCCTGCACCTCCATGAGGTATCTAGAGTAGGCAGATTCACAGAGAAAGCAGAGTGGAGGGGACCAGGGAGTGGGGGGAGGAGAGAACGAGGGGAGCACAGAGCTTCTGTGTGGGAGGATGAGCAGGTTCTGGAAATAGAGTGGCGATTGCTGCCCAACATTGGGAATGTACTTACTATGACTGAGTTGTACACTGAAAATGATTAAAATGATACATTTTATATTATGGATTTTTAAATCACATTTTAAATGTATACTAAAAACTGAACAACAACAAAACAATCCAGTTAGAAATGGGTAAAAGACAGGCTGGGCGTGGTGGCTCATGCCTGTAATCTCAGCACTTTGGGAGGCCGAGGTGGGCAGATCACCTGAGGTCAGGAGTTTGAGACCAGCGTGACCAATATGGTGAAACCCCATTTCTACTAACAAACAAACAAATTAGCCGGGTGTGGTGGTGCATGCCTGTAATCCCAGCTACTTGGAAGGCTGAGGCAGGATAATCACTTGAACCCTGGAGGCAGAGGTTGCAGTGAGCCAAGATCGTGCCATTGCACTTCAGCCTGGGAAACAAGAGCAAGAGTCAGTATGAAAAGAAAGAAAGAAAGAAAGAGAGAGAGAGAGAGAGAGAGAGAGGAGAAGAAAAGAAAGAAAGAAAAAGAAAGAAAGAAAGGAAGGAGAGACAGAGAGAGAAAAGAAGAAGGAGAAGGAGAAGAAAAGAAAGAAGATGAAGAAAAAGGAAAGAAAGAAAGAAGAAATTGGTGAGAGACATAGTCATTTGACCAAAGGTGATATTTACATGGAAAATCTGCATGTGAAAAGATGTTCAATGTCATCAGCTATTATTAATAGTAAATGTAAATTAAAACCACAGTAAGCTATCACTACATACCTATTAGAATGGCTAAAATAAAAAAATAGTGGGAACATCAAATCCTGGCAAGGATGTGGAAAACCTGGATACACTGCTGGTGGGAATGTAGAATGACACAGAAAATAGTACAGAAGTGTCTTATAAAACTAAAACTGTACTTACCATATGACCTAGCGATTGCAAGCTTGGGCATTTATCGTGGAGAAATGAATAGTTATGTTGACACAAAAATCTATGTATACATATTCATAGTAGCACTATTCTTAATAGCCTCAAACCAGAAACAGCCCTCATGTTCTTCAGTGGTTAATGGTTAAGCAAACTGTTGGTACATCCTTAAAATGGATGACTACTCCACAAGAAAAACAAATTACTCATATATGCAAGAACTTGGTCTGCAACAGCATTCGAAGCTGAGTGAAGAATGCCAGTCTCCAAAGGTCACATATGTGGGATCCCATTTATATAACATTCTCAAAATAAGCAGGAAGTGAGAGCTAAGGTGGAGTTGTTAAGTGTCTTCTGTTATTTAAAAAATGAAAGAAGACCTAAATAAGTAGAAAAGCATCTTGTGTTCTTGAACTGAAATACTAAATATTATTAAAATGACAGTACTCTACAAGGTGATCTGTATTGGTTTTCCTCTGTTCTGCTTCTCTTTCAAACTTGCAGACACTTTCCTCTTATTCCCTGAGTAGCATCATGGTCTGCTTAGTTCTAAATGTCTTCATTTTCAGATGAACACTTCTTGTATCTTTTACAATATTTCTTAAATCATAGCTGTCTGATTGAAATACAATGCAAGCCACCGATACAATTTTAGATTTTCTAGGAGTCTCATTATAAAAAGCAAAAGGGAACAGGTGGAGTTAATTTTACTGCATTTTATTCAATACAGTCTATACAGAATATTGTCATTTTGCTATGCAATCAATATGAAAAATTATCAATGAACTATTTTAATAAAATAGCCTGAGATATTTTTATGCTAAGTCGTAGACACCAGTGTGTGTTTTATGACATCACACTTCAGTGTAGAGCAGCCACATTTCACAGCTCAGTAGCCTATTGCCTCTCAAGGCCACCGTGCTGCTGGAAAGCACAGTCTGAGACCCACGCAGAGGTCTTCACACAAGATGCACATCTTCAAAACCCTAGATTTTGTTTAGTATCAGTCATGTTCTTCATTCCTCTTTTCCCATTTTTTCTCCCTGTTTATTTCCAGCGTCTTTCTTTATACATGCTCTGCACTCTCTAGTCTCTCAGTTCCAGATTTGAAATCCAACTATGAGATGTCTTGACTAACCTAAAAAAAGCCATAAAATCTATGCAAATATGCATGTATTTGTATGTGCATAAACTAAATCTCTCACACACACAAATAAGCCTTGTGATTCAAAAAGTTCCAGACCACCCGTGCTTCTCTAAACCCCTTCCTATACATTCACTATTGGAACACAGGCTAGAGAAGGGGAGGAAGATACCTTCAAGTGCAACGCCGTCTCTGAATCAACTAGGACTGTTATTAATAGATAATTCAGCACTAAATATGGAGCGAGGGGAGTCTTAAAGCTAAGAAATACTAGTCATTGTTTGTTACTGTTCGGCTCCTCCTTGGGGGAGATTCTGCTATTAATTCATGTGCCCGAGCTGGTCGGGAATGTGGGGTCAGCGCTTCAGGCTGCCCTTGAGTGGGGCCAGTCTGAAAATAAGCCCTGTCCGCCTCAGGAAATGGAAACACATGTCCGCATCACCTGCTGCTTTTGATACTGGTACCCTAAAAGTTATCCATCAACACACTTCTTGTGGACGTGCTGTTAACCAGGAACGTGCTGGAAAGACCTGTGGTTGCTCCTTCTCCCTGCAGTGATGCCCCCCACCCCAGGCATTCTTTCCATCTCTCTTTTTAAACATACTTGCTATGAGGAGATGCCAGAAAACCAAAGGGCAATGGAAACCGATTTAAGATGATCAAGTCCCCTGATGTGGTGGTTCTGTGGTCCTGAGGTTAAGTTCATTGCTATTAAGTTTGATTCAGACGCTGGTTCACGGCACTCGCATCCTTCCAGGCCACAGGTCTGTGCAGAGTGTTGACTTGGGGAAAGATTCTCCATGCATCGCAGGAGGACCATGCTCCTAGTTAGGTGCTCAGTGCCCCCAGGGAGGCACCATGTGCGTTTCATGGTCAGCTTTGTTCCCTCCAGACAGTAAGGTGCCTGAACTGGACAGGACAACTACATTTATCTATGTTGCTATCAGGCTTTGCAATATTGACTGGCCGTGCAGAGGTACAGACAAACCAGCAAATGTATATTTTTGCACTAATACCTCCTTTCTTCCTGTTTGCAGAGCATATAGAGTACAGCAAACTGTATTTCATTCTAAACTCCTGTTGATGTGACCTAGGGAGAGAATCAACCACTCTTTAGTCATCCAAATGCTTCATATCTGGTGTGTGTATTATAATAAGCCAGGTCAAAATCTCCTTGTCTTCTGCCTACTGCCTAAGTGCACTAATGAGGCGGCCCACTGCCAGGTGGGGCATCCCAACAGGTGGGGCCTTCCCCCATGTCTTTTGCTGTGGCAGGAAAGGAGCATACTGCTCCTTTAGGAGACTCCAACTAGGAGGGTCCTGTCTCCTAGTTGGAGGAGTAAATCTCTAAATGGCAGCTTCTGCAAGGTGTCCACAGAGGCCCCGGGTCCTCTCACACAGAGGTAAGAGGTGTGGACATCCAAAAGGAAGTCCACCTTCCCAGGTGAGGGCGGAGCCTACCAGACATGTAGACGTCAAGGTCCTAAATGCTCAAGCATCTTCTTAAATCCACAAACTCTGGAAGCAGCTAGAGGGAGCTCTGCGGCATGTCCAGCATCCTGGACCTGTGAGTAAGAATCAAGCTGTTGCCCTGGGAACCAGGCTTCCCATCAAGGACCATGCTAGGCAGGCCTCTGCCACAGGTGAGGTGGATGTTTATCATCTCCTGCTTTGCCTGTTTCATATGCTCCACCCCTTGCCTTCTCCCACCCCTTCCTGTCCTTGCTTCCCGTTACTGTAGACTTGCACACCTTGTGGAATGGGAGGCTGCTGGTTGCAGTCAGTCGGGCTGGCTGTGCATTCCTGCTAAGATGACAGTGAAGTAACAGGGCTTCAGTATCGTCCCCCAATAACTGACCTCCTTACTTTGGTGGAAACTCACTACAGAGGGCAAACCACTGTACAGGTACACAGGATTGCGCTGGTTCCTTTTGCCCAGTCTTGAAGGTGGGTTATTTTATTCCAGCTTTAGTGACGTAATTTGTTCAGAGAGGTTAAGAACATGATCATAGCATTGATAAGAGACGCCAGCTTCTGAGGATAAGAAGGGGACTTCTCACTTTGAAGGTCATGGCCTTCTCACTCCATTTAGGTGACCCTGCGTGACTTGTAACAGTGAACCTGGAGGCATCGTGCCCCTTCCTCAAACATCCCAGAGTTGATGGAGGGAGGAGGCGTTGGGGCAGGAAGGCTGGGGAGGCGAGCAGTGAGGGTGACTTTCAGCATCTCTCAGGTTCCATCACACAGCAGCTAGCCTCTCCTCTTGTGTCAGGGAACCTTCTTCATCTCTCTAAACCCCTCTAAACCTCCCTTTCCCCATCTGCAAGGTGGGAATGACAGCAAGTTATACGATGATGGAAGGGACTCTAGGTGAAGGTGTTATAGATTCCCACTTAAGTTAGCTCAGAAAGCGTACAACCATGGGAGTGTTGTGGCTACATGGGCAGGAGCGGGTGCGAGGGATAATTGCACAGTTTCTCTGCGGCCTCTGGAATTCCCAGGGGAAAGAAAGTGCAGTTGTGGTAGACACATTCTACACAGGCAAGGTTTTCAAGGGCAGAGAAAATAGCCAAACCCTCACTAAGCCATCAGCCTTTCATACTGGGTTTCTTACTTCTCAATTTTAAATAATCTACCCACCAATGTACATATGTCTGTGCAAAGATTGCAAATACCAAGCTCTCTGTTGAGTTAAACATGCAACCAGGAGTATGATCCATACTCTCCTCTCCATAGTACAAACAACTTGAAGGAGCCACTGAGAGTTCTTGGCATTATTGAGACGTTTGCTCTGTCAAAGGCAAATTTTGCAAAAATAACAAGGTCAGAAAACCTTCATGTTTCTTACATCTTCCATAAAGGAAAAACTGAAGTCAATAAAAATGGAACCAAAGCTTCAGCAACAATTGTAATTCTAATCACATGGTTATCACCTCCTTGCTTTATACTAGTCAGACATTTTCTATTTTTCATGCAATGTAATCCGAAAGTGCTGTCTTACTGATGGGGCAGACAAACCCTGGAGAGTATACAAAAGAAACCATGTAAAGCAAGGACGACTTTGCTAAGAAGAAAAAAGTCCTATGCTACATCTTTCATGGTTCTGTTATGTACTTTTGTGCAGCATTTGCTTTTTGAAAGCTGTTTTTTAAGAACAGAGATTCAATGATGCATGCTTTTGTTTTGGGGTGTGTTTTGGAGGGAAAGAAGGGCAAGATGGCTGGAACACTGTGCTGAGAAATAAACAGACTTCAGAGGCCTGAAAGCTTCTTCAAACTACTGAAGAGTTAGCCAGGTCAGCAACTCTTCCGAGTATTTATTATCTAGTTCCAGATTTTTGTTTTGTTTTGTTTTTATATGTGGCTTTCCAGAATTAATTTTACTAGTGCGATGGTGTAGGAGAAGACATTTAATGGTAGGGTACTTTTTTGTGATAGAAATATTATTTGCCTTTTTAAGTATGTTTTTTCTTTTTTGCCCTAGTCAGAGTTTTAAGATTAGCATTAATTGGGGGTAGAGAGTAAAAGAGCTAACCGCTAGCTTCTTTGTGTGTTTTTGTTATAGTTTATGATGCATGTATTCACTCAAAAAGTTTAGAAAACTTTTATAAACTTTAAAAATCAAACTTGAACCAAGCTGAGTGTCAGGGAAGCCCTGGGTCAGCCCGATGACTGCGCCTGGCCTGCAGGAAGCTCCGTGCTAGAAAATGGAGCCTGCACACTTCCGTAGGTACATTCAGCCCATCATCCCGTTTCATCCTTACCTTGACTTTGAAGTCCCTGTTTTTTTAAGCACCCTTCCCAGCTGAGGAACATCAAGCACGAAGAGATGAGGTCATCTGCCCCTATCACGCAGGGGGCAAGGCTTTGAGCAGAGCAGAATGGCCAGCAAGTCTGCGCTCTCGGGATCAATATATCACGCGCCAGAAAGGGGCTCACGGCTATTGTTACCCCATTATTGTTGTTATTGGTGGAGGACAGTCAGAACCAAAAGACACTCAGGCCATGGAGTGTGAGATGTACACGGCTGCAGCATGCTCTGCCCTGGCTCGCCACTTGGGATGAAGATTAAAAAATATGTGGTGCTGTTTATCTCTGACAACTGTGTTGGCTGCAGCCATATTAGAGCCAGAGAAATTATTAGGAAAATGTCACTGCTGTTGCAGAGCTGTCAGAGATGTCTGAGAATGTTGCCTGGCTTTCTGAGTTTTAAGAGACAATGTTCCATTCTCCCAGGGTGATTAATTTGGAAGAGGAGTAAATGCCAGCGAGTGAAGCTCAGTGTGAGCATGTCAGAGTCCTGCCACTGCCACGTCATCGCAGTCCCAAGGCCATGTCCTGCTTTCCCACTGGCCTGACACAGGCCCAGCGCCAAGCAGTGGCCAAAGAACAGTGAGGATCCCTCTTCTGTGCATGTGTTTCCTGCTGATCTTCAGGGAAGCACATTCTGACCCCAGTCCCCACCTACCAATTTCCTTTTACAGATGCAAAAACCGAGTCTTAGGGAAAGAATTCAAATGCTGGTGCAGGGTCACACAGCTAGTGTGTGGTTGAGCAACCATGTGAACTCAGCTCTTGTTGTCCAAGTGCAGGGTTCTCTCCACTACCCCAGCCTGTGTCTCTGGCTGCTGCTAGCACATCACCCCTCCACAGCGTTCTGTATCATCTCCATTCATATTCTGGCCACTGCCTTCTCAATAAAGGAGTGAAAAACATGGACTCACATGCCAGACAGGACAATGCTGCTGCTTCCATTCCCACAGACCTTCCAGAGAAAAGAAACGTGGAAATGCAAGGGTTCGCAGATTCTCAGGGCATTCCCAAGGGACGGGAAGGATGCCTCTTTCAAGGGGAGAAGCTGGAACATTCTTCATCAGAGTATTGTGGACGTTATTCGAAAACAGCTTATTTAATTGCAGTAGGATTTCTTGGAGCTCCTTTCCCCTGTGCTTTGTCTTTGATCCACAGTGTGAACCAAGGCGGGGAGGCTGCCTCCTGGGTCCTGACTCCTTCCGTTCTACCTGGACCAGGGGCTCCTGGACGCAGAGCGTTGCTCCCGCCTCACCTGCTCCTGCCTCCTAGTCTGGACTCTTGAGAAGCTTCACGTTGTTGCCCATTCTGCTCAGAGCTTAAAGCACAAGGTACAGGGCTGGTTCCAGGATCACCTGGGCAGTGCCAAGGGGATGCGCTCAGCAAGTGACAGCAAGATACAGTAAATTACCTCTCAAAACAGACTTGCTACCAAAACTATCTCCAAGACCCTACCTGTCTACTCTAAAACTTGACATTTTTCTCCTTTAAGCTCCCCTGCCCTTCGCGGTGGCTCATGGATGGTACTGTGCAGTGCCTCGGGCTCATCTGACCATTCACAGTTGGAAACACGAAGGGGAGGGAGGAAGGGGGACTGGGAGCCAGCACCTCCCCCACGTGGCAGCTCTAGCAGGGCGAGACTGTCTTGGCGTGCAGAAGTCCCTGTGGCTGGCCCTGCAGTGCCTCAGTCATGAGCCAGGTGTGTCTCAAACAGACCTGTGCTTTGTTGCCGATTTAACAGCATGAAATGATAGAAATGAGAAATCTGGAAGTGAAATAGTTTCCCCTGCTGGACTGCTGCAGCCTTACTGTAATTAGGAAGAAAGTCTGTCAATGTATTTTGGTTATAAGTTGCTATTTCCATGCACCCAATCAATATTTTCAAAAAAGTTTGGCCTTGTTGATTTTGGAGGTTAGGGAGCATGTCTCCTGTGGGCTACTGAATGCTTCGATCACAGTAGGTGCTTAATAGGTATTTATATGTGTAGGTGGCTGTCTAAGCTAAATCATTTGCGTTAATAGCTTAAGATGATGCAACTCATGTAATGCTTCATTTTGGGAAATGCAATTTAACTAAGTGGGTGGTTAGCTCATTAATGAGGACATGTGCTGTTACCTATTCAGAACACGGTACGTCAACAAATTCTAAAGCCGTGTCTCAAAGAAAAGGAAACAAAATTTAAAAAAGGCATAGTTGAGGCACATTCTAGACTGATTGTGATTATCTGGGAATACAGCCAAACAATCCAATTATTATTTTTTATGGGAGCAAGAACAGAGGACTTGGGTAATGTTTAAATGTGCCAGATGGACTGCCTTCTATACTTCTAGGCACCTTTCCTTTTTTTGGATGACCAGGATCTGGAAAAAATCAGAAAAGTTTATGCATTTTCACCCCTTGTGTTGCAGCCATGCCAGCAAGGCAGAGACTATGGCTTTGAGGATGATGCTTGCATAAAAAGGAGGACATTCAGCTCATGTGGAAGGCTGTACTTCCAGAGAAACCAGCGAGGGTAGCATCTCAGTCCTCATCTTATGAATAATGTGATCTGTTCTGAGGGGTCTGGGGAGTGAGGAGCAGCATGAATTTTCTCCCTAGTTAGGCTTATTCTGACCCCACACTCTTTCTTGTACTAGCATATATGGGGTATCAGAGACACTGGGGCCAAGGCCCAGGCCTGGTTTAAAGGAAGGATTTCCTTGATCATCTTAATACCTTAGCACTGTGAGGTGGTGACCTGTTTTTATTTTTGTCTCTGTAGACATGATGCAGGTTGTAAAGGTCAATATAAATATTTTTTGGTTATTTAGTGTGCAGGCAAGCTCATTCTGTTGACTTGTCTTTCTAAAGAAGTTTCACTAAAGTCTCGTTGCAGTGAAAAGTTAATATTGTATGGAAATCAGTATCTGAAATGTTCTCTCTATTTAGCTAAATTAAATACTGAGAACCTTTGTAAGGATATGTAATTTTTATAATAAAGTTATTTTGATCATTGTATCAAATTCTAGAAAAATTAAGAAATTTGCATACCAACATCAAGCATACCAAGCCACAAATTAGTATACTTCTCTTTGATTGTAGGTTGATTAACTAATTGGGAAATTACCAATTGATAAACCATTTTTTTAATTTAAATTTTAGTCTTGTCTCTGCCATTTGGTAGCTGAGTAAATTTTTGTATTTACTCGGAGGGGTGTTTAAGTCTCTAAGTATAACAGTGGATATATATATATATTTCTCTTTCAATTCTTCCAGTTTTACCTCTTGTCTTTTAATGTTCTTTTGTTAGGTACATGCACGATGAGGATTATTTTGTCTTCTTGGAGAATTAACACATCTATTATTGTGTAAGGCCACTATCTATTCTTGACAAACCTCCTTGTTCTGATGTCCACTTCGTCTGAAATTAATATAGCTTTCTAACTTACTTTTGATTAGTGTTAGCATTGTATATATTTCTCTATCCCTTTCATTTTAACCTGCCTGAGTCTTTATGTTTAAAATGAGTTTCTTTAGACAACATAGAGTTGGGGCTTTTTAAGATTTTAATCTACTGTGACAATCTCTGTCTTTTATTTGACATATTTAGAGCATTTACACTTAAAGTGATTATGAATATAGCTGGATTAATATCTACCATGTTTTCTGTTGCTTGCATTTGTTCTTTGTTTTCCTCTCCATTTTTTAACCTTTTCTGGTTTAATTGAGCATTTTATGTGATTCCATTTCAACTTCTCTCTTTGCACATCAGTTGTACTTCTTATAAAAATATTAGTAGTTGCTTTAAAGTTCACATTTTACATTTTTAACAAAGCAAAGGCTTCTTGCAAATAATATGATACTGCTTCTTATGTAGTACAGAAACCTGGATAGAGAATTCCTAATTATTTTATCCTGTATCCTGCAACATTGCTGCCCTTTATTTTACTTATCCATGTGTTATAATCACACTGTTATAATTATTACTTTACAAAGTTATCCTTTATAAAAATGAAGAAAAAGAAGAAATACATTTTGTTTCCTTTATACTTTCTCTAGTACTCCTTTCTTTTTTATATAGATCTAAGTTTCTGGCACGCCACTTTTCTTCTGCATGATTAAATTCTTTTAACATTTCTTGCAGGGTAGGTCTGCTCTTGACAAATTCCCTTAGTTTTTGTTTGTATGAGAAACTTTTGGCTGAGCACTGTGGCTCACACCTGTAATCCCAGCACTTTGGGAGGCCGAGGCAGGGGGATCCCCTGAGGTCAGGAGTTCAAGACCAGCCTGGCCAATGTGGTGAAACCCCATCTCTACTAAAAATACAAAAATTAGCAGGGCATGGTGGCACACTCAGTAGTCCCAGCTACCCAGGAGGCTGAGGCACAAGAATCACTTGGAACCCAGGAGGTGGAGGTTTCAGTGAGCCAAGATTGCACTGCTGCACTTCAGCCTAGGTGACAGAGTGAGACTCCCTCTCNAAAANNAAAAAAGAGAGAGAAAGAAGAGAGAGAAAGAAAGAAAGGAAAGAAAGAGAAAGGAAAGAAAGAGAAAGAAAGAAAGAAAAGAAAGAAGGAAAAAGAAATTCTATATTTCTCTTTTGAGGGATAATTTATCTGGATATTGAATTCTAGTCTGGAGCTTTTTCTTTCTTTCAACATTTTAAATATTTCACTCACTCTTCTTGCATAGTTTCTGAAGAGAAGTACATTTGAATTCTTGTTCTTCTTTCTCAAATGTTAAAATTTACACCCTTCATTCCCCAGCTTTTTCCAAAATTGACTGTTTTGGCTTCCTGCAGTGTGAATATGGTATGACCAAGTGATCTTTTAATTGCATTTTACATTTATCTCTTTATTTACTTTAATCATGGTGTTATCTGGGCTTCCTGTTTTGTAGTTTTTTTGTCTGTCATTAATTTTGGAAGGTTCTTGGCCATTATTTTTATACTTCAAATATTTCTTCTGCTTTTTTCTCCTCCTTTTGTTATTTCAATTATGTGTACGTTACACCTTTTGTAATTCTCCCATGGTTCATGAATGTTCTAGTCTTGCTTTTTTTGATGCTTTTTTTCCTTATTTGTTTGAGAAGTTTAACTGACCTATTTTTATGCTCAATGTTCTTTCCTTGGCTGTGTCAATTCTACTGATGACCCCTCCTGCTCAAGGACATTCATCATTTCCGTTACAGAGTTTTTCATTTATATCATTTCCTTCTTCTTGTTTCCAGCTCTCTGTTTACATTATCTAACTGCTCTTGCATGTTATTTACTATTTCCATTAGAACCCTTGACATATTAATCACAGTAATTTTAAATTGGTTGTCTAATAATTCCAACAACTGTGGCATATAGGAATGTGGCTCTAATGATTGCTGTGTCTCTTTACATTGATTTTTGTTTGTTTGTTGTTTGTTTCTTTTTGTCTTTCTGGCATGCCTTATAGTTTTTTAAAGCTAGACACACCGTGAGGTAAATAGTCCATTAGGATGAGAATTCATGTTGGTCTGACTAGGAATTGGGCTGTGGTTAATGTCTACTGTAGCTTTGGGTGCCAGAGGCTTAATATTTTTCTAGCATCCTTGTGTTTTTCTCTTCTTTCGACTTTGGGCTTCCCTAGGTACTTCTCCTCACATAGAGTCTGCATCTTGCAGTGCTTCCAGCATTAATCCCCTTTACTATCCTGGAGCCCTGTGGCTGTGATGGTTTAGGGTGGAGCCAACGGAGGTTTGTTCTGTAATCTTACATTTGCACTCTGATCTTTAAGTGGAGCTGTTTTCCTGGGCTGTGGCCTTCAGAAGTTTCTTCAGTGGCATAGGTTTTCCTCCCTTACTCCTTTTCCCTTTCCCAGCTACAGTGCCCCCCAGTCTATTTCCTAGAAGCCCTAATCCCTGCTTACTATGCCCACTCCCTTAAGTGGAACAGGAGGGCTAGAGGAAGTTTGACTGGGAGGGATAAGGCTCTGGTAAGATCTTTCTCTGCTAGAGTAGGTCACTTTTATGGCAAATGCTCTGGTGTATTTCACAATGATTAATTCTGAGATAGCCCTGCCAGAGAAAATATGGGATCTTTCTTGCATTTTCACTTTGAGAACCTTATAGGATTCCTGGAGGAAAAGCTCAGGAAAGTGTTGGGGGACCCCTTGAGGTGGTTGTCCCCCAGAAGTTTCTCAGTCTCATGCCCCTTCACACTCAGCCTCCACTATTCATCAGAATGATTATTTCAGTGTTCCTACCAGCTTATGACTCCTGCAGCTTCTGCTCCAGGTAAACAGATACCTGCTGTGACTCTCTATTAACCTGCCTCTGCAGATTTCAGGGGGGGTTTCCCTGTGGTTGCAGTTGTCTGATGGGTTCAAGAAAAGTCATTGATTTTCATTTAGTGCAGCTTTTTCTCATTGTAAGGATGAGTGTGACAACCTTCAAGCTTTTTTTCATATTAGATTTGATACCATAAGTCCTTGCATATGCCACTTCAGTCACAGTTAATGTTTAAGAGCTGGGGATTTCTGGAGGCGGAGGTCACAGTGAGCCGAGATCATGCCATTGCACTCCAGCCTGGGTGACAGAGCGAGACTCCATCTCAAATAAATAAAGAGTTGGAGATTTTCAAAGGCAGGTGTCATTAAAACTTGAAACCAAAGATTGCTGACTGAAATTGGTGTCATATACACTACTCATTATTGGAAGCAGTAAGAATCTCATGCTGGTGCAATGAAGGAACCAAGCTGCTTGGTCTTTGTCTTCAAGGACCAAACGGGGTCAAGAGAGTCATGTACCTAACCAAGAGTTAAGAACAGTATCTAGCATTTATTGAGCACTTACTAGTCTGAGACAGTTTTAAGTGCTATATTCGTGTATTGATGAACTAATTTAGCCTTTAAAACAACCCACTGTGATAGGATTATGATTCTCTTCATTTTTTCAGATAGGGATACTGAGGTTCAGGGTACATAAGTAACTTGTTCAAGGTTATGTGAGTCATAGGGTGTAGTCAAGGTTCTAAAACAAGCTCCAGACCTCATTCTTTTAACCACTGTACTTTGCCTCTTTCCAATGATTAAGTGCAGATAATCTACTAATACTAATACATAATAATGCAAGCCATGACAAGGGAAATAAAATTTCCTCTAACATTTCAGATGGGAGGTATTACTCCTATCATGGGAAATCAGAGAAGAGTTGACATTTTAAGTTATTAAAGTCAGGATTGGACACACAAGAATAGTGGCAGGGGTTTTTGGAGGCAAGAAAATGATAGAACTGCCCAGGAACTCCTAAGCAGTATGCAGTGGAAAATAGAGGGAAGGCAAAATGTGGGGTGCTTTTGAATTAAGAAGTGATGGGATCACATATATGTTTGAGAAAAATCAGCGTGTAGTGGGACACAGGAAGAACTGGAGAGGGACAGTATAGAGCCAGATAGACCAGTTAGACAGTTGGTGTCAGATGGTTGTTATTAATGGCAGTGGGAGGGGAGCATGGGCAGGAATTGACAAGGAATTGTGAGCCACAGAATAGGAAATAAGAAAGAGGAAGGAGTTAAAATGACTTCAGTATTTGATGTTCATATGATTGGATAATGATAAAATAAGTTGCTAATGACCAAATTTATACATATATATATATCTTTTTTACATACACATTTTATAAATACTATATATACGGTATGTATAAATTATATATAATTGAATTAAAAAATGAAATAGGGGCTTGTAAAGAAGAACACATAAAATATTCCAGGCTTCTGGCTTGTTATACTTAGTTGGGCCTGAACGTAAAATGAAGCTTGAATTTCCCAGTAGCCAGAGAACAAGGGGAAGTGATGTCTGCCTTAACCATTGCCTCTGGGTTGGGATTATGCCATTTCTTCGAAGAGACACTCTTCTAGACTAGGGTTAAAATCTAGAGGGAATTTATTTAACTCAAATACAGAAAACCACAAAAGTCACAAAGGTTGGTGTCCTTGGCTTCCACTCTCAATGGGACACTGCAGAAGCTGCTGGGGTCGACCCTGTCTTTGAATCTTCCAGCAAGAGAACATGCTCGCCAAGCATCTGCTCTGTCTCCTTCTCCTTGCAAACCTCCTAAGGGCATCTCTCTGTTGTTTAGTTAGGATAACAGAATCCTGTCTGCTTCCACAGCCTTGTGGAAAGTTTTGCACAGGCACAGTTTATCAAATAATTACAGAGGAGAACTGAGAGGCTTCATAGAGCCTGTGAATTTAGAGAAACCTAGACTCTGGGAAAGCAGTTGCACTGGATTCTCTCTCCCCGGGACATGTCCTTTCTGGCTCTCTATAAAGTTGCAGAACCATGTTTATCTTTTTGTCATACCTGACTGCATCCTTTACTGCCCTAAGGTCTTTTTTTTTTCTTCAGTGACAATAACAAAAAAAAACCTAACTTTCCCATCGGTACTCACTTCTGGCTACTTAAATAGTAGCCAAAAGATTACCAGGTTAGGGTTGCAGTTTTCCCCTTTATACACACAAAATCTCTAATTTAGATAAATTGTCACTCTTATCACGTTTTTCTTCCCTGCTCACTTTCCCAGCCACCATCTTGGCCTTCAGATTGTCTCTTCATGCATATCGCTGACGTTTAAAAGTTTCAAGCTTGATGGTGTCTTACAGATCACCTCCTCGGAGACTCGCTTCCATTCGTGGGGAAATGAAGGCTCAGAGAGGTTGCATTTGCCTCCATGGGGCCCACAGAGCTGGCTGGTGGTTGCTGTGAATTGGGAAATCACATTTTCTGACTTCTCATCGCGTGTTCTCACTACTCAACACTGGGAGGAACCATTGAATTAAAAGTTCAAAATCAACTCGATATTTTCCAATTGTTTCTTTGTTTTTTCAAATGGATATCAGTAAATAAAAATGGACACATTCAGTATAAGCAGAAGCCTTCTGTCCTCAGGGAGTTCGCAGTGCAGTTGCAGGTAGGACAGATGGCGAAGGCGTGGGAGAGCAGTTACCCACAGATGACCAGATGTGTGTGGAAACCCCCTCCTCTCTACGTCCAGGGAGTCTGGAGGGAGTCTGGAGGGAGTCCAGCGCATCAACACCACCAGGGCCAGCGCTGGAGGATGGACGGTGCATGATGGGCCCAGGAGAGGGAGAGAGCCTGGTGAGGAAGTCCCCAGAGCCATGGGGGAGGAAGACAGCCCCAGACCTGGCAGACACCTGGCACTGGCCTGGGGCGAGTGCTGAGGTGAGGACAGACAGGCTTTGTGGCCTGGGCTGACAAAGGGTCTCCACAGCCCTTTATCAAGCCAGGCAGCCATGTATTTGTCCTTGTGAATGGTGTGTGTGTGTCGTGTGTGTTTGTGTGTGTGTATCATGTGTGTTTGTGTGTGTGTATCGTGTGTGTATGCTGTGTGTGCATATGGTGTGTGTTTGTGTGTGTATGGTGTGTGAATGCATTTACTTGTGTGTATGGTGTGTATGATGTGTTTGTGTGTATGGTGTATGTGCATATGGTGTGTGTGTGTGTATGGTATGTGTGTGTATAGTGTGTGTATGGTGTGTGTGTATGGTGTGTGTGTATGGTGCGTGTGTTTGAGTATGGTGTGTGTGTATGGTGCATGTGCGTATGGTGTATTTGTGTGTATGTATGGTATGTTTGTGTGTATGGTGTTTGTGCGTGTATGGTGTGTGTGTTTGTGTGTATGGTGTTTGTGTGTATGGTGTGTGTGTTTGTGTGTATATGTTGTGTGTATGGTGTGTTTGTGTGTATGGTGTATGTGTATGGTGTGTGTGTGTATGGTATATGTGTGTATGTGTGAGTGCCTTTGTGTGTGTATGGTGTGTGTGTATGGTATATGTGTGTATAGTGTTTGTGTGTGTGTATGTGTGTATGGTGTGTGTGTATATGGTGTGTGTGTTTGTGTGTGTATGTTTGTATGGTGTGTGTATGGTGTGTGTGTGTTGGTATGTGTGTATGGTGTGTTTGTGTGTGTGTTGGTGTGTGTATGGTGTTTGTGTGTGTATGGTGTATGTGTGTATGGTGTGTGTGTATGGCGTTTGTGTGTGTATGGTATGTGTGTGTATGGTATGTGTTTGTGTGTATGGTCTGTGTGTGTGTATGGGGTATTTGTGTGTGTTTGTGTGTATGGTCTGTGTGTGTGTATGGGGTATTTGTGTGTGTGTGTATATATATGTGTGTATGTATGAGTGTGTTTATGGTGTTTGTATAGTGTGTGTTTGTGTGTATGGTGTCTGTATATATGATGTGTGTGTTTATGGTGTATGTGTGTATAGTGTGTGTGTTTGTATGGTGTGTTTGTGTATGGTGTGTGCGTATGTATGATGTGTGTGTATGGTGTATGTATGTATAGTGTGTGTGTGTTTGTGTGTGTATGGTGTGTGTTTATCGTGTGTGTATGGTGTATGTCTGTATAATGTGTGTGTATGGTGTGTGTGTGTATATATGATGTGTGGGTTTATGGTGTATGCGTGTATAGTGTGTGTGTGTATGGTATGTGTGTATCGTGTGTGTGTGTATGGTGCATGTGTGTGTATGATGTGTGTATGTATGGTGTGTGTGTATGTATGATGTGTGTATTGTGTGTTTGTGTATGGTGTGTGTGTTTGTGTATGGTGTGTGTGTTTGTGTGTATCTTGGATCCTTTTAAGACTGCGTGGCAGTGTAGGGATTCTGCCAGACCGTTCAGCTAATCTCCGTCTCGCGCTCACTGTTCACAGCGTAAATCCAGACCCATAGTGAGAGGAAGAGGACCCAGGGAGAGCACGATTATCCCCCGCACACTTCAAGGGGTGATGGGGTGGGATCTCTGCCAATTTCTCTTATTCCGTTAGCTGAAGCTTAGAAAAATAACCCAGGAAATCCCACAAGATGTAAATCCAGGGTGAGCCAAGCAGATTGATAGTCTTCTAATTAGTACGAAAAAGATTCGAGAATTGGATCCTAGGAATGAGAACACAGGGGCCGGCAGTGTGTCTGGATGAGGAACTGTGCCGCCTGCTGTTCAGGTGCTATTTCTGTCCGACCTGTGGGACAGGCGCTCACACCACCCCACACTGCCCCGGGGAGGCAGGCCAAGGAAGCCCCCTGCCAAGGCAGCAGCCACATACCAAACCGTTGGGTGATATCGGTCTTGGTTATTGGTCCCTAGGATTGTGCTTGAGAAAGGAGCTCAGTGTCTTCCCCATATGCCACGTTTCACGCAGATGCATGGGGTGATATAGCGCAAGGTGGAGGGTGCAATATGGGGCCCAGGTATAGCAACACCTAACTCATAGGACTATGGGGGGCGTAAAATAAGACTCCAGCACATGCTCACTTGGTAAGTCATTGCATCTGCATTATCTTATCATCACGATTGCTGACAATGAGCCATTGAAAGCGAGTGGATCGTTTGATGGTTGGGTGTTAGGTATTTGAAGTGTGACGTCTACAAACCTCCCGACTTCTGTGTTCCTTCATGTTCTTTTCCCTTTTTATTACACAAAAACTCCTCCTTTGCAGACCTGAGAATTGTCCTTGATGTTTTTCCTTCCCTCCCTCACTGTCTTTGTAGGGACCCTGGCAGTTCCCTCTTGCCCCTACCTGGGCACCTACACACTGTTCTCATCAGAGTAGACACACTGGTCAGCTGTGTTCCTGTAACCAATCTCCATCTCACTGGGAACAAAAGGCCAGTCCTAACCATGGCCCCAAGGCTTCCCAGTACCTGCCTAGCCACTCTGCTTGCTCCTGCATAGGCTCAGCCACAGGGCGCATGTGTGTCCTACACTTGCTGGGCATGCCTGCCTCAGGACCCTGCAGCAGCTCTTCTCTTACACCGGTGAAATCCTCTTCCCATAGATGTGTGCATAGTTTTCTTTCTTTCTATTTATTTATTTATTTATTTATTTATTTATTTTTGAGATGGAGTTTCGCTCTGTTGCCCAGGCTGGAGTGCAATGGCACGATCTCAGCTCACTGCAACCCCTGCCTCCGGGGTTCAAGCAATTCTCCTACCTCAGCCTCCCGAGTAGCTGAGACTACAGGTGTGCACCACCACATCTGGCTAATTTTCATATTTTTATTAGAGATAGGGTTTTGCCGTGTTGGCCAGGCTGGTCTCGAACTCCTGACCTTAAGTGATCCACCCACCTCACCTCTCAAAGTGCTGGGATTACAGGGGTGAGCCGTGGTGCCCAGCCAGTATGTGCGTAGTTTTCAATCATTCTCCAGATCTTGGCTTCAAAGTAACCATATCCAAGAAGTCTTCCCAGATTCTTTGTGTAAACTAGTACCCGCTCCTCAGCCCTGGACTCCATTTTCTCTGAGATGCTGTGCATGGTCTAGTTTCTGTGTTCATTGCCTCTCCCACCCCATGGGGCACCATAAGGACAAGGAGTTTTCTTTGCTCTCTCCTGCACCTCCAGCCCCTGGGGCAATGCCTGGCTCTGTAAGGGCTCAGGAGGGAAGAAAGAAGGGAGGGAGGAAGGGCTTGATGAGGTAGCTGGCTGATTGCACAGTCATCACTTTGGCTCAGATCCAGGCCTGTACCGACTAAGAAGCTGGATGCCTTTGGGGAATTTACCCTCTAAGCCTTCGTCTCATAGCCTGAAAAATTATGGTAATACTAGAAGGATGAAGTTTATCAAGCCCAGGTAGCATGGTGAGCTACTCTTCACACATAGAAAACTGACAGCATTTGTGAGTTATCATTTGTGCAATTATCACCATGGGAATGCTGCAAGCCCCTGCGTACCTCCTTCTCACCTTCTCAGAAGAGCAGGATGGAATTCAGTGGAGTGCAGGGCTTGCCACACCCTGAATCATTTCTAATCAACAAAAGCAAATCCTTCGCCAACATTCTGACTATGCTTAATGGAATATGACTTGACCCATGCCTACATGGCTATGGAACTGCAAGGGCACCACCCGTCCCCAATCTTAACAGTCCAAGTCCCCGTGTGGGTGGCACTGCCTGTGTGTGGATGCAGGGCTTGAAAGCTGAGCATTCACCAGGGGCCTGAGGAAGGGCAGGAGCACTTAGCTGCACTGAGAAGCACCAGGAGGAGATTTAAGAAATGCTGATGCATTTTCTGATTTTTATGGGTTGCAGTAGCAGTATGCCACAACCAGAGAGACTACTGTAGGAACTCAACAAGCAGGTTTACTGTAAGGTTCTGTTATGTGAGTGGATATCTCACATGCATTTAAAGTATGATTCAATTCCCACAAGCTCAATGTCTATCACAATCTTATGGAAGAGTCTCATTAACTAGACAAAAGCTCCCAAAGTTCAGTGGCTGCAGCTGCTACATTCAGCACCACATGCTCAGTACAAAGTCTAGGTGATTTTTTAAAGATTCCTAAATGAACATTTGATGTCAGGCCATTCTCTGTTCATGCCCAGGACCTGTGTGATATGTGCTTTCTGGTTCTAATCGGAGGATCATTGAGAAGGAGAGAGCTCTGCCAATAATTATGAGAGGGCAACAAAACTCAGTTGTGTGGTGCCAGGAAGACCCAGGGTGTTTGGCCATTGCCGGCAGCTAAAGGCCTGTCTCAGCTGCCTTCCGATGAGCCACACCTGCTTATCTCTTAGACTGTTCATGTCTCAATATGTACCACCAGATGAGAGCTGCTTAGTGATCTTTAGTCTGTAACCTCAAATGGATCTGTTTCCTGTAAATGAACAGACCATGGAAAGAGGGAGAATTAAAGCATGTGAGTGTGCAACTCAACAATAAAAACAAACATAAGGTAATTAAAAATGGGCAAAGGGTTTGAATAGACATTTCTCCAAAGAAGTTATACAAATGACCAATCAGCACAAGCAAAAATGCCCAGCACCATAGGTCATGAGGGAAATGTAAAATCAAACCCACATGAGATGCCACTTCCCACCCACTAGGATGGCTATAACACAAAAGATACCATAACAACAAGTGTTGGTGATGATAGAGAGCAAGCACTTTGCTGGTGGAAATGTCAGGTGGTTCTGCTACTTCGGAAAACAGTTTGGCAGTTCCTCAAACAGTAAAGCATAGAGTTACCATGTAACCTAGCAATTCAAATGTTAAGTATATAGCAGGGAAAACATGAAAACATGTATTTACACAAAAACTTGTACATGAATGTGCATAGCAGCATTATTCATAATATACAAAAAGTGGGGGGAAACCCAGATGTCTATCGCTAATGAATGGGTAAATAGAATGTGGTCTGGACATACAATGAATATTCTTCAGCCTTAAAATGGAAGGAAATTCAAACAGATGCTACAACATAGATAAACTTGGAAACCATGCAAAGTGAAAAAACCAGACACTAAAGGACAGTATGATTCCACTTATATGAAATACCTAGAATAGACAAATTCATAGAGAAAAAAAGTATATTAGTGAATGCCGGGGGTTGGGATTGGGGAATGGGGAATGATACCTAAAAGGCACAGATAGGGTTGTTTTTTGGAGTGATGGAAAAGGTCTGGAATTAGATTGTTACTGAAACCCACCAAATTGTCTACTTTTAAAGGGCGACCTTTATAGTATGTGAATTACAGCTCAATAAAGCTGCTATTTTAAAAAAGAGTATCAGTGATTCAGAAAGTGTATTCATCATAATTAATTTTATAGTCCTATAACAAATTACACTTCACCTTTGATTTCCATGATAATTTCAAAAAACAGTGCCACCTGGAAGAAAAAACAAAGATATGAGGGAAGGGTAGGGGGTGGGGAGAGAGGTCTTCATGTGTAACCAAAGTTGACCTCTCACAACTCTGTGATTCTCATTCTTTGAATCAGTGATTCCAGGGATAAGCCTACATCTCCCGCTGGGCCTCAACATTCGTTATTCATTCCTTTGGCAGCTATTTTTTGAGAATGTACTATATGGCAGGATATCAGAAAGGAGCTAACATGGTCCCTCGGCTCTTCTCTTCAGACTAATCTCCATCTTTTCCCCAACATCTACATATAGGCTCAGTCTGCAAAGGAAAAGCTGTTGATGGAACTTGCCACTATACACAAGAGAAACTCTAGAGAATTCTGCTTCTTAGATTTAATCCTATAAGTCTAAGAAGGAAAATAAAGGATCATTGTTAAGGAAAAACAGGTGCTCCTCAATGTTTATCAAATTAGTAAAGAGTTTAACCAACCCAAACAGTCAACAGTCAGAAATGGGTTAAATAAATCCTGGTGTACCCACACAAAAACAGTAGGCTGCCCACTTTGAACATGATGCTTAGGATTTGCATTTCATTGAGATGGAAGGGGTTTCTTGATACAGGGTTGAGTGATGCATGCAATTAGACCACAGCAAGAGTCACATAACCCTATAGGTTTATTTAATGTCTGCAGGTAAGCAATGAAGTAAATATTTCACCACGTTAATTCTAGGTGATGTTCATTCTATAATGAGTGTTCATTATAAAATCCTTTCAACCTTTTTTGTATATTTGGAATTTTCATAATAGAATGTCATAAAAATAAATGATCACCAACAGTAGGAAGTTTAATTAGACCCAGTTTTTTAGACTTCTAAAAGGGGACTGCATTGGGCTGCACTCCAATATAAAAATTACCCTTGTGATCACGGCGCCTCTCATTGTGTTTTAACACCCATCCTGTCGCTCTGTCTTCCCCAACACTGAGAAGAGACTAGCCCTTCTTGCACTTCCTCCCTGTTCTGCCAGTGGAACCATTCCTAGTGAGTAACTGAATTTCTTAAGATCCACTGAGTCTCAATAGAATCTACATTAGCAGCCATGAAATTCAAGTGGGTAAATTGACGTAGTATAAGATGTAAAGCTACTGGTCTGTGGACACACAAATACTGCAGAAATGCTCTCAGTCCTACACAAGGCTCTTAAACATTATTGGAACACCACCCAAAACTTTTATTTATGTGGATTATCTCTATCATTATTCACTATATTAAAAATTTCAACTTAGACATTCAAAAATATGTATTATTGATTAATCTAAATATAATAAAAAGCCTACATAAGTGACACATTTCTAAAAAAATAACTCTATTATACCACCCAAAAAGAAAATTTAGTAAGGACAGTGACATTGTTTTACATTTTTGCAAATATCTTTAATGTCTGGCTCAATAAAAGACAGATGATTTTCATATCTGCTTCCGCATTCAATCTGTTGCAACATGTAATTTCTGTGAAGGAAATTTACCCTGAGCTGGATATGAAAATGGATGGTGATTTTATTAGACTTTTCAGATAATGATGCATACTCTTCCTTGACATCACATCAAACTCAACAACTAGCAGTTTCTTGGAGTTTAATTCTAATGTGGAACCTGAAACTCTATACTATTCATATCTTGTTACCTTCCCAAACATTGGTTTATCTTGTACTTTAAATGTACCTTTTACCCATGCATGAATTTGTAACTTCAGGCATTGGAAAATATTGGTTCACAGAGTTATGCTGATCATCCAAATGTTGACACGATATTACAAAAACCACATTTATTAGTCTCCCAACCAATTGTGTTAGAAAAGTATTTAAATATTGAGAAGCTACCAGACTCATGAAGGTGGATACGAGCTTTCCAAAATTCCAATTTCCACTGGAAATCTCGACTTTTAGTATTGGCAACAAATACTGCCAGTTGTTTTCTTAGAAGTGACAGACTCCATTCATTTTCAAGAAAATGGCTACCAAACACCCCAGTCTGAAAATAACCATAGTTTGTTGCTCTTACGAGTGAAAATGCTATTTCATACACGAAGCTTTGTCCTTCAGCACCCAAGATTTAAGGATAATTATGGATGAATATTATGGATTCATTTTAAATCCTTTGGCAAATCTGCTCTGGGGGCTTCTCTGTCAGAAGGTCTCTCCTTCCCAACTCTAAGAAACGTTATTCCTATGCAAATGCTGCTGAGTCAAGACGGGGAGGGAAGTGCAGAGAGAAGGGCTGGTGGCATGGTCAGTAAGTCATGAGGGTGAGATTAGGGGTGACACACTGCTTGCCAACGTAGGAGAAGGCTCTGCCCTCACCTAGCAGGTCTGATGGAAGCCCCTTATTCCGTCCTTCCTGCCGGGTTCCACCGAGATCCAAAAAGGAATGCTGTGTAGGAGCACATGATATGTGATAAATGAGAGAAAGGTCAAACATTTAAGGAACGCCCAGAGAAAGTACTGCATAAGAAATGATGCGTTCCATATTCAAACACACAGATCAAGCTCTTTCTATGGGCTAAGTGGTGTGCCCCCGAAAAGCAAGGGCTTTTTGTTTTTCTGCCTTTCTCCCTACGTAGGAGGGCCTGGTTGCTGTGTGCTCTGGGAGCTTGTTGGTTTGAGCACCCTGAAGCTCCGTGCAATGCCCGCTCAGTGGGCCCCGGCAGTGCAGAGGGCGCTTCTCCCGGGGGTCCTGGTAAGAGGATCTAGGCTTTCCCTGGGGAGGACCCGGCGGGGCGAACGCAGGCTCAGCGCAAGAGCCGCAGTGACACCTTCTGGTGGCTGCCTGCACTGCAGGCTCCTTTTATGGACAAGTTTTGGGGGTGAAGCTGCAGAGGGGTACCCCTAAGGTGGCCTCTCCCTTCTCCTATCCAGGTTTGGGAGGCCACCCGGCCTCAGGCCCCTGTCAGGTCTCCCACTGCACCAAGATTGACTACATGCAGGGCGGCTGAGCTGCCTGAGGCCGGGTGGGAAGGAGGGGTGCCCTCCCCGCTACGGTGGGGAGACCTGCCCCTGTCTCTGCTCCTCCAGCTCGCTTGCAGGCACAAGCTGCTTTGCTTAAAATGTTATGTCATTAAAAATGAAATATGTTCCTTTTATTGCTTATTGTTCTATGTCCCTCTTTTTTGTGGTGTGTTTGATTTTATTCAGATTTTAGTATTTTCCACAATGGTCTGTGACTAAAACTTAATTTAATGAGAAGAGATATATTTATTCAGTTCTTTATTTTGAAAGTGATTGAGTTAAACATAAAACAAAGCTAGGATGAACAGTACAATTATATATCATCCAGGATATTATAAATTCTGATTTGAAGCTAAGGAAACAAACATTGGCAATCTAGCCTCATGATTAAGAACATAACAGAACATAAAATTAAATAAAAAGAAAAGCACCTTTATGACTGGCATACTCAGTGTACGCATTCCCATCAAAATGTTTTTGTAAACGTTTCCATAAGTCGCCGTAGGCAAATGGCATGTTGCGGTTTTTGAACGTTACATAGATATCTTCTATTTTCATGCATCTTCCTTGCTGTAAGACAGATTCAAAGCAGAAGCTTACATAACCCAGAGAAGTCATGCCAAGTTTATCTGAACATCTTTTTAAAACTTTCAAGTTCTCTGATTTAGTTCTGATACACATATTTCCATATACGTTTTTCTTGTTTGTTTGTTTGTTTAACTTACCTACTTTGTTCCTCAATTGAACATGTGGTTTTTGAGTGCCAACTACACATTGAGCCCTGTGTGAAGGTTTGGGGACAGAGGGACACTGAGCCCAGCCTCCAAGAGTCAGAAGGGAGCATTTTCAGGCCACAGTGCACTGGGTCAGGAGTGCTGCAGGAAGAGAAGCAAATACTGTGGGACTCACTAGACAATCTCAACAGGGAGGCAGTGACATCCAGGCCCTGCGGAGGACAGGGAAGCTTCTCCAAGGGCTATGGCTGGGGAGACCCTGTAAACAGACTTAGACACACACAGTGTTCATCCAGCACGAGTAGCCCTCTCAGGTGGCCCCACTCTGCCTGAGGCACTGGATTCCAAGCATGGACAGAAGGGAGGACTTGACAAGGTCGGGTGGAATGGGCCGCGACCCCGGCCTGTGTTGGAGATCTCCTGGGCAAAGATAACCAGCTGCTCTCCATCTGGGAGTTATGGAGCCCTGTATTTTACCTGGGAAACTCATGGGCCACCAGAAACACACTTCTCTGAGTGTGTGCTTGCTTTAATGAGACTGCAGGAGATGGAGATTTTATCAGCATGAATCACCAGTGGAGAATAATTCCTAATAGACAACCCATGGCTGTCCAAAGACCTCAAGAGCATTCCCCAATCCGAGATGGGCCGGGATGAGGTGCCCGACCTCTGTCTGGAACCTTGCCCTTGGGTGTGTCCTTGGGTTGGACACTCCCCTTCCAGCCTGCTCCTGCTCCCCTGCAGCCTCTACATAAGATCTGCAAGGGCAGCCCCTTTCTGCCAAAACTGGACTCCTGCTGCAAAGATGACCCTGGGAAGCTCAAGGGTTCCCACATTAGTGTTAACCTGTCTGCCTCAGGCAGGTTCCCAGCCCAAGAACTTTTGGCTCCCTGATGAGTTTGTGGGATGCTCTCTGACGGCACTGTCTGGCCATGAGTGGGGGACTTGAGTTCCAGCTCTCACATTCACAGCTGAGCTCTACCTCTCATGAGCAGTGTGAGCCTGGCAGACTTATTCTGTGACTGACTGGAGGCCTTAGTTTCCCCAACTGAGAAAGGGAGATGGTAAAGGACTGAGGGGCCCGTGTGAGGCTGAGACACAGTCAGCTGTGACCACTCATAGCAAAGCCCTGGCAAGGGGCAGGCCCTCAGTGCCTGCGGTCCATCATGGCTGTGGCGTTTAGCTTTCCTGGCTGTATGGGGCACGAGAGAGCAGGGTACTTCTTAGTGACAGTGGAACTGTGAAGGGAGTGTGTCTTTGTGGCACTTTGAGCTGGAGGATTTAGCAGAGCACTTGGAGTTGTGAATGCGGTGGCCACTGGAGCAAACCTTCTCAAGTGACCCACCATAACACATTTCTGGGTCTTGGGTGCTGCGGTCTCTTTTCCAAATGGTATCTTGGAGGCAGGACCAAGCCAATGTGGCCTTGGGATTCTGAATTAACTTCTTCCCAGGATGACGCTAAGGCCCTGAGACTCAGGACTGCCTTGGTGTTCTCCTCAAACAGCATTCTATTCCAGAGGACAGCATGAAAGGAATAGTATTATTTTCCTGGGTAAACGTCCCATGAAATTGACTTTAGCAACCACCAGAGGAGTAAGATGGCATGCCTTTCATCCCCCTTGAGCTCCCCTGCCAGAGAAGACTGGAGACCTCGCCTGTTGGCTCAGAGCCCAGGGAGAGGTTTCCCAGGACCAGGCATAAGCACACTAACATTTAATGAGGGTGGGTGGTCAACAGTCTTTAAGGATGAGAGGACAAGCAGCTATTTCGGGCTAATCTGTTCTTATAGAAATGTCACTTGCTTTCTGTTATGTTTCTGAATCTGGCTGTCAGCTGGAGTCAGGCTAACAGAACACGACGTGTCAATTAAGCCACATTACAAGATTTCCCATTAGGTCTGTAATTCCAACATTTCTGAAATTATTGTAATCTGTGTCTTTAAATATTAGGATTTATTTAGCTGATGTTCAATAGTCCCTTTAAAGATAATCTGATAAACCTCCTTTTTATTCACTTTTGAGAAAAGACCGAGGTAAAAATTAATATATACATGTATATCTTGCCCACACACGCTCATGATGTTTTCCTAGTTCTGGACTCAATGTATTTAATGATGATAATGACACACGTTAATCATTCAGAATGATTTGTTATTTGTTCGCATGAATTTCTTGCTAGACTGGATGTTCTCCCAAGCTATTGAATGCTTTCAGGAGCTCAAATTGGCTCAATTAAAATGTATGAAAAGAATGTTAAAAGCACAGGAGCAAAGGTAGCAAAGTGACACCTTCTACTATCATCTGTCTGTTTTGCTCATGATCAGAAATACCAGGAAGCTGATTTCACTTCAGTGACAGAATTAGGTGACCATGTAGAATCCAGATGGTAGGTTCAACCAAGAGTGAATTTTTGCATGCAGCAAGTATCCCAGCAAGATTTGTCTGGGAGGTTCAGTTGTCTAATTAAACATGGTGCTGAGGTTTGAATCAGCCTGTGAAGATGTTCTTTGGAAGATACCAAGAATGAAAATCAAAATGCTGTGACCTTATAATTCTGCAAAAGCAGAGGTTTTCAAAGGACTAGTTTTTAGCAAAAAACTACACTGAAAGCCCTTTGATGTAGCATTTTGGCTTTGCATCCAGTGTTTCAAAACATGAAAAATATACACATGGTAAAAATGTTTTTCTCTGTGATTTCACCATATGAAAGGAACTGGGATTTTTTCACCAGGAACACTCTGCTCAGCATGCTGCGATGCTCCCCCAGGAGCCTTTTACTCAGAGGCAACATCATGTTCAGGTTTAAGTTATTCTCATGGCTTCTAACCGTCTAGGGCTTACCTGTCCACCTGAGATTTTAGAGCCAGATATCATTTCTTCAAGGGAGCATCTCTCCAAACAAGGGTGCATCAGAAGTTGTTCATCTGCCAAACATAATGCTTCATTCTTCAAGATTCCCAGGGACGAGAAAGTACATAGGTGAAAAATAGCAATTGTATTGATAAGCAACCACTTAGGAAAAGAATACCATACTGTAAATTGATATAAATTATAGAAATGTTTGCAATAACTTCAATTTTAAGGGCTTAGAAACTGGTACATAATTCATTACAATTTGTATCCTCCTGAGTTTGTGCTCTTTCTGGCCCCCAAAAGAGGCTGTCCCTATTTGCTGGAAGGGGACTCAACATCCCCACATTTCAGACCTCCTCCACAAACACTGCAAAGGCACATTTCTCTCTGTCATATAGGAGTCTGCTCTCCTTCTTGCAGGTGAAATAAGCAGGAATATCATGTGTTTCTCATGGTCTAAGTTGGGCAAGATCTTTATATGTTAAGGGGTCAGAAATGGGGAAGGAGGCCAGTCCCTGCCACCAGGAAGTCCCACCCAGGAGGATTCCAGGTGCAGCTGGCCACAGGAATCATGAAAATCTTAAGACTAGAATGGAGAGCAAAGAAAGGAAACTCATCAAGATCAACAATAGAAGTAGAGAGGACAGGGTGTGGCCCGAGGGACAGAAGCTACTCAGATTGAGTTCCCTGAAAATATTAATGGACTGAGTTGGTGGGCCATATGGAGAGGACTGCTGGAGATTGCCCTCGGGAGTCACCTGCTTAGGGAAGTGAGGGTGCAGGATTCAGCAGAGGGAAAAACTGATCCATAGCACGCCTGCCACCAGGAGCCATGACAGCCCTTCAGGGGAGACCAAAATCGAGGCAGTCAGGCAAGTCTATATCCATCTCCACCTGGGAGGGGCATTTTCTCCCCTCCCCTCTGCACTTACCTAACCATACACCTCTCAAAACAGTCATGCATGAGTTATTAGTATTATTCTAGGGGATATCAGCATGGAAAGCTCTGATAGACTTACATTGCAGGAGCGGCGCTGTCTTTGAAATTTCAGACATGAGCAAATGGAGAGACAGACAGGTTGTGGCAGTGTTTGATCCTCTGGCCATCCTGATCCGTGGCCTGCCCTCTGAAGCCATTGAGTTTTGGTCCAGGAGTGTGAGATCTGATGGACACATATGTTGGGTCCAAATAACCAAAGTGGACTTTCCTTTAGAAGAGCAGGACGCTGATGTTTGTACCAAAAAATGGTGGGTTTGTGACAGAGGACAGTCACTACCGAAACACAAGGTATCATGGTATGTACATGTAATTGTGCAGTGACTTCAGTAAACGTTTTAAAAATCACAGTTTTGTTGTTACATCAAGCTTGCATTATGAAAACCTCCTTCTGGTTTTATATATTTCAAGACGGAAGTGAAACAGACAAATTGCTTCAAATGAAAGGCAGCAGTTTTTGTCTCTAACATTTAATTTGTGCAGCAGTCACATGGCCACATTATGCTTACACACTCTGTGCCTCACTGGGCATTAATAGGACCCCGCAGGGCAGATGCGCCTCTACATGACTCCGGGCTGGACTCTGGGTAATGATGGGCACTCTTATGTTGCCTGATAACAAGTGGTTCAATCACAGGAGGCAAAAGTGTTTCTTCTTTGAGGACAGGATGGCACGTTGAAACATTGAGACAGGACCGTAAATGGAGATACTGTTCAGATATCATTTGGAAAGGCACAGCTCCGCAGATAAGAAAATTACACACATCCTCCCTGCTCTGAGTTGCTGAGTGGTTTTGTGTCTCTGGTTTTTCACCAACACTGAAAGTAGCCTTCATAGTAAGTCACAGCAGTCGGTAGAGGGGAGGAGAGCAGACTGATTTTTGTCAGCTTTCCTGGAGTAGGGTTGGTTTGGGGCAAATTATTAAAAAGATTTGTATAACCTGGCTACATCATGATCACTAACACATTACTGAAGGTTTACTGGTCTACTCAAAGGTAATCATAAAGGAGTAATGCAACTAGCGCAAAGCAGCCAGCCTGCTACACAAGAAAGGGTATCCTATAATACATGGTATTGCTACTTATCTCAGATGTGTCGTGACTTTTTTAGCCTTTTTGTTTTAATTTCAGGCTTACAAGAAACTTGCAAGACTAGGACAAAGAATTTTTGTAGACACATATTCCTCAAATGTTGATATTTTACCACCCAAAGATGGTGAGAGAACTTGGGAGTTCCCTCTCTCTCTACACACACTCACACAGATAAGGTTTGGTTTAATTTTTGTTCTTGCTGATCCATTTGACAGCAAGTGGCAGACATGGTACCTCTTTACCCCTAAATTCTTTAGCATATATTTCCCAAAGCCAGAAATTTTTATGTAATATAAATACATTTACAATAATCAGGGAAATATACTGATACACTACTAAGCATTCTATAGACCTTATTTAAATTTCACCATTTGTCCCAATTACGGCATTTATAGCTAAGACACACACAGACACAGACACACACACACACACACACACACACACACACACATATTAACCTTCCACTCTTCCCTGTCCGCAGTGCAAGATCCAGTCTAGGATAACAAACAAGTAACTCAGTATTTTGCCTTTCTTTTAAATGTCCTTTAATCTGGCCTGGTTCTTCAATCTCTTTAAGACACTGACATTTCGTAGTGGGCACACCAGGTATTTTGCAGGATTTTCTTGATGTTTCCTCCTGGTCAGAGCTGGGCTGTGCATTTTTAGCAGGAACACCCCAGAGGAGAGGTTGGCAGTGCTTATGCCAGGGCACAGGTGACACTGACTCGTCCCCTAACTGGTGATGTTAACTTTGATGACTCATTAGGGAGGTTGCCCAGTTTCCCCACTACCATTATTTTTCTCTCTGTAATTGATTATTACTAGGAAGGTTGTGTGCAAAACATTCCTGTGAGGACAGAATTATTACTCATTAAAAAATAAAGAACCAGAGTACAAAGTCCTATCTTCTGTTGGAGATGAAGCCAAGAATCAAATTCATGTCTCATGCTGAAGTTTAAGCTGCTTTCACTATACTGTGAAAGACAGTAGCATCAAAAGCCAAAAAATAAATAAGTTAAATAGTTCATTTTTTAATTGATTTATAGGGCTTGTTGTTATTCCTCAAATGTACAGATTTTGATTTTTCTAGGCATAAATGGAAGAAGGTTCCCCTTTATGGGAGTTCGTTTTCAGTAGCATCAGATAAGAGGAAGAAGAACGAAAACTTGCAACATGAAGTGGTCTCCTTTCCATCTGTAGTTCGTGGAAACAAACACATGAAGCTTCTTTCAGGTTTAGGCATCTGAATCCAAAGACATCCATGGAAGCACTATCATGAGACACCGATTGCTCTTCTAGTTTAAATAGAGGGCACGCAGGCATGTGGACTCGGGAGATGGCAGAAGGAGCCCCAAGATCATGATGAGCCCACGGTCATGCAGCCAGCTGGGCTCCAGACTTCCAACTCCGGGCTCTTTCCTGCATCATATGGAGAAGATCCTTTGGAGTGGGATAAAGACATATTCCCTAAAGCTCTTGGGTGAAAATAATAAAAGGAAAAGGAATCCCATTATCTTTGATTTCCATGACTGGTCTAAACTTCACAGGGCATCATTCTCATGGATTCTTGTGTGTTAGGAACAGGCCTTTGATCGCCAGTAATTAAAAGTATCCAATCCCATGATCTAGCTTAGCTCCCTGTCTGCGGGGTAGGTCTTTTGAGGCTCTCCTCCCAGCCTCAGCCCTGTTCTGCTGGCTAACATGCATCTGTGAACATCCTGGGTTAAGGAACGAACCCAAGCTGTGTCTTCACGGGGGTGAGAGGAGTCCTGGTCCTCTCACAGATCCAGGTTCAGGAGGTCTCTGCTCATCTCTGCAACAACCACCCTTTTCTCCCCTCATCATAAGCTCCTCCTACATCCGCTGTAGACCTGTATGGCTGCTAAAATTTGGATTTTGCTATGGGTGATAATAGAACCTTGTGCCCATGTGCCCGTGTCCCCCTGCCCACCTTGACCCTGACCTGGCCTCACTGTTTCTGTGCATCCCTCTGTGTCTCTGCAGATCTGCACCTGCAGCAGCCTGCTCCTCAGTGTCACCTCTGTGATGCCCCTGCTTCCTACTATGGGGGCATCGGGACCCTCTGTCAGCTCACTTCCCTATCCCCTGGTGGTTTGGACAGTGGGTCCCCCAGAGGCACCAAGGAGGCCCCAGTGTGTCCCTTCCACCTATGAGGACTAAGCATCCTCACATCCACTGCTTTCCGCAGGTCTCCCTGACTAGCCAGGACCCACTGCCCTGGGATTCCTTCCCAGAGGTGGAGTTTCCATCCTCGTACCCTCCTGGAGCTGCTCACTACCTCCCTCCCCCTACAAGGACACCCTGCACTCTTCCTGTCTCGTGAGAACACCCAGGACCTAGTTGTCCTAGATATTTATTTTAATCATTTAAGTGGAAGATCCCAGTCCTCCTCCTTCATCCCTAGGCCAACACACCTCTTGACCTATCCTGGATGGACCAAAGTCATAATAAAAGAAACCAGCCTACCAATAAAGGTATGTGGTGTCCAAAAGCAAAAAATAGTAGCTGCATTATTCAAAACAATTGACTAATTCTTGATGAGGTTAGGGAGGGAGAATACCACATTTTTTTTCCTAAAAGGTGTTTTATATTGCTTCATAGAGTCTACAATTTTACAATTCTCTTTTAACACAGTGCCTTGGCCATTGCATAGCGAGAGAAAGAGAGAGACTATTTCAGGATTGGGAAGGGGCTGTGCTTTCAAACAACCTTTGAAATCTTTCAGATACAAAGGGAGTATCTGTACATATTAAAGTGAAATTGAGTAGCATTGCATATAATATATGTGGTGACTTTTCTAAACTTTATATGGTTGATTATTTAAATCTGTCACCTAATTATGCATTAATTATAATATCTATTCTGTGCCATGTGGTCCTTGCTGATTAACCTTGATAGCTGCCCCAGTTTCCCTTCTGTTGACCCAAGCAAAAAAGTCTAGATGTGAGAGAAGACAAATTGGACCACTGTGATAAGGTGTGTTTTCACAGAAGGAGAAGTCAAAAGGGCCCAGGGGAGTTGTAGGGTCTTCTTCTGAAATCTCTCTCTCTGCTCTGTCTCCTTTCTAAGCATGCTGTTCTTATCTCCCCTTCATCTCATTGGGGTACTTTCAGGTTTGGGCCTCTCACCTCACACTGCGGCCCCAGAATGGCCAGGAATGGGACGGGAAAGCACTGCTGGGATGGGCCATCCAGCTGTAGGTCTCATAGAGAAGGGCTGTTTCTTTTCTTCATTTAATTTCTGCCACAGTGGAGAAAGGTCAGAGCTCAATGGTCAAGATCAAGGTGTGAGTTTCAGGTAATGGAGACCGGGATGCATAGTATGGGCACCTCTCATCTAGAGTTTGAACTGGTTCCTAAAGCTTGCCACCAGGAAACATGATGGAGGTGTGTGGGCAAAGCAGGTGGACACGCACACATACATGCACTCACGGAGTGCTAGGGTGGTTGGTCAAAACTGTTGCAGGGTAGAAGGTCTAGATATGAGGAATATGGAACTGGGCATGGGCTGTCCTCACAGAACCTGTGGTCTCCCTCAGAAGACAATTACATTTCTGTAAAGTTATTGCATAGCATGAATAATTATAATAAGAACACAAGAAGAGTAATTCTGTCCAAGGTGCATAGTTGGGCATGTCCCTGTCCTGGTCATTGTTGTAGTTTTCTGCAGCATTTCACAGACCCTCACAACACCATGTAAGTTAGGTTCCATTATTGTTACCTCCGGTTCTGCAGGACACTGAGCACAGGGGTGCAGTCACTTCCTCAGGGGCACACAGAGTGGAACCCAGGCTCACTCTGAACCTGGTGCATCATCCTTCAATTACTGAAAAGGACAAGTAGACATGCTTGGGAAGAAACAAATCTATCTGCATGGGAGTCTGGGAGGCTTTATGGTAGAGACACTGAGTAAATGGAGTTTGCTGGGTGTGGGAAGGTACTGGGGAATGGAAGGCATTGAGGGGAAAGCTTGATGCCTCTCCCAATGAAGCTCCAAGTCGAAGGAACCCCACATTCTGAAATGACCTTGGACAGATAGTCAAGGGCCAGGTAATAAGTCATTTATATTTTCTGAAACTTGAGTTTAAGTCATCCTTTCTCCTTCATTGTTTTGAAAAGTTTTATATGTTCACCATCCTCTCTGGCATTTATGCTTTTTAGTTTTACCTTGCTTATGTGTAATATTAAAATGCACTAAGCAACTTAATTACATGGATGATTTAAAGGATTTCTGAATTTTAGAAAGCTTCAGAAGTCACTTTATCCAGCATCAGTAGCTTTATACCATAGATGTTCAGAGTGCTAGCTAGCAGAAAGTTCTAGATAATGCAAGTGAGTTCAGCAAAATAACAGAATGGTGAAAGAATACAAAAACAAGGAGATCTCCCAGAGCAAATGTCATGTAAATGACCTTTCAATTAAGGAGAACGTGAAGGATAACGAGGAAAATTGCCTGACCAGAAAGCTCTGTTAGGAATGATGGTTGAACCAACCTGTAAACAATGCCATTGTAGACAGTTCTGCTTCAACCTGAAATGATGCAGCCATGCTGCCTAAAAACTGGAAGATATTCTAGGAATATCTTTGGTGTATGAACATGGGCTCTCCACTATGAAATTATGGTATTGGCCGGGCGCGGTGGCTCATCCCTCTAATCCCAACACTTTGGGAGGCCAAGGTGGGCGGATCATGAGGTCAGGAGATCGAGACCATCCTGGCTGACACTGTCTCTACTAAAAATACAAAAAATTAACCAGACGTGGTAGCGGGCACCTGTGGTCCCAGCTACTCAGGAGGCTGAGGCAGGAGAATGGCGTGAACCCGGGAGGTGGAGGTTGCAGTGAGCTGAGATTGCACCACTGCACTCCAGCCTGGGCGACAGAGTGAGACTCCGTCTCAAAAAAAAAAAAAAAAAAAAAAAAAAAATTATGGTATCATACTAAGAAAAACCTTTCAGATGTGGGCACGGACCCAGATCTCCACCGTCCTCTTTTCTCACCTTGGGGAGGCTGAGGACAGATGTTCCTTCTGCCCCTTACTCACCAGCTTCTTATGTGAGGCCATCAGTTCCAACGTGGAAGCGTAGTAGGTTGGATGCTGATTGCATACCCCTTTTAGCACGCTCTAATCAATTAAATTTTCAGTTCTTGAAAAACAAAGCCATTCTTTAAAATATGCCTTTAATGGAATTCAGCAGCAAATGCATTGAAAGCAGCATGCTTCCATGGAATTAAATATTGGGGTTACTCACTTATCATCTCAGGTCCTCTGTTTCCACATCTATCAAATGAAGTATTTGCCTGGGTGATCCTGAAGTATCTTTCAGCTTTGACAACCATGAGGTTTGAGCTAGGCATTTAGCAGAGTAGAAAGGGAATCTAAGGAGGATAGCACAATGGACAGGTTGCCAGGAAAGAATCACATGCCAGATGGCCAGCTAGCCACTTAGCCTGCTCATGTAATAGCCTGGAGTACTTGTTCTGCAGCTCTTGCTTGCTTTGTTTTAGCTGTGGACATCAGACAACCTAACGCTGCCAGTCTCCTACCTGTTTGGGTCATCTCCAATTTGTTAATGACTCCACTTGAGATCTGAGCGGCGGAGTCTGGGACCACCCTGGGATCCTGGTCCAGCAGACTTGGTCTGTTAGTGGGAGGCACTGTGACATGCTCCTGTTTTGCCCTGGAATCTCAGGAGACCACCTCAGAGGAGGAGTAGGTTCCTCCAGCTTCATTAGCTGCTCGTTTAAAGAAATCACATGGTCTTTTCCCCATCAGTTACATTTCGATAAAACAAGCCTGCAATGAATTTTAGTTTTCTGGAAAATAATTAGGAATGACACATGAAGTGAGCACTCTGGCACATTCCTCTCTTGCTGTATTTAACATAGAAAATATCTGGGTTTCCCATGCATGCAGATGCAATGAGTGGGTTGTTTTTCCAGCAGTGGCAAAACACGGGTGCAGATCCATGGCCACTTTATCAAAACTGACTAAGCTATGATTTAAATTGTACTGCACAAGTGGGACGCTCACTGCTCTCCCTGCTCCTTCTCAAACTGAAGGTCAAGATAATAGGGGAAAACAGACATGCAAACGTGGTTGTATCCACTGTTGAATTTCGAAGTGACTTGGGTACCCTCATTAATCTATACAATTACACCATCATCCCATAGTAACCAGCTTTGATGGCCAGTACACCAAGTTCCATTGTTGGAAACTCCTACCAGAATTAGAAACAACATTTTGTGGAAAAAAAAAAGGTATGCTGTTTAGACCACACTCTCTGAACATGTTTGCTCCCCAACTAAATTAGCAACCATCGATAGAATATGCCACAATTTTTCTTCCTCTCTTTTCCCTGAGACAGTGAACATTTTTTTTTCTGAATTGTATGTCATGTTTTCCCAGCCTGTCTGCAGTTCCCCAGTTGTGAATGTGTCACTAATCTCTTTCAGCCTTGGTGAGGCGATGCATATAAATTCATAAAGGAAATTCCTGATCACATTCTGTAAAAAGAAGATTATTTAGAAGCAGGAATCTATTTTGATAGAAGGAAAATCTAACCCTTTTTATAACTGCTTCTCTCTCTCCTTGTAGTTTGTGGTATTGAAGGTGGCCATATCTAGTTAATAATGCAAATCACAATACAAGGGCACCATTTGTAGTTAAGGTTAAATGATCTTCCAAGGCTTTTACTAATTGGCTGCCACAGACAAGCTGTAAAGGCAACTCGTTTCTATGGATTCTGACTTTTCTTGTTTGCATCCAAGTCTGTATATGTGAGGAGGACAAAAGGATTAGAAAGGGGTGATCTAGTTCCCTAAATCTCAGTTCTGTGCAAACAATTATAATGAATTCATCATCTCACATATATTAATATTTTATATAAACATATTTTAGAAAACACAAAATAACACTAAATATTCAAAAGTATCATACTATTTAAAATTAGAACATAGACGTGATGGGCAACATACAATTTGATAATGTTAATTCATTTAGATAGGTTAAAAACAAAGTGACATGCTGGATCTTTTTGTAAAACAACAAGAAATAGTCCTAGTAAATATCACTTCGATGTGGGCTTTAATTGCTTTTACTGTAATTAATACTGTTCAGTATTAATTGCTTTAATTGGCTTAGAACATAATTAGTAATATTTTATTAAGTTAATAAAAACCTCACGTATTGCACAAAATTATACTTAAGTATTAACTCAGCATTAAGCTTTAAGCCATGTATGTTTCATATGAGATATATATATATCACTATTATTCTGACTTCATTTTTAATTTTAGGAAAAACCAATATTTGAAATAATATCAGGAGTTTAGATGGGGCTAAAGATAATACTTGTATGTGTTTTGCGTCTGTTTTATCAGTATAACCTAGTTTGATAAACAACTGCACATTATTTACAAGAAGGAGCTGCTTACAGCCATAGAACACTTTGATTTTCATTTAAACTTTTTGTATTTATTTATTTATTTATTTAGTTTTTAGAAACAGGGTCTCGCTCAGTCACCCAGGCTGGAATGCAGTGGAGCAGTCATAGCTTACTGCAGTCTCAAACTCCTGGAGTCAAGCAATCCTCTCACCTCAGCCTCCCAAGTACCTGGGATTACAGGCACATGCCACCAGGTCCAAATCATTTTTTATTTTTTATAGAGATGGGGCCTCGTTTTGCTGCCCAAGCTGTTCTCAAACTCCTGGTTTCAAGTGATCCTCTTGCCTTGGCCTTCCGAAGTACTAGGCCACCGTGCCTGGCTTTAGTCCCCTTCTTAAAACTTAAGTCCACCACTAAATTTAAAGAGTTACTGTCATTGTGCCTGTTTCAATGGTCCAGCTCAAACTCTGTCTCCTCTTTGAATACTTCCCTGGCCTCTTCATACTCACTTCCCTCCTGGTGCCTCTGTCTCTCTCCCAGTCCCAGAACACTGTACCTTGAGTGGTTGTCACTGTACCTGTGAACTCTTTTTAGGCATTAGCCATAGGGTGGTGAGCTTTCTTCTTCTCAGCTACATTGCTTGGCAATGACTTCAGCTGTGGCCTCCAGCAAGCTATTTTCTCAGCTGGTTCAGTTTTCTTCACCTACAAAATGCTCATGACTTCCCTTGCCTACTTTACAGTATTGTAAAAGAGACAGCACGCAAATGCCACTAAAATGCAGTGAGAAGGGTGACGTGTACTAGAGAGACCCTAGCCTGGGATTTAGGATGCTTGGGCTCCAACTCTTAATCAGGAAAAGGTGCCTAATCTTTCTGAGTGTATTTCTACCTAGGAAATAACGAACTTGAATTATATGCTTCTAAATTATAATTTTCAAAAACTTAAGATGATTCTTATGAATATAAAATAAATACTGTCAAGTGTTTTTATCAACTCATTAATAAATAAGGAACTCAGTAAAATGACAATACCAGTTAAAGGAGCATTTAAGGAACTAGGCATTTGTAGAAAATTGAATAAAGATATGTTAAGGGAAAAGATTGCTGTATTAGATACAAACCTAGTAAATCCCTACAGGGAAATAAACCACAATCTTCCAGGCTATCTTTTCTGCCAGACAGAAATTATTTGGATCTCTGCTAGGCAAAAATTTACAAGTTAGCAAGTAACTTCACTATATTTGGGATGTTGAATTAATAGTTTTAACAATGTCTATTAAAAGGGCTTTTCCAATTCTAAAAAGCCCTGAATCAATATTACTAGCACTTAATTATATTAATGGTAATTCAATTACTAAAAAAAAATTACTTTGAAAATCTGACCTTTAGCAACTTCTGGCGCTTACTTTGCTGTTTGTTTTTGTTAACCCTCATATTACAAGAAAGTAAGTTTTCTCTCCGGATGATTTATGATTAAAACATGGATAATTTTATCTATAAACATTCAAATTATCATGAAAACACCAATAAAGGAGAATCCTCATCAGTTCTCCTGATCAGGTCAGCTGATGTTTTTTGTTTTTTTTCTCTGAAACACTATTACGTGTTGGCCACAATCTCCATGTAATATTAATCTGCTACCATCTAATATCTGCTTTCTAATACCATCTAATATCTTCATGTTTCATTATTTTGTTATTTATTTTCTCATCTCAGAGGAGATTCCAAAGTTCTTTAGTTTTTTAAGAATTCTTATGATTTTATAAATGCAATTCTAATTATCTTTGTCAAAAGGAGTTCAATCTGATGTATCCTAGAATTTTCTTTCCTTTTCTTTTCTTCTTTTTTTTTTTTTTTTTTTTTTTCAGTGTGTCACCCAGACTGGTGTGCAGTGGCAAGAACATGGCTCATTGCAGCCTTGACCTCCTCAGGCTCAGGTGATCCCCCCACAACAGCCTCCTGAGTAGCTGAGACTACAGGTTTGCACCACCATGCCTGGCTAATTTTTGTATTTTTTGTAGCAACTGTTTCACAGTGTTGCCCAGGCTAGTCTCGAACTCCTGGACTCAAGCAATCCTCCTGCCTCAGCCTTCTAAAGTGCTGGGATTATAGGCATGCACCACGGCACCAGTGAATTTTCTATTGATATATTTCCAATTTGAAATTTAGGAATCTATCTAATATTTTATTTGCCTGTTTTCAAGTTTGTTCTTGTTACACATAAACTAACATTTTATCCATACACCCTGGTTGTATATTGTCTATGCATTTCTATTGTTTAAGTGTGGGTTTGTGCAGAGCAGAACCTGTAGCAAGCACCGAGTCTGACTAGTGTATCTGGGAGGTGACCAAGGAAGCAAAGGTAGACAATAAGGAAATGAAACAGCCACGCCAAGGTGTGTGTGGAGCAGGTTACCATGTTGTGGACCACACCTCAGAGTTATCCTGATGGAGGACGAGGATGCTGAGGGTTTGTCCTCCAACTCAGTTCATTATTGGCTGAGGTCCTGACACTTCCAGTGGGCGGAAACTGTAGGAGAGAAGGGAAAACTTCCCCATTGCTCTTGGAAGGCTTGATGAACATCAACTGACAAAAGGCAGATGAATAGGAAAAAATGGCATGCAAATTTATTAATGTGCCCTGGGGACAATCACAGACTGATGACCCCCAACACAATGGGGTACAGATGGTCATATACCCCTCTTCTTAGGGGAAAGGGACATGGAGAAAGGTGGATAATTTTGGGGGGGTGGGTAGTAAATGATTTTTAGGGGAATTCAATGGGCCTGAAGAACAAACAGTGGCTTGGGACAAAATCTGTTGGGCCTGCAGAGTAGACAATGATTTGTAACAAAAGTATGTAGGTGTGTTGACAGACTTCAGTCTCCCTTCATGAGATATTAGTTCAGTTCATGTAAATGCTGGGAAGGGACAAGAAATGATTGATTGTTTTTCTTCTCTGTGGGGCCTGGCCTTTAGGCAGACAAGGGAACTTCAGAGAACAACTTCATCCTGTGTTTGGGAGAAACAGAGGATTGAGAGACAGGAGAGCAGGGGAAGGTCAGAGAGAGCTTGAGGTATCTTCTTCAGTTCAATATGTCAAAGTGCCATACTTTGGGCTATTGGTTGATAAGTCCCAGCAAAGCATCAGACGGAGAGTTGCAGGGACAGCCGAGGGCATAAGGCCTGGGGCCATGTATTAGTCCATTTTTATGCTGCTGATAAAGACATGCTTGAGACTGGGAAGAAAAAGAGATTTAATTGGACTCACAGTTCCACATGGCTGGGGAGGCTTCACGATTGTGGTGGAAGGTGAAAGGCACATCTTGCATAGGAGCAGACAAGAGAAGACAGCTTGTGCAGGGAGACTCCCATTTTTAAAACCATCAGGTCATGTGAGACTTATTCATGAGAACAGCATGGGAAAGATCTGCCCCCATGATTCAATTACTTCCTGCTGGGTCCCTCCCACAACATGTGGGAATTCAGAATGAGATTTGGGTGGGGACACAGCCAAACCATATCATTCCACCCCTAGCCCCTCCGAAATCTCATATCTTCACATTTCAAAATCAATCATGCCTTCCCAACAGTCCCTGAAAGTCTCAACTCATTTCAGCATTAACTCAAAAGTCCACAGTTCAAAGTCTCATCCAAGACAAGGCAAGTTCCTTCTGCCTATGAGCCTGTAAAATGAAAAGCAAGTTAGTTACTTCCTAGATACAATAGGGGTACAGGCATTGGGTAAATACAGCCATTCCAAATGGTAGAAATTGGCCAAAACAAAGGGGCTACAGACCCTATTCAAGTGGGACAGCCCAAAACCCAGTGGGGCAGTCAAACCTTAAAGCTCCAAAATAATCTCCTTTGACTCCATGTCTCACATCCAGGTCACACTCATGCAAGAGGTAGACTCCCATGGCTTGGGTGGTTCTGCCCTTGTGGCTTTGCAGGATACAGCCTCCCTTCCAGTTGCCTTCACAGGCTGGCATTGAGTGTCTGTGGCTTTTCCTGGTGCACGATGCAAACCATCAGTGGATCTCCCATCCTGGGGTTTGGAGGACCATGGCCCTCTTCTCACAGCTCCACTAGGCAGTGCCCCAGTAGGGACCAACCCCACATTTTCCTTCTGCACTACACTAGTAGAAGTTCTCCATGAGGGCCCCACCCCTACAGCAAACTTCTGCGTGGGCATCCAGGTGTTTCCATAGCTCTTCTAAAATCTAGGCAGAGGTTCCTAAACCTCAGTTCTTTACTTCTGTGCCCTCACAGGCTCAACACCACGTGGAAGCTGCCAAGGATTGAGGCTTGCACCCTCTGAAGCCATGGCCCGAACTTTATGTTGGCCCCTTTCAGCCATGGCTGGAGCAGCTGGGATGCAGGGCACCAAGTCCCTAGGCTGAACACCACAGGGACCTTGAGCACAGCCCATGAAAACACTTTTTCCTCCTACACCTCCAAGCCTATCATGGGAGGGGCTGTTTCAAAGGTCTCTGACATGCCCTGGAGACATTTTCCCCATTGTCTTTGGGATTAACATTCGACTCCTCATTACTTATGCAAATTTCTGCCACTGGGTTGAATTTCTCCTCAGAAAATGGGATTTTCTTTTCTATTGCATTGTCAGGCTGCAAATTTTCCAAACTTTTATGCTCTGTTTCCCTTTTAAAACTGAATGCCTTTGACAACACCCAACTCACCTCTTGAATGCTTTGCTGCTTAGAAATTTCTCCACCAGATACCCTAAATAATCTCTCTCAAGTTCAAAGTTCCACAGATCTCTAGGGCAGGGGCAAAATGCTGCTAGTCTCTTTGCTAAAACATAACAGGAGTTATGTTTGCTCCAATTCCCAACAAGTTTCTCATCTCCATCTGAAACCACCTCAGCCTGGACCTTATTGTTCATATCACTATAAGCATTTTTGTCAAAGCTATTCAACAAGTTTCCAGGAAGTTCCAAACTTTTTCACATTTTCCTGTCTTCTTCTGAGCCCTCCAAACTGTTACAACCTCTGCCTGTCACCAATTTCCAAAGTCACTTCCACGTTTTCGGGTATCTTTTCAGCATTGCCTCACTCTGCTGGTACCAATTTACTGTTTAGTCAGTTTTCATGCTGCTGATAAAGACATACCCAAGACTGGAAAGAAAAAGAGGTTTAAGGACTCACAGTTCCACATGGCTGGGGAGGCCTCACAATCCTGGCAGACGGTAAAAGGCATGTCTCTTGTGGTGGCAGACAAGAGAAGAGTGCTTGTGCGGGGAGACTCCTGTTTTTAAAACCATCAGATCTTGTGAGACTTATTCACTATCACAAGAACAGCACAGGAAACACCTGCCCCCATGATTCAACTACCTCCCACTGGGTCCCTCCTACAACACATTGGAATTCAAGATGAGATTTGGGTACAGACACAGCCAAATCATACCAGGCCATGAATGCCAAAGGGAGCAGCACCATCTACATGGATGTATCTGTAAAGGTGCCTTTGGTGAATATAACACTTTGTAAAGCTTGTATATATGGAGTCTTTAGAATAATGCCTGTTCCTGGTTTTTCGTGTCTTATTCAGCCAAATTTTAGTTGACCTTTACCCAGTTCTGAACTCCTTTGAGGCTTTTGTGCTAGAACAAGATTTGGGGAATTCAGATAGCAAGTGAGTGATCATACAGCTCTGAATTGTTAAGAGCTGGGAAAGGGAACTTGGAAACCATTTAATACACTTTGAACTTTACAGAGGATTAACTGGCCCCAAAATACCCAGTGTTGCATAGTAAGCTCTTGTACTATGTATGATATCCCTTCCTACGGAAAGAAAAAAAAAAACATTTTAGCTGATGTCATGATTTATCAGCATAGGCTCCAGGTGAGAGTTATGAGTTACTGAAATTGCCTGGAGTTCTTCCATTTCCTTTTAAACAACTAATGTCAGGCATATCTAGAATAAAAGCTGAAATTTAAAAAAATTAAAAAAACCCACAAATTTTCTCTCCCTTCACAGCTTTCCCCAAATCACTCAATTTCCTCCTCTGCTTCTCCTGTGGGCTAGAGTAGGCCCAGATATGGAGTGGCTGGGCCTTGACAACCTTCTCTGACCCCCTCTTACTTAGATAATCAGGACTTTTGATATCTATTAGAGTGGGCAATGGTGAATAATAGATAATCCAGGATTTAGCATGGACAAATTTACCCACTGAGAATAAATCGGATTTGAGTAAGTGAAGGCATTTTTATTATAACTGTATGATCCAGGTATGGATTCCAAAATTTCATAGTTTTGCAACGAAGTGATCTAATATGTCATGCATTTTAAAGGCTCAAGTCTGGTTATTTCTGATGGATGTTTTGGCTTCATAGTTTATTTATGTGATGGCTTGAATACTGATTTATTTAAATCATGATACATAGTCTGATTACTAATGTTTAGGCCAGGGCAACAATTTCACTGACTTTATGAAAGAGATTTCATTTCGCTGGAAAATTACACTCAGATCATGCAAACCTCTGTCCTCTGGAGTTGATATGTAAAGAAAAGAAAGTTATTTGTGAACAGATTGGAGAGGGGATTATGGGATTAAAAGAAAGGGAACTGGATGAAGTGGGTCTTCTCTGAATGCCCTCAGCGGAAAGAACAAATCATGTTGTATGTGTAGGAGAAGTGCTCTTTTATTTTGTCTCCCTGTGCATAAGTTTGTGTATGAATGTGTATGTATGTGGATATGTGAATGTTTGTATGTGTGAATTTTTTACTGTGTTTGTTTCTAAATAAGCCCACTCATCCTAAAGTTCCAAAGAAGAATTCAATCTTTCCCAGTCTCTCAAATGTCATCTCTTCTTTGTTTCTACCTTTTCTTTTCTGCCTTTTCTGGTTTTGAGAATTTTATAAGATTCCATTTTTTAATTCCTTCAGCATATCAATTATTCTTATTTTTCCCCTTGTTTGGGGTTGTACTTGAGTTTGCAATATACAGTGACAACTAATCCAAATCCACTTTCAAATAACACTATACCACTTCACAGGTAGTGTGAGTACTTTACAACAGTATTACCAATTTTCCTCTCCCATCCGTTACTACATTGCTGTCACTCATTTTATCCATAAGCTATAATCATCAAATTCTTTATTGCTGTTATTTTGAACAAACTATTATCTGTCAGATCAATTAAGAATAAGAAAAATAAAATATTTTATTGTATGTTCATTCATTCCTCCTCTAGCGGTCTTCCTTCCTTCCTGTAGATTTGAGTTTCTGACCTATATCATTTTCCGTCTTTCTGAATAGCTTATTTTAACATTTCCTGCAAGGCAGGTCTATTGCCAACAAATGTTCTTAATTTTTATCGAAGTCTTTATTTCTCCTTCATTTTTGAAGGGTAGTTTTCCTGGATGCAGAATGCTAGATGGGTGGATTTTTTCTTTCAACACTATAAATATCTTGCTCCATTCCCTTCTTACTGCCTTGATTTCTGAAGAGAAGTCCAGTGGAACTCTTATCCTCTGCTTCTCTATAGTGAAGGTGGTTTTCCCTCTCTGGCTTCTTTCAAGCTATTCTTTGTGTCTTTGATTTACTGCAGTTTGAATATCATGGGCCTGCTGCTGAGTTCCCGAATCCGTGATTTGGTGTCTGTCATTAATTTTGGAAAATTCTCAGTTATTATAGTTTTAAATATTTCTCCTGTGTTTTCCTATCTTTTTTTTTTTTACTTCTGGTATTCCCATTTGTGTTATACATTTTATAATTATCCGATGGTTTTTTAATGTTCTGTTCTGTCCTCTTAACCCTTTTGTTTTTCTCTACATTTCAGATTTGAAAATTTCTATTGACATTTCTTCAAGCTTACCGTTTTCTCAGCCATGTCCAATCTATTAATGAACCTATCAAGGACATTTTCCATTTTTGATGCAGTATTTTTGACCACTAGCCTTTCCTTTTAATCCTGTCTTAGAGTTACCTGGTTTCTGTTTGCATTATCCATCTGTTTTTACATGTTGTCCACTTTTTCCATTAGATCCTTTAGCATATTAATCATAATTGTTTTAACTTTATGGTCTGATAATCCCAACATCTCTGCTTTATCTGAGTCTGGTTATGATGTCTTTTCTGTTTATTTAAACTGTGTGTGTGTGGTTTTTTTTTTGTCTTTTAGTATGCCTTATAATTTTTTTTATTAAGAGACAGACATAGTGTATTTGTAAAAGGATTGGAAGTAAATTAGTCTTTATTGTGAGGTTTTATGTTTACCTTGCTAGGAATTTGGTTTTATTTTTGCAGTTAGCTGCAGCTATAGGTGTCAGAGGCTAACATTTTCTCTAGCATCCTTGTTTGGTCTCCCCTGTTGTCTTTGGATTTCCCTAGAGAGTTGTTCTTAATAAGGTCTGAGTCATGTAATTCCTTCCATCATATCCCCCTGTTGTTTTACAGGATGTGGTGCTCAGGGGCTACGGGGGGAGAAGTGTTCTGTGTGGTTTTTTTTTTTTTTTTTTGAGACAGCGAGTCTCACTCTGTTGCCCAGGCTGGAGTGCAGTGGCGTAATCTCGGCTCACTGCAAGCTCTGCCTCCTGGGTTCACGCCATTCTCCTGCCTCAGCCTCCCGAGTAGCTGGGACTACAGGCGCCTGCCACCATGCCCAGCTAATTTTTTATATTTTTAGTAGAGACGGGGTTTCACCGTGTTAGCCAGGACGGTCTCAATCTCCTGACCTCGTGATCCACCCGCCTCGGCCTCCCAAAGTGCTAGGATTACAGGCCTGAGCCACCGCGCCTGGCCTCTGTGGTCTTACTGGTAGGTGTCAGTCTTTTATCAAGCCTGTGTTCCTGGGCTGTGACCTTCATAAACAATTCTCCATTGTTGCCCCCATCTTTAAATGAGACAGGAAGGCTAGAGGGGGCTGGAGTTGAGTGTTTCTCTTTCTCCAACTTGGTTTGGCTCTGATAAAGCCCCAGCCAGTTAGATGATGGTGAAACAGTTTACTTGAAGGTAGGCCTCGTTAAGAACAGAATGCTCTCGGCATATTTCAGAATGGTTTCTTATTCCCTCCTCCTTCTGAAGGCATGATGGGATTTTTCTCTGATCTTTACTGTGAGAACCATATAGAGCTCGTGGAAGTAAAATTCATGAAAGTAGGGGGACTCCCCCAAGACTGGACTCCTTGGAGTTTTTAACTCTGAGATTTTTGTCCCCACTGAGTCTCCAGCAATTTGTCCATTACAGTTTAGGTTTTCTCACCCCAGTGCTGGCTGCGGAAGAGATTCCTGCTTGTGGGCTTCTGCTCCAATATGTTGTCATTCTCCGTATCCACCTATCTGTCTCTCCAGTTTTGGAAGCAGTGATTTGCCTTGTGACCTGAATTCTTTGATGGATCTAAGACGAGTTTTTGATTTTTCAATGAGAATAAGAGTGAAGACTTTCAAGCTCCGTATATGCCAGGACTGGAAACCAGAAGTCCTCCTACTTTTTTGTTTCCTGACACTTTCTTATACGTAGGATCCAAGCTGGTGATTTCAGCTTTTTCCCTCAGCAATATGTCTGCTTGGATGTGGGGATGAGAGATGGGAGGCTGAGATGAATTTCAGGGTTCATAATTTGTGTTGAGTGGATGGAAGTATGATTAATTTATAAGCTTTTCACGTGTGTAAATCTGCCCCTTGCCTCTCCATGCCCCAATTACAAGAGTAGCATGAGGAACTTGTTATCTTAGAACATAATTTATCAAATGTTAAATGTAGTTATTATTATTGCTTCCAAATTCTGTGATTTTTGAAATTAGAGTTGCATTGATAAAACTTCATTAAAGATCAAGCAACAGCTAGATGATCCGTCTCTAAGCTTCTACACTCCATTCACTTCAAATTTATTGAGTCTCTAATGTGCTAGGTACTCTTCCAGGCATTGGAAATACAGCAATAAATCAAATGGCCAAAAACTTCTAACTTCCTTGCATGTTGATGCCATATTCTAGGTTAGATAAAAGTTAAAAGCAAGCATGTAAAATATACAGTCTACCAGATGGAGACAAGAGGTAGGGAGAAAAATTTACGGAATATATATTGAGATGTCAGTGAAGGGAGATGGCTCTTTGAAATAGGGCAGTGACAGCTAAGTTAATTAAGTGACAAGAGCCTTCAGGGCAAGGGAAAAAAACAAGTAAAAGTTCTAAGGCAGAAAATACTCAGAAGAGTCAAAGAACAGCTGGAGGGCACCATATGGCTTTCACTCGGAGTGAAAATGGGAGCCACTGGAGAGCTTTGAACACAAAAGAGGCATGACTTGATTCATGCTTTGAAAGGTTTACTCTGACAGTTGTATGGAAAATAAATGGGAGGAGAACGAGAGTACATGCAGGGAGACCAACAGAAGGAAGAGATGATGGTGGTTTGCACTACTGTGTTTCAGAAGTGGTGGGGTGTTTTTGGATTTTGGATACGTTAAGCATATAGTGGATGCTATTTGACGAGGGACTGAGTATGTGGTATGAGCAGAGAGAGGAGTCATAGTATCAAGTTGTTGTTTACAGAGATGAGGACCACCGTGGGAGGAGTTGGTTTCGGTGGAACGATTAGGGAAACATCTGGAGCTTTGCTTGGGGAATAGTTGAAGTGTTTGGCAGACAGCATCGGGAAAATGTTGAGTGTGCTTGGATATATTAATCCTAAATTCAATGCAGAGGTCCAAATATAAATTTGGAAGTCATAAGCAAGGAATAGACTTTTACAGCCTTGAACTGGATGAAATCACCTAGGTGTAAGTGAAGGGAGAAGAAAAGTGATTGATAGAGCACTTCTGTATTAAGGGGCTAGTGAGATGAGGAGAAAGCAGCCCGGGACTCCGTGAGCTGTGCTGATGTGCTAGGGACTGTATCCTGGAAACAACTGACCATGCTGTCTTTAAGATCTTTCTTAGCCAAGGTATAACTGTCTTCATCTGAGGATAGTACTTTAATTTTGAGTTTGTGCTATTACTTATTTGTCATGAGAGTATTAAGTCTGTTCTTTTTTTCTATCAAATTACCAAAGGCCATTCTTTCGCTTGTTGAATCTAGTTCACCAAATAGGCTATGCTTATTTTTATAGAGCCCTGTCTTGTGCTCCTGTGATATGCCCCATAGAAACTAGGAGACTGCACGTCTAGGCTGTGGCTTTGGGCAACTCATTTATGCCTCAGTGTTCCTGTCTGAAAATTCATTCATTTAGTTGCCCAGAAAAATTCTGATGTATGCTTGTTTCCCAGTCATCTGTCCAGTCCAGTATTTGTCTCATTTAAAAAAATTGTCAGTGAAATACAACATTAGATGAAATATTTTCAGCCATCTGGTCAACAGTGTCAAGCCAACCGGAACATGGGTCACCTAGTGTTTGTGAGAGGAAGATACAAAGTCTAAAGGAAAAAAAAAATGACTTTTGCCTTGTAAAAGCTCACTGAGTGTGAAGCATAATACAAATGTGCATGTCATTTTCTTCATTGTTTATTTTCAGAAAAACGTGTTAATTCCAAAAAATAATGTGTGTCTTTTTATAAGTGCTTAAAAGCTTGAAAATAAAGTAACTTGTATATAATAAAACAAAGTGTATGATAACAGCAAAATTCCATGTTCGTTTTCATAATGTCACAAAGCAGAGTGATGCATTCAGTAGTGGAATGTTGGTGGAGGCCAAACAACTGATATTTTTATTGACTGTTCTTCCGGATTTCTTTAGAAACAAGCTATAATTAAGGACTACATGACAGACTTTCCACAATAGATTTCTTCTGCTATTTTTCGGTTAATTAATTATAATTTGTTCAACAAATGGGAAGTGTTTAATTTTACTCAATAGAAATGCAAACATGTCAGCTCAATGCTGTGTACGCGCCTAGTAGTGACTATATGTCTAAATTGTGAGACCCGAAGTCAAGTCATCTCTGCAACAGAAAATACCCAGGATACAGCATCATTGCAAGCAGTGAGAAGATGGCTCAGGCTTCCAAGTTCTGGAGCTTTCCTTGATTAAATGCAAATCATTGTGACTGGAAAAAATTCTCAGAACATTAAAATCTAGTACAAGCCTAGGAAATGAGACTCAGGAATTGCATTAAGTGAAATGATTCCAGTCATCCTATCACAAACCCACCTGCTTGCTGAAAAAGTAAGAGAGCATTTTAATAGAAGGACTTTTGAAAACTACTAAGAACAAATGCAAGTAAAAAGTGAAATACACACGCACACACACACAAGTGCTTGATAAAGGGGACGTTGGAGTCAATTTAATTGACGGAAGAGTTTAATTCATGTTCTAGATAAATTATGAATATTAGAGAATCATGAAATTGCCCTGATGCTTGGTCCTAATTATTTAGTAATATTCTGAGCCTTAGATCATCAGCACAAGTCTGAATTACAGATTAATGTTAAATAGGAAAAAGTGGTGCAAAAGAGAGGAGTCTTGTTAATAATACAAGTAATAGAAATGGCACTAAAATGTTAAACTCATAATATGTATCAAAGTCTTCACTGGAAACTTTCAATATGTGGTATTTGAGCCTAATAATAACTTTCCAATATAGATCTTATTTTTTTATCATACTACATCAGATCACTTCTCTTGATTTATATTTATATTTGTATTATATGTTTTGATTAGAGTATAATTGCTATATAGTACAATGCACATATCTTAGATATTCAGTTGAATGTATTTTCATACTTGCATACATCTGTGTAACCACCATCCAAAAAATATATAGAATATTTTTATTATCCCGAAAATGTTCCTCCTGCCCTTTCATGCAGCAGGTCTTTTCATTCTGATGCTTTGACATCATGAGGACTTCCTGACTCTGGAGTGGTCACCCCTCCTAGGGTTATTTAGCTAATTCTTAAGATAGCAAAACACTTTCTCAGGAGCTTGCTTCTCACATGCAGACCAACTTATCAGAAGCCCACACCTCAACCTTTTAAAACACTTTACACTCGAATTTCTCACAGCCCTGAGGCAACTGTATTGTTTCTATCATCATAGACTACGTTTTTGTCTTTGTCTTTGAACAGTTTGACTATCTTGTGTCTAGGTGTGGATTGCATTGTGTTTCTCCTACTTGGCGTTTCTTAAGCTTATTGGACATGTAGATGGAGGTTTGAATCAAATTTTGAAAGTTTTCAACCATGATTTTTTAGAACATATTTTCTCTCCTTCGCGTCTCTCCTCTCGTTCTGGTACTATCATTTCACCTGTGTTGAAGCACTAACTGACGTCCCACAGGTCTCTGAAGCTGTGTTTATTTTTCTTCATTCTGTTTTCTTTCTGCTGGTTTTGAGAGTGGATCATCTTTACTGAATGATCATTAAGTTCACTGATTATTCTATCAGCTCAAATCTGCTGTTGAGTTCCTCCAGTAAATGTCTAATTTTATTTACTGTCCTTTCAAATCCAGAATTTTCATTTGGTTCATTTTTATCATTCTGTTCTATATTGACAGTCTCTATCTGGTGAACCATCATCATATTTCCCTTAATTCTGCAAGCATGGTTTCCTTCAATTCTTTGAGTATATTTATAATATCTTCTTTGTAGTCTTTGTCTGTTAAACCCAACATCTGGGCCCTCTCAAAGAGAGTTTCTATTGAATGACTTTCCCCCTATGCATGGGTTACACTTTCCTGTTTCTTTTAATGTTTGATAAGTTTTTGTTGAAAACTGCGTATTTTAGATAATATATTGTGGCAACTCTGTATTCTGATATCCCCGGGCTGTGTTATTGCAATGTTTTGTTTGTTTACTGACTTGCCTTGACTAAGTCTGTGGCATGTTTACCTCCATAGGTATGGCCTCTGATGTCGTCTTCTCTCTCTCTCTTTGTTTTCCTGGTGTTTTCTATCTTTTTAAGTCAGGCTTCCTAAGTCTTGCCAGTGGATCAGCACACTTTACTGGTGACAACTGATTAGTCACAGCTTGTCTTTAAACTGCTTGAGTGAGTTTGTTTCCCGTCCTTTGCTGTCGGATTTTTAAAACTGAGGAAGTTAAGAAGTATGGCCTGTGTTCATCCAGGGACTTTTAGTTCCAACGGCCCTCTCTAGCCTCTTCTAAGTTGGTCCAAGATGAGTGACAGCTTAGCAAGGCTCTCTTTTGCTGGATCTTCGTGTTAAATTTCTGGCTGATCAGCTTTTTCTTACTTTCCCCACTGATATCACAGCAATGTTAGCCTCCCAAGATTGTTTGTCACCGAGATCTATATTGTTTGAACAATAACCCTGGGATTTTTCCATGGAACTTGGGGGACTTTTTTTTTCAGGAGAATTTTTCTGTGCTCTGCTCCAAATAAAGTCATCCTTGTGTGGTAGTGCTGTGGAGCTGTCAGTATTCATGGGAGGCCCTGCTTTCCAGGGCAGAATTTACATGTTATGGAGCTTGAATTGGATGTGAGCAACCCCTGGCTAAGATGCTACAGACTCCGCTGTTTATAACCAGACTCAATGGATTTTCTTGAACAAATCCTTTTCAATTTGTTGTGTGTCCTTTGGCCAATATCTAGACATTTTTAATTATAACTGAGAGAGGAATGGCCAAGTTCTTCACACAGATACTCTGCCACCATAGATCACTTTGTTCTTGGATTTCAGAAAAATGGAATCACACAGGATGCACTTGTCTATGTGTGTGTATCTGGCTTCTTTTGACAATTTAAATAACTTTCCATGTTACTGTGCATATAAAAGTTGCTCTACTTTTTAAAACTTTTCATTTACAAATAATTTTACCTTCACTTGGAAACTTCATTAATATTATAGAGAGTTACTTGTGTACCCTTTACCCAGAATCTCCAAATATACTATGATCAGAGCAAGGAAACTGACTGTACAATATATTAACTAAAGTACAAACCTTATTTGAGCACTGCTTTAAAACCCTTGTTAGACAAGGCTACCATGTGTGATCTCTCGGTGTTGATGTCTGCTGATTTCTAATTCCTGTTGTAATTCACGTTTTTTTTTTTATTTGATGAGTCATTCTGTATTGTATTCTGGACATTTTGAGTATGAAATTATGAGACTCTGGTATTTAAATCTATTGTTTTAGCAAGAAATAAATGGGTTAGTTTTTGAGTGCACATTCTGGCCTACTTTTGTGGGCTGTTATTTGAAGTTAATTTTATGTTCGAAGCCTATTCAACACTATTTTGGCCTGCCCTAGTTTGCACTACCCAGAGGCCATTTGTAATTAGGGGGTATTCCATGTTCTAGTTCATTTCTCCAAGCTTTTTTTCTGTTAATTCTGGTTGGTTTCATTTGGTGTATCTCCAGGACTTGATACACATGTGTGAATATGTTTTCTTCCAGATTCCTCCTTTTTAGGTGGCAGCAAAGAGATGGAAGCAGAGACTCTTTGCTGTTGTTTGCTTAGTTTAGTGTGCAGTGGGGATCACAGGCAGGCCTCTGTCCCCCAGTCTCCACAGACCCCAGCAGGGAGGGGGCCAAATGTCACCTCTGCTCATGACAGTACAAAGTCAGTGCACTCTGCAGTGCTGAGAAAGAAGGAGGGAGGGAGGGAGGGAGGGAGAGAGGGAGAGAGGAAGGGGAGGGAAGAGAAGGGAGGAAGGAGGGAGGGAGGGAGGGGAAGGAGGGAAGGAAGGAAGGAGGGAAGGAGGGAAGGAGGGAGGGAGGGAGGGAAGGAGGGAAAGAGGGAGGGAGGGGAAGAAAGGAAGGAAAGGAAGGAGGGAGGGTAAGGAAGGAAGGAAGGAAGGAAAGGGAGGAGGGAGGGAGGAAAGGAAGGAAGGAAGGAAAGGTGGGAGGGAGGGTAAGGAAGGAAGGAAGGAAAGGAGGGAGGAAAGGGAGGGAGGGAAAAGAAGGAAGGAAGGAAAGGAGGGAGGGAGGGTAAGGAAGGAAGGAAGAAAGGAAGGAAGGAAGGAAAGGAGGGAGGGAGGGTAAGGAAGGAAGGAAGGAAAGGAGGAAGGAAGGAAAGGGAGGAGGGAGGGAGGAAAGGAAGGAAGGAAAGGAGGGAGGGAGGGTAAGGAAGGAAGGAAGAAAAGAAGGAAGGAAAGGGAGGGAGGGAAAAGAAGGAAGGAAGGAAAGGTGGGAGGGAGGGTAAGGAAGGAAGGAAGAAAGGAAGGAAGGAAGGAAAGGAGGGAGGGAGGGGAAGGAAGGAAGGGGATAAGATGCAAACGCAGAATTGTTTTGGCTGTGATTCAAACATTGCTGTTGGATTTGCAGCACAGGAAAGGCTAAGAAGGCTCATTTTTAACAAGGTTTCAGAAAAGCCATTCAGTACCATTGATAGCATTCTCCAGGAGCAGGACCACAGAATCGGTCCTTGGCAATGTTTAGGAAAAGTCACTCAAAGAGCTGTGGGGTGCTGGGATGGTAGATGATTGGCTGTGTTATCTTACCCCACAATGCATTAAAACAGGTCTGTTAATGACCTGTCTGCAGTAGAAGTGTGTGGAGTGAGTCCAGACAGACTCAGCGGAGAGTGCACCAACTAAATACCATGGGCCCCAAGAAACAGATCAATGCACAAAATAGAAAACCTTCTGGAGAGTCTGCCTGTGAGTTAAGACCCCATGGAAGAAGAAGAGCTAAGAAATGAAGGTGGAGAGAGGAAGAGAGAGAGACAGAGAGACAGAGAGAGACCTGAATTTTTCCTCGCCTTAACCCATGCCTGGTTCTGATTTTGCTAGTTACACAATCCAATATATTAGCTTTTATTTTCTGCATAAGTTTAATTTACATTTGATTGTATGACTTGTAACTGAAAGTATCCTAACACATAATGTTCCTGCTGAACAGAGCAGTCCCACAAATCGATACCAACAACATGAATCAATAAAACACACAATGCAACAGGGAAGTGTGTATATAATGTAAATGGGAAATTTACACACAAGAAAGATCCAAATAGAAAGTTAACAGAAAAATCAATTCCATTTCATTAAAATAGAAAATACGAATGAAAGCAACAGAAGCTACAGAGAGTTGCCATGTTAAACTATGAGATTAGCAGAAAATAAATGGTTTGAAAATATCCAGTGGTAAGTGTGTGTGGAAAGGGGTAGTTTTATGATAGCGTAGATCAATGTAATCTTTGTGAACATAACTTAATATCCAGTGCAGGTTTCATTTAAGTTTTTCCTGCACCACAGGGAACACACCATATGCTCAAGTAAATGAAAGCTTTTTCAACCAAATTTTGTACCAGCGCCACCACTGTTATCTGCGGTGAAATGGGTTATTTTGATAAATAAAGTATGTTGTTGGAGTGTGTGTAGTCCTCAGAAAAATGGTGTTCACTGCCAACACATCATCATTCACTATACATGCCTGATGTTTTCAGGTAACATCTTGCTTCTAGTACATCCCACAGTCTAACTCTGATTGGTAAAATATACACATGTAATATCATCCTACAGAACAATCCGTCACAGCTACTCAGAGCACGTAATTCAAATGACCCTTCGAGTTAACACATCAACTTATATTTGGTAAAATGCTTAACAAACCAACCAAGTATTTGCTTTTCATCGCTTCCTTTAACAAATGTAAAAAAGTAAAATAATTGAACATGTTGTGGTGTACTCTCTTTTATGGTTGGATTTAAAAGCAGCGCAAAATATGCGGGCATAAAACTGCCTGCAGGGCATAAAAACTGTCATAAAGTTAAGGAAATAGGCAAATAATTATTTGAGGACAAAGAATATATTCTATCTCACCTCTTAGGCTAAATTTTTGTGTGCCAAGAATTTATTAAAGAATGTTTACAAATATGGATGCCAGTGTTAAGGGTATAAATTTCCCATGATGCTCCAAGTGAGATGTTTGTTATTTGTTTCAACTTTTAAAAATTCAAATGCACATTATGATAAAATCAGAACAGATATTGAGCAATACATTTTTAAGTGAATAATGCTTCACAAATCATAACACCTCAAATTGATTTTGCTTCTTTCGTATATTACGCCACTGAAAATTGAGAAAACAAACCACTATTATTTACTGTTAACATTAGTTCTGTAGAAATTAAATTTGACTTCACCAGAAATACGTGGTAAACTGTGAACAGCTTACAATTTGTAATATACAAGTTAAGAATGAACAAGCCAAGAAAAATTTAATATTTTTTTTCTTCTGAAGCACTAGACTTCAAACTGCTGACATAATTTTTGTCTGTTTTGATGAAATACACAAGAACTTATCAGAATATTATTTAACAGCCTAGCACTCCTCAGTGAGTCCAATAAACCTATAATGCCCAGCAATAGAAACAGGGCTCATGGACCATGGGAGTCATTTTGTCAGGGCAAGCCCAGGGAGCACTGGGGTGCACATTGTCTGCCCTCTTGACTCTCAGCACGTCCCTCCCATCTATGTTGGTGTCCTATGGTGAGTCTGGTCAGAGCCAGAGATCACTCCATCTTTGGCCTTCTAGGTAGCGCAGGAAAGAGAAATGAAGAAATTCTATATCAGGGCTTTAGGGTCTGTGTGGAGAGTCTCTCCTCACTTCTAGGAAGTCTATGGACAGCATTCTGATAAAAAGACATAATCAGGCCGGGCACGGTGGCTCATGCCTGTAATCCCAGCACTTTGGGAGGACGTGGCGGGTGGATCACTTGAGGTCAGGAGTTCAAGACCAGCCTGGCCAACATGGTGCAATGCCATCTCTACTAAAAATACAAAAATTAGCCAAGTGTGGTGGCATGTGCCTGTAATCCCAGCTACTAGGAGGCTGAGGCAGGAGAATTGCTTGAGCCCAGGAGACAGGAGTTGCGGTGAGCCAAGATCACACCATTGCACTCTAGCCTGGGTGACAGATGGAGACTCCATCTCAAAAAAAAAAAAGACACAATCCCTCAGGTTACAATGGCACCTGATGCAGATGTGGAGAATAAATGTTCACATAATATTCAGCAGCCCTTGTAAAATAGAAAAATAGCTTCTCTTTTAATATTTTATAGGCTTTATTATAGTTCTATTACACTTGTAAAGCAATATGCTGTTACAGGAAATGAGTTTACATAAATGGCATCTAGACAACTTTAAATCTGAATGCTAAGACATCAGAGCAACTCCCTTAGTTCAGGAGACAGATCCCAAAGTGCAGGTTTAGGTTTGCTTATGATTTCATATATTTAGAGAAGTGGTAATGTAGAACTACAAAAGACTTCAGAACTTAGTTCTGCACTTCATTTTCAGGTAGTAAAAATAATAATAATAATAATATTTAATGCCGATGTTAGAATACCTACTTACTAGGAACTGTTCTAACACCTTCCCTGTATTCGTGCTAATATGCAACTGAAAGTACAGGCCCTGGCTGCCACTGATCAGATCTGTGACCTGGGGAACATGGGGGCCTCTGTTTTGCAAAAAATAGGATTAAAAACTCACCTGATTTCAGAGGATTGTTATGAGGAAAAGGAAGAGAAATCGTATTTTCTTTTCACCTTATGGCTTTGATTTTTGGGTGTAAACACAATCAAAACTGGACCAGGCTTCTATTTTCATGTCCACAGTAATTATTTTAAATTCTTTGTTTAAAACACGGTTATATGATCTCAACCCATTCTCTTGGCAGTGTTGTTCGCTAACCATATAGCTCAATCAGCATGAACTTAGGAGAAGAGCAGCAGAGTGTGGACACTGTCCACGCATTTACTACACACACATACTAGCAGCTTGGATGAGAATCATGTGCTGAAATTTGGTGTGAAAAATTAATTCTCAGTCCTGGTACATACCTTTGCTGTGACATATACCACTGTCTTTAAATTTTTTAAAAATGATCTTTGTATTTTAGAATAGTTTCTGGTTTATAGAAACACTGTGAAGACAGCACAGCATTTCCACATACCACATCCCCATTATCCCCACTGTTAACATCTTACATTTAGTACCATACATTTATCAAGATTCATAACCCAGTATTGATATATTAACTAGCCTCCACGCTTTGTTCATATTCCATCCTTTTCATCTACTACCCTTCCTCTGTTCTAGGATCCTGTCCAAGATACCACATTGCATTTAGCTGTCATGTTCTCCCAGGCTCTGCTTGGCTACAACAGTTTCTCAGACTTACATTGTTTTTGATGACCCTGACATTTTTGGGGATGACTGGTCACATATTTTTTAGAATGCACCTCAATTGGGAATTGTACAATGTTTTTATTATCCATAGACCGGGGTTATGCGTTTTTGAGAGGAAGACTGCATAGGTCAAGTACAGTTCTCATCATACTATCAATGCAACTTGTCACCTTTGATGATAACCTTAAACACCTGGCTGAGGTGGTGTCTGCCACGTTGCTTCCCTGTAAAGTTATTCCCTTCATCATGCAGTACTCTGCATACTTTAGAAGGAAGTCATTATGCCCAACTCACACTTTAAGGACTAGGGCATTATTCTATACCTCCTGAAGGGAAAACTACATAAATCATTTGGAATTCTGAAAGGTAAATTTGTCCTTCTCCCTCATTTATCAATTGACTCAATCATTTGCTTCTATCAGTAGAGACTCCTGGATATTTATTTTATACTCTGGGTTATAACCCAACATTACTGTATTTATTTTGTTACTCAAATTGCTCCAGCGTTGGCCATTGGGAGCACATTCTGTTAGCTCCTTTGTTCCTTTGACATACCCAGCATGATTATATTTTTTATATTACATTTTCTTTCTTACATTCTGGCATTTCAAGATATTCCACACTTATATTCTGTTTTTTTCTCCAATCCTAGAACTAGCCATTTCTAAGAGCCCCGGTTCATTTCAGTAGAGAACGGTATTAGAAATCTGGATGTGGTCTGGGCGCAGTGGCTCATGCCTGTAATCCGAGCACTTTGGGAGGCCAAGGCGGGCAGATCACGAGGTCAGGAGATTGAGACCATCCTGGCAACACGGTGAAACCCCATCTCTACTAAAAATACAAAAAATTAGCCAGGCGTGGTGGCGGGTGCCTGTAGTCCCAGCTACTTGGGAGGCTGAGGCAGGAGAATGGCGTGAACCCGGGAGGTGGAGCTTGCAGTGAGCTGAGATCACATCACTGCACTCCAGCCTGGGTGACAGAGCGAGACTCCGTCTCCAAAAAAAAAAAAAAAAAAGAAAAGAAAAGAAAAGAATCAGGACATGGGCGTGAAGAAAGTTCATTTATACTGGAGTGCTGTTGCTTCTAAGCCCTCTCAGCTTCCAAAGCAGGAGAATATATGTGTTTATAATGACCATATACATATACACATACATATAAACATATCTATAAATATTTCTCTGTATACCCTTCTATATCTATATTTAATCAGTTACATCATGGATCATTCTAGCCTCCTCCCTTGTTTATCTGTAAACTCTCACTTCCACAGATAGAATCCTGGCTTTCCATTTACCACCCACTTGCTTAATTTTTTAAGGCCAGAAAATGTGTAGTGGTTTCAGATAGTACCAGTGAAGCTGCAATTCATTCTTGACTATATCTTCTTATTAATATATGCACTCCTTTCTGTTGAGCATATACTATGGAGTGGCATCTTCTGCCTCTGGCAAGATGGAATAGAAAGGAACAGAATGGCAGCCCCGCTGATACCTTGATTTCAGCCCATTACTGAATGGGCTTACGATCTATGCCAGACTTTTGACCTACAAATCTGTAAGATAATAAATTATCATTATTGGATTAGGGTTAGGGTTTCAGCCTAAGTATTTGAACCTATGTGTATCTTTCAGTCTAAAGTGAATCTCTTATAGACAGCATATAGTCTGATCATGTTCTTGTTTTAATCTATTCTGCCAATCTGTGCCTTTCAACTGTATTATTTTATTGTTTAATATTTAATGTAATGACAGATAAGGTAAGATTTACAACTGGGGTTTTTATATTTGTTTTCTGTATGTCTTAGGTCATTTTTGTTCCTCTCACTGCCTTCTTGTGTATTAAATATGTGTTCTCTAGAGTACACTTTAATTTCCTTGCTGTTTCTTTTACTACATTAAAAAATTATGCTCTTAGTGTTTTCCCTGAAGATTATAATCATCACCATAAAGCAATCCAGCTCAAATTAATACTAACTTTATTTTAGTAGCTTACAGAAATATTGCTTCAAATTTTATCCCCTTTTATATTTATTATTATCATATAAATTACATATTTATGTATGATAAGTATATAAGCACAGTTTAATAACTTTTGGTTTATTCAGTTGTATTTTGATCCCTATGGAAGTAGAAAATTGTTATTAAAGTACATTGGCATTGTCTTTTATATTTACCTATATAATTACATTTACCAGGGTTCTTTATTTGTTGTATGGCTTCTGATTACTCTGTCTATCCATTTGTTTTTTCATTTTAGCCAAAAGACTCTAGAATTTCTTGTAAAGCAGGTGTGTTAATGATGGGTGCTCTCAGTTTTTAAAACCTGGGAATGTCTTAATTTTGCCTTCGTTTTGGAAGGGTAATTTTACTAAATACAAAATTCTTGGTTGACAATCTTTTTCTTATGACAGTGTTAAATATATCATCCCATTGCCTTTTGACTTCCATTAGTTTTCATGACAAGTCAGCTTTTGATCTTGTCGTTAAGCCCTTGTACTATGAGATTTTTTTTTCTTGCTTGCTTTGAAGAGTCTCTCTTTGTCATTGTCTTCTGTCAGCTTGACTATTATGTGCTTAGGTGTGGAGTTCATTGAGTTTTTTATTTTATTTGGAATTTGTCAGGCCTCTTGGATATGCTGATTAACTTTTTATATTATGTTTAGAAAGTATGAGGTCATTATTTCTTCCAGCTATCTTTGTGACCTTTCCCCTCTGCCCTCTCCTTCTGGAGTTCCCATTGTGCATGTGTTTGTACAATTGATGGTGTCTCCCAGTCTCTGAGGCTCTGTTCATTTTTCTTATTCTTTGTATCTGTTTCCCCAGACTGGTAATCTCAATTGACCTATCTTAAAATTTACATTTCCCTGGTTCTTTATTCTGTCAGATCAAATCTGCTGTTGAATCCTTCTTGTGGATTTTCATTTGCTATATTATACTTTTCAAACACAGAATGTCTATTTGGTCCTTGTACGTAATTTCTATCTTTTTATTGCAGTCCCTCATTTGATGACACTTGAAGACTTGTACATATTAACAAGCTAATTCTAAAATTTAGCAGGAAAGGCAGAGAGACTATAATATCTAAAACAATTTTGGAAAAAAAGAACAAATCTTGAAAGCTAACACTACCTAATTTTACCTATTACTATAAAGCTACAGTAATCTTGAAAGTCTTATTGTCAATAGTGTAGATACATAGATCTATGGAACAGAATTGAGAATCTAGAAATTAACCCATACTAATACGGTCATCTGAATTTCAACAAGAGTTCAAGAGAAGAGATAGTCTTTTCAACAAATAGTCCTATAAGAATTGGACATCCATAATAAAAAAATGAACCTAGATATACACCTAGCACCTTACACAAGAGTAACTAAAAAGGGATTATGACCTAAATGTAAACAAATAATTCTAGAGGAAAATATGGGACAAATTCTGCTTCATTTGGGTTGGGCAAGCATTTCTTAGATACTGCACCAAAAACATGACCTATAAATGGAAAGACAATGGATAAATTGGACATTTTTTTTTGAGACAGGGTCTCACTGTGTCACCCAGGCTGGAGTGCAGTGGCATGATCATGGCTCACTGCAGCCTCAACCTCCCAAGCTCAAGGGATCCTCCCACCTCAGCCTCCCACGTAGCTGGGACCACAAGTGCACATCACCATGCCTGGCTAATTTTGTTATTTCTTTGTGTAGAGACAGGGTGTTGACATTTGCCCAGGCTGGTCTCGAACCCCTGGCCCTCAAGCAAACTGCCTGCCTCGGCCTCCCAAAGTGCTGGGATTACAGGCATGAGCCAACATGGTGAGCCTGTACTTACTAAAGTCTTTTGCTCTGCCATAGATACTGTTAAGAGATTATGAAGACAAATTACATACTGGAAGAAAATCATTGCAAATTTCATTTGAACAGAGCTTGTATCCAGAGTATGTAAGGAACACTCAAAAGTCAGCAATAAGAAAACAAGCAACCCAATAAAAAAATGGTAAAAGAGTTAAACAGATACTTTCCCAAAAAAGGTATATAAATGTCAGATATGTGTATGAAAATATGCTCAACATAATCATTAGAGAATGGTGAATTAAAACTAGATTGCAGTACCAATACGCACCTATTAGAATGTCTTTTGAAAAATTGCAGAATAAATGCTGGTGAGGATGTGGTGGAACAACTGAGCTCTTACACATTTCCTCTGGAAAGCAAATGGTATAGCGACTTTAGAAAATAGTTTATCAGGTTACACAAAGTAAAACATACACCTACCGTATTATCAGCATTCTCATTTCTAGGAAATGGAAACTCATGTCTCACACACACAGACTTGTACATAAAAAGTGACAGCTGCTTTATTCATAATTGCCAAAATTTGAAAGCCCTCCAGACTTCCTTCAACTGATTAATTGATAAACAAACTGCTGTACATCCACATAATGAGATGATTTAAAAAAAGCTCTTGATTCATGTAACAAAAATAGATGAATCTAAAAATGAAGGAAGACCAAAAACTACATATTGTATGATTTTATTTACATTCCTCTGAGAAAGGCACAATTATAGGAGAAAAAAGAGGTTGGTGGTTACCTGGGGCTGGAAAATGGGGAGGGGTATTATCAATGAAGAGGTAGCATGGGAAAATGTAGGGAGTGATGGTATCGAAGTGGTGAACACAAGACTATGCATTTGTCAAACCCAATAGAACTGCACAACAAAAAAATACATTTTTACGGTACATAAACTTTAAAAAAATCTGCCAGAGTGTAAGCACAAAGATGAAGTTCATACTTCAACAAATGAATCTGACTGTATTATAAGTGAAACATACGCCTACATGGAAGGGGGCGGGGGTGCAAAGAGCTGGCCAGAGTAACAATATGCTGACTTGATTTTGTAAAGCTAAAGACCAGAACGACTGCAATTTTAGTTTTGACTAACTTGTTTATTTCTACAATCCTGATACATAGGGAAACGATACCTGTGGAAATCTACAGTTCTCTAACAATTTGTTATTTGATCTAGAACTTGTAATTTCTCTATATTTTCTGATTTGCCGTGTCCAACTGCCTCTATGTGGCTTTCAGGCAATATTCACCATCATTAGGACCTACCTCACGTAATTAACTTTACTTTAAACTCTCTTATCACCTTCCTTTCTTAGTCTGTCCATTTTGCCCCCTTCATGTACCACACCATACTTCCTCTGCCAGATTGAGGGCGTATTCCCTTGGATTTTTTAATTCACATTGCTCTGAAATTTGCCTCCGCCTCTGCTCGTCTATGGTTTGTCCCTCACCATTTCTAAACTCTCCTCCAGCCTCCCGCTTCTGCTGATAGTAATTGGCATGTAGCTAATATGAAGTAGAGGATTTTCGTGTGCAGGTATTTTTCTTGGTGTTTATGGTATCACACTTAATCCTCATCTCAAATTCCAAGGCATTTTCTTCTCTGAAAAATTTTTTTTTTTTTTTTTTTTGAGACGGAGTCTCGCTCTGTGGCCCAGGCTGCAGTGCAGTGGTGCGATCTCGGCTCACTGCAAGCTCCGCCTCCCAGGTTCGTGTCATTCTCCTGCCTCAGCCTCCCGAGTAGCTGGGACTACAGGCGCCCGCCACCACGCCCGGCTAAATTTTTGTATTTTTAGTTGAGATGGGGTTTCACCGTGTTAGCCAGGATGGTCTCGATCCCCTGACCTCGTGATCCTCCCGCCTCGGCCTCCCCAAGTGCTGGGATTACAGGTGTGAGCCACTGTGCCCGGCTCTTCTCTGAAATTTTAGTATATAATCTATACCATTTATAAATGTGGGTCAAAGACTTAATGTCTATATCACATATATGTCAAAGTCATTTATAAAAAAGCCTGGGAATGACCTTTGCAGGAACAACAGTTTCTGGATGGCAAGGCCTTACATTGTGCCTGATACATACATATTTAAAGATGATATATTTCAATTTGTAAGTTTTCAGAGGTGGAGCTGAAGAAGTAGGTAATATTGCCATACTGAAAACCATGCTTATTAAATTGACTTATTTACTCTCATGCGACATATTGTACTTTTAATTTATAAATATTTATTGGGAAATCACAAATATATGTATTCATACGTGTGTTTTTGTGTGTGCATGTGTGCAAATTGTGAAAAGTCCTTTGAAGAAAATATTAATATATACCTATCTTGTTTTTTAAAAAGTAATTTGAGCTGAAAATCACAAATATGTGCTGATTTTCTACCAATGTGGTATAGTGGAAGTGTAGAAAGTAAGGCTCCTGAGTTCAAAGAAGTCTTTCCATATGTTTGGGTAGGGGAGATGACAAGCGCGCGCACACACACACACACACACACACCCCTCTATTATAGGACAATGAAAGACATTGTATAATTAAGTAATATTTGAGTTCAGAAAAGGGCTTGCTGACTGGCCAACGTGTACCTGACTATTTGCTTAATTTTTCCAAAGATAGAACGCAGTAGTCCTTGAACTACAGATAAAACCTGCATCGTCAGAGGTAAACAAGAAAGCAGATCAGGCAGAAGACACACTATTACACTATTATTAAGAGCCGGGAAGGGGAAGTTTGAATAGCAAGTGCAGGGCATGCCTGGACTCCTCACAGCAAGGCAGCAATCTGTTTTCTACATTGTGAGTTGAAGCTTCCCACCGTCAGAGCAATTGTTTATGAGCTTTAGTCTTAACTTTGAAAATTGAGCATGGCAGACCTTTCCTCTCATCCACAAATCTAAATGAAAAGAGAACAATGGGTTCAAAAGCTAAAACAATGGCATAGCCCCTCATCAGCTAAAATATGTTATTTATTACCTAAAATTATAGTAAGTTGATTTATTAATAACGGGCTTTCTATTGAACACTTCCTCTGAGTCCCTTCAGAAACTCTTTGAGAAGACCCTGAAAACAAAATGGAGTGATTCAGCTAAAAATGGAAAAATAAATGGATGTCAGTTCTGGCCATTGAAACAGGAAAGAAAGGGCCCTGTGGTTGCTGCAGAAATGAACACGTGCTTTCTCTGCTGGACTCAAACCTGTGCTTAAGATGCATAATAACGGCCTCCAGTCCCTGCGGTTAATCAGTATTCAAGTGCCTTATTTAATTACATGGCAACGGTTCCTTTGTAATTCCTTTGCTTTCCCCAGACATACCTAGTAACATTTGTTCAAACCATAGTGCGTTTCCAATTAATATATCAAAAGGCACAAGCTTAAGCTTTGACATTCGTAGAAACCTTTGACTTGGAAGTATGTTTTCTAAAGAGACTGACTACTGTGCTTGACCTTGGGGCCCTTAGTTAGGAAGGAGAGTATTTTATTTTAGATTCAACTTAAACCGTCGTCTGTACTTGCTATTTGAGTGGCTGACTCTCAGCATTTGGTCCATTTTGTTAAAATGTCTTCAATTTCCTATCTCAAGACTATTAAAATTATTTCCTCTGAATGATGACAGTAGACCCAGATCTTCACACAAAGACAGAAAAGATCGGCGTTGAATCAGAAGTTAAATACCCGCATTTTACTAAGATGCTCTTTCGAAACTCAAGTCCAGAGCAGATGAATCTGGACTTGCTTGCTGGTGAAATATAAGCAGGAGTTATATTCTTGTAAATATCAGTCTATGTGGGTGATCAAAACTGGTGTCTGCTGCATGCTCATTTTATTTTAGTTTTTATTCTCTATTTTCAAGGCTACACATAAATTTTAAATCTTTTATCACTTTGCTATGAAGGGATTTGTCTGAAGCTAATGCCTGATTTTTCAGATGATGTTTTTCTTCTATACAAAAGCCAGATATCGAGAGTTTTAACATTTCTTTTTCCTCTACCTAATAATTGGTAGCTATTAGAACGCTAAAATGAATACTCACCATTATATTTTTTAAATGTTCTTTCAGGGCCTTCTTTCTTAAACTATGTTGTGAGAATAAATAAGTTTATTTGAGAGTTTTACAATTTAAGATTTTTTTGCAAGATACCTCACATTTTGTATTTATTTTGCCATGCTTTAGCAAAGCACTTTGCAGTCATGTACGAAAGTTTCCAATTAATTTATCTGCTTTAAAATACTGTCTTACAATGACTAAAATGCTGCTTTCCTTACCATTGAATAAGATACTATGCTTTGATGTTAAAAATTGATTAGTTCCTTTCACTTTATTACTCTTCCATTCACATGTGGGTTTATTTGTTTTAAATGATATTTAAGAAAGCACTTCATTTTCTTAGAACTAGTCATGTAGGAGAGACCAGTCCAGAATTTTAAACGAGTTTAGAGCTGTATAACCCCATTATTCCTCACCACTAGATGAGGATGTGCAGATTTTGTGCTTTTTCAAATTAGTTATACGTGAGTGTTCCTAGCTCCAGATGAGCTTATCAGACTGAGAGGAAATTGACTGGCTCAAAGAGAACTTCCTATTCTAAATTTCACTGGTATTGTCATCATTGTCTATGGCTGGTTGATTTAACGTGCATTAGTGTAGGGACGTGTGTCCTCTAAACAACGAAGATGTATTTAACCTCAGACCTGGCTCACACAACTACAGAATCCACGACGGGAGACAAAACAGTCTCCCGTTTCATGGATCTTCTCTTCCGCAAGTAGTCCATAGACAGAATTTGGAGGGAATCTTTGAACCTAGATGTAAAGAAAATTTCATTTTTATTTCCACTAACCTCTAACTGAAATTTAGCATGACTTTCAATTTTGAATGAAGCACAAACTACAGCAGTTCCTTAATAAAAATAACAGATTTTCTCACATCGTATTACAATGATTGCAGGAATTTCAAAGTGCCATTTTCGTTCCTTACTACATCAAAATTCTAGTAAATATTGAGCTCACTGGTAGATGTTTTATTTAATGCATCAGCAGAGAGGCGCATATGTTACTGGATTGGAAAAGTGTATTAGTAGGATTATCGTTTACATCAATGTGATTGGATTCCTTAATTACCATATGTATTTTATTTTATTCCTTTAAAAACCAGGGTTCTATTGGCATTATCAGATTGCAAAAAGGCCCCAAGGTGCAAACAAAATTAAGTGCCTCATCCCTAAAGTATTTCACTGGTACTTGAATATTTTCAGGCTTTATCCAAAACAATATTTGAAAATGTGTGAACTTTTTCAATGTAGATTCTGGATCGCATTCAACTTCTTCCTAAGTTTACAGATAATTATGTAGATATTTAAATTTCTCCCTCTCTTGCAGTTATTTCGCTCTCTCACTCCCTTACCCCTGTGACATTCTAACCTTATTTCATGTCTCCTTGTAAGTAACACCAGGTTCACGTCTTGACCTTCTTCCATGCTCTCGCGACCATAGTTAGATTGTCCAGCTGGACTGTAGATTAACTGTGTTCTCTAAGGAGTTGTGCAATGCCAAGATTCATAAAGCTTAAGATGAGAAAATATCCCATATGGAACTTACAAATTCTTCTTCATTATCATGTATTCATTATTGACCAAATAAAAATAAGCAAAGGATAACAATATTTTTAAAGAGGAGAATCATGTCTTTTCAACATATTGTATTCATTCCCTTGAATGAAATCTTAATATGTCTGTGTCTGCCCTAATGCAGACAATTGGCCACAAGCCCAAACACTGAGAAAGAAGAATTTTGACACTGTCAGGGATTTTTAAAAACATAGCTGGTAACCCCATTATTACAGTGATGATTTTATTTTAAAATAGTCATACAGAAAAAGGGCAATGCTTCATAGAGAAGAAAAAATATACAGGGGTGAAATTTTAGGTGTTAATTTAAGTGCTTACAATTGAATGAATAATATTAAAGCCAATCCCTCTTCCAATCTACTTACAAAAGCCATCTAACCAAAGAAAATCTGTAGATGTGATGGGTATTTCAGAGTCTGGTAATAGTGGACTATATAATTCAGATAAACCTCTCTGAAGACAGACAAAAAAAATGCTTGAATATTTCAGAATGCTAACAAGATATTGAAGACTTAAGGGGTTAAGTTCAGGGGAAGGAATAAACAGAAGGATGGCCATTTGGGGCCAACCCTCCTCTATGGATATCAGCATTTTAAGCATCTGAGAGGGTTGAGAGCTAAGGACATCATTTGACAGCCTTGTGAATCTAAGGACAAAATGAGCCTAAGGCCCACCAAGGGGTCAGCCTGGCAAACACCACTTATTTGGCATAGGAATCCTCAAGAAATATATCCTGGGAGTAAGGATAAACTAGAGATATCCTGGCCCTTCCAGGATGGGAAGCTCAGCACTAAATTATGTCAATCTTAAAATCAGATTAAGTGGATCCAGGAGAGCTTGTGCTCCTAGTTACCCAGAATGAAATGCAAATCCTCTCCAAAATATTCTTGTCTTAAGCCCCAAATTATGTTTACAAATTTTCATATTCAATATCCAGGGTTAATAGAAAATGCACAGGCAGAGAAGGAGAAAATATACCATAAGCAACTAACAGGAGGAGAGCAAGAAATAAATAGAAACTGATTCACAAGGACAACTGTGATGGGACGCCCACATCTGGCCACTTGCTCTTTTTTTTCTATCCCCCTGCCTATACATGGGGTCAACCAAATGCCTCACATAGGTCTAGAGCATGTACCTATGTGATCATCCTGGGGTCTTGTGGTCCGGCCTATTTGATAAAGCAGTTATCAATCAGACTGCCAAAGAACCATTACTAGAATGTTCAAGTAAGTAAAAGATAAGATATAAATTTGAACAGTGAACCAGAAACAATAAACAATAAAGAAACAGTGAACTAGAAACAATAAATTATAAAAGAAAAAAATTAAGACTGAAATTTAAGAACTTTGAAGAGAGAATTAGTAAAGTAGAAGATTGGCCAGAATAAAATGACCAAAAAAAAATGTTGAAAAGTTAAAGGATGGAAAATATAGAAGCAGAAGTACCTACCAATCAGGCAATGCTCTTTTACCAAAGAGCCAGGCATATGTAATTGGAATTCAGAAAAAGGAAGAAAATGAGAGAGCAATGATGTTGGAAGCAATGAGAGCTGAGAAATTTTCAAAATGGATGAAAGACACCAAATCAAAAATTCCAAACCCCTATAAACTCCAATCATGGTGAATAAGAATGTGATTAAACACACCTAGGTAATCAGCTGAAAACCAGACCCAACAGAAAATTATTGAAAGCACCTAGAGACAAAACACTAATTTCCTTCCAAGGTGCAGTCATTACCTTGAGAGTTACTTCTCAACTCAGAGGATGGAATTCAGAAGACAACGGAGTGAATTCAAAATGCTTTTAAAGAACTCCTGGCCGGGCTTGGTGGCTCATGTCTGTAATCCCAGCGCTTTGGGAGGCCGAGGTGGGCGGATCACGAGGTCAGGAGATGGAGACCAGCCTGGTCAACATGGTGAAACCCCGTCTCTACTAAAAATAAAAAATTAGCTGGGCGTGGTAGTGCGCGCCTGTAATCCCAGCTACTCAGGAGGCTGAGGCAGGAGAATCGCTTGAACCCAGGAGGCAGAGGTTGCAGTGAGCCGAGATCGCACCGCTGCACTTAAGCCTGGTGACAAAGCCAGACTCAAAAAAAAACAAAAAAAAAAAAAACAAAAAAAAAAAACCGGGCTTGGTAGCTCACGCCTGTAGTCCCAGCACTTTGGGAGGCCGAGGCGGGTGGATCACGAGGTCAGGAGATTAAGACCAACCTGGCTAACATGGTGAAACCCCGTCTCTACTAAAAATATGAAAAATTAGCCACGTGTGGTGGCAGGTGCCTGTAGTCCCAGCTACTTGGGAGGCTGAGGCAGGAGAATGGCACGAACCCGGGAGGCGGAGCTTGCAGTGAGCCTAGATGGTGCCACTGCACTCTAGCCTGGGCGACAGAGGGAGACTCCGTCTGAAGAAAAAACCTATCAGGCCTCCTACCCCAGGAGTCTGCATACTTTGGAGTGCTTTCTTCAAAACTTTTAAGTCCTTCTCTGGTACCTGGGCTGGCTGGGCTGGCAATGCCTACCTTGTAATTGTCCAAGTTCCTCACTGGTAGCTGTGACCTGCAGCATGTCAGTGCTGTCTCACTGGGCTCCCTGAGCCTGGGATGCACCCATCTGGCCCCTGGCTCTTTGCTCTCTGACCTCTTGTTTATACGTGGGCGTCAACCAGATACCCCACATAGCTCTAGAGCTTGTGCCTATGTGATCATCCTGGGGCCCTGGGGCCCGGCCTGGTCTGGGAGGGCTGTCTGGTTAATGGACATTGTCTGCTCACTGGTATGAGCTTGGGCTACAAAAATGATGCTGACACAGGGGTAGCAGTGGGCGTTCTCTACTTGGGGCACCCACCGCCACTGGCCTTCAGGATGTTGGATCTCCCCACTTGGGACTGTGTGACAGGCAGTCATCCAGGGTGGCCACATGTATCTTCTCTGAGGGCTTTTGAGACCACTGCCCAGCAAAGGCAACAAGCCCTGTGCATAAGTGTCCTCTTCTGACTCTGACTGGTGAGGAGTCCTTGTGCTCTTGGTCTGTCTCAGCCGTGTGGGATGCGGGAGGCATGTTCTTTGTGTAAATGGCATGGCTCTTTCTGCTCTGTCATGCCCCCTAGATTCTTACACTGGTATGTCCTCGCAAGTCAGGGTGTGGAGAGTCAAGAATAGCTTATACTTTGAGAGCAAAAGAGCAAGTGTGATATTGATAGAAGAATAAGCAAATGGACAAACCAAATGGAATAGAGATCCCAAGACACAATGATGCTTCCCCAGAAACCTGTTATTCTAAAACTTGCATTGAAAACATGATGAAAGGATGCATTCTTTGGTACATAATTGTAGGACATTACTTTTTTCTGTATAGAACGTAAAATAAAATAAGATCCCTATACACATTACCTAGAAATCAATTCCAGGTTGATTAAGAACATAAATATGAATAAAATAGAAACATTAACACATATGTAAGAAAATATCTCTATGACCACTAAATCCATGATCAGTAGATAATGATATGTTGCTCAGCCTCATTTGTTATTAAAGAAATAATTATAAATGTACACAAAAATGAGATGACATGTCATGCATGTTAGATTGGAAACATTTTGAAGATCCCAGTAAATATGAAGTATTTGTTAAGTGTGGGGGGTCAAGGATTGCTTTACACTGACAGTTGGAAAATCATTATGGGTAATTGGTAAAGCTGATGGTGTTCATCCTCTGTGTCCAAACAATTCTACTTTTAGACAAATATACAAGAAAAATTTCACTTATGCATTCGAGAAGACATTTCTAAAAATGTTCATTGCAATACATCTTGTACTAGTGAAGAATTTATGAGAATCCAAACGTTCATCTGTAGGTGAATTGATAAATAATGGTTGATTTTTTTCTGTATGTGTGTGTGTTTGTGTGCTGAGAGGGTTTTGAAGCGGCAACAGCCCAGTAGCAATGAGTACACCCAGCACCCTTGTCTTGGTCTCTAAATATGATTTTCTAATAAAATAAACTGGGACTCCTTTAAGAAATGGCTGATTCTAGGACTGGGGGAGGGAATATAGGGAAAATAGAGGAAAATGTAGGCAAATGGAGCATCCTGTAGTGCCAGGAAGTAAGAAAATGTTAAAAGACACAAAGATGGGGCATGTAAAAGAAATAAAGGAGCTCCCAATGGCCAAACACTTTGAACAACAAATTAATAATGAAGCCAGCCCAGTGGTGTGCACCTGTAATCCCAGCTACATGAGAAGCTGAGGCAGGAGGATTGCTTGAACCCATGAGTTTGAGACCAATCTGGGCAATGTGTTGAGACTCCATCTCAAAAAAATTGATAATTAAATTTATTGAAATTTAGCCCCCAAAATAAAATATACACGAGTCCATACAGATATAATGATTGAACATATAAATAAATGGGGAGGGAAGAAACACAAATATTCCTGTCAGAAGAATTCAAAATAATTTCTGTAGATACTTCTTGCTAGGAGGCGGAGCTTAACCCCACGCCATTCCCACATGAGTGTGGGCTGGACTTAATGATTTTTTTTAAGACTAGAATATGAAAGGGGGGAAATAAAATATCTTTACAATGGTGAGACCTGACAAACCTAATGGCATCCAAGTGATCAAGGTGACCCTCACCAGTGATGAGCCATGTGGACAGTGTGATATGATGTGTTGAGAATAGCAAATCACCTCTGTGGTAGCCCCTAAAACACTCATGCACATGTTTAGCCACAAGAAAACATCAGGCAAAACCAGATTGAGGATATTTAACAGGATACCTGACCAGTACTCCTCAAAACCGTCCAGGTCGTCAAAAACAAGGCACGATTAAGAAACTGTCACAGATTGGAGGAAACTAAGGAGAGAACACAGATAATCGTAGTGGGATCCAAGGCTGAATTCTGGAACGTCAAGAGGGTACTAGCAAAACTTGGTAAGTCTGGAGCTATTAAAGAGTAGTACACCAATGTAGTTTGTTAGTTTTGTCAATGTACCAGGGTAATGGAAGATTAACAATAGTGGGGAAAGGGTCAAACGTAGATGGGAACTCCGTACCATGTTTGAAACTTTTCTGTAAATCTGATACTATTCTAAAGCAAATTTTTTTTCTTTTTGTTGTTGTTGTTGTTGTTTTGAGACAGAGTCTGGCTCTGTCACCCAGGCTGGAGTGCAGTGGCACAATCTCAGCTCATTGCAACCTCCACCTCCTAGGTTCAAGCAATTCTCCTGCCTCACCCTCGGGAGTAGCTGCGATTAGGGGCACGTGCGACCACGGCCGGCTAATTTTGTAGTTTTAGTAGGGACAGGGTTTCACCATGTTGATCAGACTGGTCTTGAACTCCAGCCTCAAGTGATCCACCCAACTTGGCCTCCCAAATTGCTGAGATTACAGGTGTGAGCCACCGCGCTCGGCTCTAAAGCAAATGTTTATTAAAAAAATAATTGGCTGCCACTTACTACACACCTACTGGAATGGGCAAAATCCGGAACACTGACACCAGCAAATGCTGGCAAGGATATGGAGCAGCAGGAACTCTCATGTATTGCTGGTGGAAATGAACAATGGTAGCACACTTTGGAGACAGTTTGGCAGCTTCTTACAAAACTAAACATACTCTTACCATGTGACCCAGCAGTCACACTCCTTGGTATTTGCCCAAAGGAACTGAAAACATGTCTACCCAAAAGCCTGCACATGGATGTTTGTGGCAGCTTTATTCATAATTACCAACACTTGGAAACAACCAAGATGTTTTTCAGTAGGTAAATGAATAAGTCAACTTTGGTACACCCAGACAATGGAATATTATTCAGGGCTAGTAATAAATGAGCCAACAAGCCATAGAAAAACATGAGTGAAAATTAGATGCATATTACTAAGTGAAAGAAGCCAACTGAAAGGGCTATAACTGTATGATTCTAACTATATGGCATTCTGGAAAAGGTAAAACTATGGAGACTGTATAGAGAACAGTGGTTGCCAGGGGATGGGAGCAAGGTAGGAGGAAAGTGGATGAATAGGTGGAGCCCAGAGAATTTTTTGGGCATTGAAACTACTCTGTACGATATTACAATAGTGGCTATGTGCCATATGTTTGTCCAGATCCATAGAATGTACACAAGAAGAGTGAACCCTATTGTGAACCACGGACTTTGTGTGACAACAATGCGGTAGTAAATGCACCACTCTGGTGTGGGATGTTGGTAATGGGGAGGCCATGCATGTGTAGGGTAGGGCCTCCATGGGGTATCTCTATAACTTTCTCTCAATTTTACTGTGACCCGAAAACTGCTTTAAAAAATAAAGTCTTAAAAAAAAATCACAGACTAGTAGATCTGGGTTGAATCTCACACCAGTGGTTCTATAACAAGAGTAAGTATCAGAAACACTGGAAAATTATTAAATGCAGGTTCCAGGGACTTTTTGCCAGGTCTCAGAAATTGTATTTTAAGAGGACTGCCCTGGGGCCTTGGAATCTGTGTTTTTAGTAAGAGCCCCCAGATGTATTGAATATTAGTGATACATATAAATGAAAATATAGTTGAGAACACTGTTTCCAGAAAATTAATGAAAAGCCAGTGATCGTGCAGCTATTTGTTTGCTGAGCTACAACCAGAAACCAGGTCTCAAAATCCCTCAGGAGAGGCAGGAATGGCTGCTTTATAGTTCTGAAATTATTTCTAACTATTAATGGACCTATGGATCCTATTATCATGAAGAAATGAACATTGACACAAGCAAACCCCGGGACCAAAGCAGGTGAGAAGGTAAGAAATGCAGCGGTAATAGCTGTGAGGGCCGCGGGTCTGCCATGTTTTGGAATTCCAGAGACTTCCAGTGTGGTGTTTTCTACTTCGGGGTGACTGCAGAGGACAATAGAATTTCTCCTCCTCAAGGCACCTGCTGAGCCCTAATTGCCTTCAGACTTCCAGATGTCACTAAGTCTGTTTGCCTGCACATATTATAAGATAAACATTCAAAAAAGACAGGAAACTGGACCCATTGCCTTCTTTTCAGCTTCTGCTGGTAATGCACTTTAAGACCTTGGGTGGTGCAGTGATTTTTTGCCCCATCATCAAGCTTGAAGATATTTTAAGTTTCCATAAATCATCTTGTACAGTATGTATTATACAACTTTACAGAAACAATGTTTAAAGTATTAAGCCAATTAAATGGATTTCTACACAATGGGAATATTTCCAGACCCACCTTTCTGGTCCTTTTTTTTTCTAAATATGTCTGTAGCTTATCTTTTTATCCTAATACCAGGGTTTTTGACAGAGCAAAATTTTAATGTTGATGAAATCCAACTTAATATTTTTTTCTTTAATGGGTCTTGCTTCTGATATCATACCTAAAAATTCATTGTCTAGACTGCTGTCTGAAAGATTTATTCCCATGTTTTTCCAAAATAGTTATAGTTTTATATTTAAATCTATTTTGAATTAATTTTTGTGCATGGCATGCAATATAGATTAAGGTTTGGTGCGGGGGCTATGAATGTCCAATTTTTCAAGCACCATTTGTTGAGAAAGCTATCCTTCCTCCATTGACTTGGTTTTGCTCCTTTGTAAAAAAAAAAATCGCTTAGACATATTTGAATCTACTTATGGAGTCTCTGTTCTGTTTCATTGATCTGTGTATGTACCCTCCACCAATGGTAAACTGTCTCAATTACTGTAGCTATATAATTAATCTTAACATCAGGTAGAGTGCTTCCCCCATTTTAATTCTTTTTTGAAATTGTTTTAGCTAGTCAAATTCCTCTACCTTTCCATATAACTTTTGGAATAGCTTATCTTATGTAGCAAAAAAAACTCTAGCTGGAATTTTATAAGGAACCAGGGAGAATTGACATCTTTGTTATACTGAGTCTTCCAAAACAGGAACACTGTGCATCTCTCCATTATTTATATCTTTATTAGTATGTAGAAAAATATGTAGAAAAAATGACTGATTTTTATGTGTTGATCTTGTATCTTATGACCTTGCTGAACTTACTCATTTGTTCTAGGAGTTAGTTTTTTTACATAGATTTTTGGGGAATTTTGTATGTAGACAATTAGAGAGTGTTTTCTTTCTTTCTTTCCAATCCATATGACTTTGATTTCCTTTTTATGCCTGATTATACTGGCTTAAACTTCCAGTACTGTGCTAGAGTGGTAAGAATGGACATCTTTGCCTTGGTCCTGATATTGGGGATGAAGCATTTAGTCTTCAACCATGAAGTGTGATGTTAGATGAAATATTTTATTTATAAAACCAAGAATGTTTTTCTCTATTCCTAATTTTCTAAGAGTTTCAGTTATAAGTAGATATTAAATTTGTCAAAAGCATTTATCTATCAAATGATAAGATCATGTTAGTTTTTCTTCTTTAGTCTATTGTTACGGTGGATAACATTGATATTTAATCATTGAACTGTTGCTAGAATAAATCCCATTTTGGGGTTGTATAGTCCTTTTAACAAATGGCTGGATTCAATTTACTATTTTTTAAAATCATTTTTCATCTCAATTTATAAAAGATACTATAGTTTTTTTGTACTTTTTTAGTTTAGCTTGGTATTTAGGTGATATTGACCTTATAAAATATTGTGGGAACTATTTCATCCTTATTTGTTTTTGACAAATATTGTCAGAATTGATGCTAATATTTGGTGAAACCTCCATTAAAGCTGTCAGAGCATGAAGCCTTCTTTTCCAGAAGGTTTAAAAATTATATATTTAATTTGTGTAATAGAGTAGTATTCAGATTACTTATTTTATATTGACTGACATTTGACAGTTTCCTTCTGGTGAATCCAAGGTACTGTCTATTATCCTTTTATTTAACCTTTAGTATTTCCCGTAGAGAAGGCTTACTAGTGACATTCTCTCAGTTTTAGTTTATCTGAGAATGTCTTAATTTCTCCTTCATTTTTTTCCAAAGCCATTTTTGCTGACTGTGGAATTCTTGGTTAGCAGTCTTTTTCCTTTAGCACTTTGTTGAGCAGGTTGGTGAAAGAGAGAGAGAGCACACGTGCGCACGCTCGTGTGTGTGTGTGTGTGTGTGTGTGTGTGTGTGTGTGTGTGTGTTGGAATGCTTTCAGTGCTTTGGCAGATAATTTACAGGCCTGCCTTAACCTTCATTCTAAAGTTCGTCTTTCACAGATATTGAAGATCCATCAGCGATGAGACATTAGGACCATTTGTGCCTTTTCTGGGCATGCCTACAGCCCTGCACATGAGTATGCCCTTATAGATCTTCAGTTAGATATTAGAGCTTTTCGAAGCACTGTATTTACAATCTCATCATCCGTGGTATTTATTTAAGGATTTTCACCTGCCTCTTGCTTGCCCGACTAGCGTCACCACCTCAGGCATCCAGGATGTTAAACGACTGTGGTTAGTAGTTTTGGACAAACACTCTGTGGATATGGCTTTCTTCACTGAACAAGCTCTGATTCAGGTCAAATAAAAATAAACCCTATGAATGAGGTTTTCTGACAGAGTGAAGAGGCCAGACAATCCTCCAAAGCTCCTAACCCATTCTGCCCCCGCTACTTGTTGCTAGGCTGCTGGTTTTCATGGTTACCATAGTTATAAAGTTCCTCAATTCAAGGCTGTCACAGAAATGAGAAATGGGGAATGAGAATTGGCCAACTTAAAATATTTAATACCCCATAGCTTCCTTGCATTACTGAGATCCAGCCATTCTTCCTGCATGAACTCTGCTTCAACTGTTCCAAGTGTCTGGTTAATTTTCAAAGTTCTGAATAATTTGATTTTAACTTTTGTTGCTACTGTTACCAGTATTCTTACTGCTTTTATGGGGGGGATTTTCAAAGGCTTTTATATGAGTCAGTTTTTTGCTTCTCTCTTACTGTATTCCTGTGTTTTTAAGTGGTTGCCATAGGATTTACAATATACATATTAAATAAACCAAGCTCCCCTTCAAATAACACCATACCATTTAACATGTACTTCAGGTGCCTTTTCCCGGTGTATCCTCAGCTTCTCCCTCTTGTTCTTTATGTACTGATGGCTACACCCAGTGCATTATTACTATTATCACTTTCAACAGTTACATTTTAGATCAATTGTGAATAAGAAAAATAAAAGATTTTACTTTACCTTAATTTCTTCTTTCTCCAATGCTCTTTCTTTCTTTATGTAGGTTTAATTTTGCATTTTTGTAAATTATTTTTCTTCTGCTTGAAGAACTTCGTATAATATTTATTTCTGGGCAGGTCTGCTGCCATTTTGTTCCCTAACTTTTCATTTTTCTGTGAGTCTGTATTTCTCCTTCACTTTTTTCAGTCATGCAAGTTTCCTAATTAAACTTTGTATTTTGAGATAACTGTAGAGTCACATGCAACCGTAAGAAATAATACAGGAGCTTCCACATTCCCTTCCCTCATTTCCCCAATGGTGACATCCTGCAAAAGGATAGTACAATACCAAAACATGGACACTGATAGAGTCAAGACACAGAACATTTCCACCATCCTATGGATCACTCATGCTGCCCTTTTTTAAGCCACATTCACTCCCTCCTGTCCTTGACCCCTGGAAATCACTAATTTGTTCTCTGTTTCTATAATTTTGGCATTTCAACCATATATAAATGGTATAATACCAGATGTAACCTTTTCGAATTGGCTTACTTTCAGTCAGCAGAATTATCTGATACTCATTCAGATTGTTCTTTGACTCTGTCCTAAATAAATAAAGCGTGTTTATATTGTGTCATCCATTCGCAGAACATAAATCAGTGAACTAAGCTCATGGATTAGAGGTAGGTGGTAAAAATGGGAAGAGGAAATCAGATGTTCTTGGCAGCTCTCACACGCTTGAACGTGGAAGAGGCAGCGTGGTCTTAGACCTTTGTGCTGAGCATTCTAATGCAAAGCCACCCTGCAGGGTTTTGTATTTGCACTGGCTTTCATCTCTCCTCCTGTAACAGTTCAGTAAAGGACTAGGATTTTGTATCATAAATCATTTCTTTGAAGGAAAAAAACAAATATTATGACTTCCCTTAAGGAAATAAAAAATTAATGTGTTATTTTTGCTTCAGTATTTTTTACTCCAAATTTTAACCTTGCATGTCCAGTTACAAATGATATATTTGCTCTCTTAAAAAAATTCACAGTAAAGTAACAGTTTTCTTTGCTTCCTGTTTATTGCAAATCACTGTGGAAATAAATATAATTAATTGCAAAGTTATTTTTAATGTGTTTTGTCTAAATTTGTTTTATATTTATTTTTTCAAGTCAAAGCAACCAAAAAAATGAAAAGATGCATAATCTCTTTAGAACAAACAGCAAGTAAGCCAATAGATTATAAATCATACTTTATCCATTTTAGCAGTGTTTAAAAAAAGTTTTATAGATAATGTACAGTTACAGGAGATTTTTATTTACAATAATTCATGATTAAAGTATATTCAATGAAGTAATTACAACAAGTCTACCATATCATTTTATTTTAAGACTACACATCTCAAATTTGCCATTATTTAAGGCAAAAAATGTAGAAGTAAAGCTTGACCAAGGTTAATAAGGTCAATTAGAGTAAAACAAACTTCACTAGAATTAGAGATATTAGAGAGGATTTACAATTATATGCAGATTGCATAGTTTAGGGGGAAAACGGTATTTTGAAAAGAAAAAGCAACGTGTGTGATAACATTAGAAATGAGCTGTCACCTGTGCTTGATGTAGCACACGAAAAATCATTATTTTCAAGTTGTGGTTACAGCTTAAATCACATTTGAGTAGATAACTTAATGCATACTTTCACATTTAATTGGGCCCTTTTTTTTAAAACTGCATTCAGATCAGTGTGTATAAGTTGTGGTTGATTTTAAGACGGAGAATGCAGAGGGAGCTGAGAATGTAAGTCCCAGCTGCTGAAGCTTGCTCCCAGAATAAAATTATTTATTCATCCAAGGCTGTAATTTTGCAGTTATGTCTAACTCAAGATGCACCCTTTTCATCTTTCGAACAACTATTTCTTTGGTTTGGAAAGAAGGAATGAGATACCAATTTTTCTACATTCCTATTTTTCTCTCAAATATTTTCAGTTAATTAATGTTCATGTTTAGAAGGACTAATTTGAATAAAGTGCTCTACTAGGCATCTGTTAGGTCTCTGATTTATTCTAGAAAATTAAATTTGTATGGATAAAATGTGCAAGGTGGAGTTCCTTAGAGATGTTAATGCTCACAGCCTTTCTTTTTTAATTGTGAAGGAATTGTAGATTTCAGTGCTTATGTGGAATTATTGATTCAAACACTAGGTAACCTCTACTGAACTGAAGTTTTATTCTCAAGCTGCCTAAAGTTTATGGAATAAGTATGTGTAATATTTTTAAAGCAAATGATGTAAACATTTTATTTCTACCTCTTCTCTCCCCTTGGGATCAGTTCATGTTATCTTTCTGGTTCATGAATGTCCCAAAGCCCTCATGGTTTCTCTCTTTCTGGCTCTTCTTGCCGTCACCTGCCTCTTTCTTCCGTGCTGTTATTGTGCTCTCAGGTCACCTCTGTGGGCAGCCTACTCTTTATTCTAGTGAGCCGTGGCTTTCTTAACAGCCTGGAGGGGTTTCATTGGGAGACGGATTTCTTCCAAGTCTGGAAGAGGCCCAGACTCTACCTATTGTGATGCTTTAAGTGGGAAGGTCCTGCTGCTTATTTTAAACAAATAAAAGCTGCTTATTTTAAACAAATGAAACAAGCATTTACAGATGGGGAACTCAAAGGAAATCCAGGGACTAGGGAGGGCTTGGTACTGATGAAGCATCCACTTAATGCATTTAATACCTTGAATTTGTTGGCATGTTCTGCATAGTTTTGCTTAACTGGATGGTTGTGACTAAGTTATCTGGCATCACAGAGACCACACTCTCATGAGCTGTCATGTCCCATGTCAGAGACTCTGAACATCTACTGTCCAGAGTGGCTCCAACATTCTCCTGCTGAAACGTCTTTGCTTTATCGTCATTTTCCTGCCCCGTGTTTTTCAGAAGCTTGGGTGACCCTGCCCTCCTAGCTCTCTAAAGTAGGTGTCAAAGTCTTCAGAATAACAGCAATTCCCTTTCCTTTGGCTTCTTTCCAGATTTTTTCTTTATCTTTGATTTTCGGGAGTGTGAAAGTGATCTGTTCAGGTGAAATTTTTATTTTCGGCATTTATCCTGCTTAAGGTCCTCTGAGCTTCCTGGATCTGTGGTTTCGTATCTGACGTTAATTTGGGTAAATTATCAAGTCAATATTTTAATTTGATTATCAAAATCAGTATTAAAAAGTAAATTAATTTTAAATAAGTATTAAAGATGTTGTCTTTTCCTTTCTCTTTCTCCTCATATTCCCATTATGCATGTGTTTCCCCTTTTATAGTTGTCCCATAGTTCTTGAATATTCTGTTCCATTATTTCTGTTTTTTTCTCTTTGCTTTGCAGTTTTAAAGTTGTCTATTTCTATCTCCTCAAGCTCAGAGATGTTTCTCCTGAGCTGTATCCATCTCCTAGTGAACTCCTGAAGGCATTCCTCATGGCTCTGACAGTGCTTTGGGTCTGGAGCATTTCTTTTTGGTTCTTTCTTAGAATTTCCATCTCTTTGCTTATATCGCCCATCTGTTCTTGCGTGTTGTCTACTTTATCCATTAGATCTCTTAGCATATTCATCATTGTAGTTTTACATTCCTAAATAAGAATGATATGATGGACTCTGGGGACCGGGGGAAAGGGTGGGAGGGGGATGAGTGTACACTGCTCAGGTGATGAATGCGCCACCATCTCAGAAATGCCCACTAAACAACTTGTCCATGTAACCAAACACCACCTGTTCCCCAAAACCTACTGACATTTAAAAAAATAAATAAATTCCTGGTCAAGCAATTCTAATAGCCCTTCCATAGCTGAGTCTCATTCTGACTCTTGCTCTGTTTCTTCTGTGAAAGGAAAACTTAAGACCCCAATTCACTCTGCCAAAAGAAAGATTAAGCTGGAAGTGGGGCCATGCAAGAAAGAGCCTTTCCTTTTGTCCTAAGCAAATAGCCACAGATAAAAGGTTAAAGATCTTCACAGGTAGCTACTCTATGGTCACCTTACTGAGCATGAGATAAATACATAATTGAGTATTTCCCTACCTGCTCCTTTCCTCTTGCAACATATGGATTACCATACCCCCCCTCTTTCTAGCCCACTTTTCCCATTCAAATGTTGAAGCCCTCAAAATCATCTTCGAAGAAAGGCACAGGCATGTGTCTCAGGAATATCCTTAACTTGAGCAAAGTAAACTCCTACATTGGTTGAGACCTGTCTCAGATACTTTTTGGCTTACATGTCAAACTGTGCCTATTAGAATGTCTTGTACTTTTTTCTTCATAGTCAGACAGGATGTACCGGGTAAGAGAAACTGCTTTAAAATGGCCTCTAATCATATGGTGGTAAGGTGTGGGTGGGGAAACTTCATCTAGTCCTGTGATTGGGTCTCAGGCTTTTAATGAGCCTGTGCCACTTGACTGAATTTCCCCGCTTAGGTGGGATGCATGGCCTTTGGTGGGCTGGAGTTGAGTATTTCCCTGCCCTCAGGTCAGTAGGGCTCTGATAAGACCCCAGCAGGTTAGGCTGTGTTTGAACAGTATCTGCTGAGGGCAGCCTTTGCTAAGAAGAACCGATGCTGTGGCATATTTCAAAATGGTTCCTTTTCTTCTCCTTCTGCCAGAGCATGAGGGGCCTCCTATCTGATATTCACTGTAAGAATAAGGTAGAGCTTCGGCAGGTAAAACTCGCAAAAGTGAGGGGGTTTTCGACGGTTGAGTCCCCCTGGAGTTTCTCTCTCTCAGAATCTGCCACACTGAGCCTCCAGCAAGTCCATCAATGATGGTTCAGTTTTCCCTGCCCTGGCACTGGTTCCCACAGAGGTTTTAGCCTCTGGGTTTCTGCCCCGGTAAATTGCGGTTCTTCCTATGTGCCGATCAGCCTGTCCATTTCAGGGATGGTGGTTTTGCCCTGTGACCTCACTTCTCTTAGGAATCCAAGAAGAGTTACTGATTTTCAGTTTGCTCAGCTTTTTACCTGTTTTTCACAATTCTCTTTCTAAGAATGTATATAAATAATAAGAGGTATGTATATCCAAAGCTGCTAATCACAAAGAATCATTGGAAATGACTTAAATGTTCAATGAAGGGTGGCTGTTTAATAAAATAAAGTAATCAACCCCTTAATGGAATTCTCTAGAGCAGTGGTTCTTAGCTGGAGGTGATATTACCATCCCAAAGAACATATGGAAGTATCTGAAGATATTTTTCTTGTCACAATTGGGAACTGTGGGTGCTGCTGGTATGCAGTGGGTAGAGCCTAGGCATGTTGCTAATTATCTTAAAGTTGAGATTTCTGGCCCAGGAGCTGTGGGTGCTGCTGGTATGCAGTGGGTAGAGCCCAGAGATGTTTCTAATTATCTCAAAATTGAGATTTCTGGCCCCATCAGGATACTTCTTAGTTGACGTTCTTGAGATGACTTAATGTGGGTGACACTCATCCCTCTTAAAATAGACAGTATCTGGCCTATGTATTTTCGATGACCTCTAGGTGACTGATGGCTCCCAATCCTCCTTCTACCCCTGTTGGTGTTTCTCTCTCCAGCTCCACAGCTTTGGCTGGGTGCTGGGTGCAGTTTTCTGCTAGCAGGTCATGTTTTCCATCTCTAAAAGTCACTTCTGCTTCTCCCCACTTCCATCCTTCCATCACCCGGGGCTCAGGTGCCCTCAGGTCCACAGCTCATCGGCCTTCACAGTGTGTCCGCTTTCTCTCCTGTCAACCTATTTCCCCACAAGCTCCCTCAAATGCTCCTTCACTCTGGTTACTGCCACTGTCTCTGATGGGGTCTCTACCTCTGTCATTTCAGCAACAAGATCATCTTGGGTCAAGTGTATTTTTCGTTTTTCCCCTTCTTCTCGTGCGAGGACTGGGCAGGGGTTCCCTTTGTATCAGATCTGCCAGGTGCCTGTCACTGATATGCGGTAGCTGGTGGCTTGGTGCACACTTCACAAGCTGTGGCATGGGCTAAAGCCATCTCTCCATCTCCTAGTGACTACCTTTGGACTAGTCCCTTAGCTTCCTTGGGCCTAGGCTCTTGCCTATACTCGAGTCATCCTATTTCCTGTGGGGCTTTTGCGAGGATCAGACAATATGGTGAGTGGGAAAGGTCCATCACCTGCAGAGGCTCAGGAGATGTGCCTGAGATGCTGTGGATTGGCCCGCACTGAAGATCAGCATGAGCAAAAGCAACTCCTACAAAGCACTGAATGCTCACAGGAGAAACAGAGGGAAGGCAGCAGCCCTGCCTCAGATGAATATGAAGGAAGGAGGCCTGATGACCGGCCAGGGGACCCTGTGAGCCCAGTGCTGGCTCCAACAAGAAGTACTCCAGGCCATAGCAGCAGAGCTGGAAGATGGTGTTGCTCTGATGTAGTGAGGGGAAAATGGGAAGGGAAGGAGCAATCTCCTGGGAATTAATTTCACACTAAGAGACAAAACACAGCAAGGCTGTCCAGGAGGAGAGGTGCGTGGCCTCAGGAAGCAGGCCTGGCCACCCAGACTCTTCCTTGACCCCTTTGCACCTGAGCTCCTCCATTCATAATGTGAGGAGGGAGTTACCCGAAAGCAGCAAGGGTACGGCAATGGTGCCCTCCGCAGAGACAGGCACCAGCCCTGACTCTGAGGATGTCACTGATTCAGCTGCCACTGTGCAGCCAAGCCACCCCCGGCCACAGGCACATTCCAATGGCCCCCACCGGTGAGGCTTTTGCCTGTGCAGCAGAGTGAGCCCCAGAGAGTCCCATATCCCCCGTTAGCTTCTAGAGAAAGAGTGCATTAAGGAATTAGTTGGTAAACATATGAATAATAATTTTTAAAGCCATTGTTTTTACCTAAAATAAAATGTTTTCTTTTTCAACCTGGGGGAAGGGGAACCTCCGAGCAATTGTGGCACAAATGGAAGCAATCTTTAAACCAGATTTTATTGCACTATCAATTTATGCCTTTTTAAAAAAAATAAAACTATTTAAGTCAGGACCCAGAGTCTGCAGGCATGAGTATCAAGTCTCAGGAAGTGGTTGCCATGACAACTCGGGGCTTTGCAGAAGCTAGGCAGGCTGGCAGCTCAGGCTGGGTGGACCGCGGCAGGAGATGCCTCTATCAACAGTAATGGTACACCTGCAGTTCCAGTTCTGAATGCACAGGTACTGCTCCTCTCCTAATGTGAATATATCTCATTGTGTTGCAATTCACTTTTCAACTGCCACATTGGTACGATAGGTCTTCATCCTTGGAAAGGGAGAAGGGCTCATTTAATCACAGTCTGATTTGCCTTCTGCCTAAACACGAAGGGCCCCTGCACCTCCTGCACCTTCCAGCTCTGGCCCTACAGTGCCCACTGGCCTTCTCGATGGTCCTGTCCTTGACCAATTCCCAACTTTCCAGGTACCCACGCCACAGCTTTCATGACCACCCGGCCCTCAGGCTTTTTGATATTTTGACCTTTGGTTCTTCTAACTTTTTTTTCATGTTCTGTCCCCTGTTCCTTTTAAGCCATCTCAATTGTCTAGCATAGTCTTTTGTGTTAAACTGATGAGCATTAAGGAATAAATGGTTCCACATGGTCTCTGGATGCTGCCCTTCAATCCTGGCTGCCTAGCCTAGAATTATTTGCACTCACAAGAGGAAATACAAGTTGCTGTTACCAAAGGATGGAGCCTCCGAGTGTCATAGGAAGCAAGGTACTAAACGGAGAATTATTGAGACTTTCAATAACTCCTCCGTAGCCAAATCATGAACACCACATGGGCAGCTTTGTCCACTTAAACATAAAGATGGCCCCATTATGATTTTCACTAAAGGAGAAAATACAGCTTTGAGGTAAGAGATGGTTAGCAGGTAGTCAGCAAGATTCCAGTCCCATTTCACACTCAAGTAACGGAAGGGTGGCTCAAAACCATGTTGAATTTTGATCACTGATGTTTAGAATTGCAACATATCAAGTTGCTCTTCTGACAAATGGGTTGGGAACTTGCTGACAAAAATGTATAGGATAGACTGGAAGAACAAAACTTCTTTGATGTCTTTAAAACACTCCAAGAGACATATATTTCAAATGTTTGATTTTTTAAAAAAAATCATAATCTGTTTTCCACTAACTTAAACACTGGGGTGTTACCATTCTGGGTGTAATAGCCAAGGCTGTGAAGAACACCAAGGGTTGTTTTCTTTCCTTGAAAACAAAAGAAAAACAATCAACTACTTCAATGCAGCATTTCTGTAGAGGGTAGACCCTGCCGTGCAAATCCTTTTTTTAGAATACTCCTTCTCTCAACTTCTTTCTTTTTCCTCTGAATAGACTTTCAGTTAGATTTCTCAAACACAATGAAAGACAGATTTTTAAATTATTAAAATAATATAAATCTCACTAAGAAAAATGCAGGAAAAAGAAGAAAATATGCTATCAAATGTAGCCAAATAAGTGAAATAATCCAGACACAGAAAGACAAATACTGTATGATCTCATTTATAAGTGAAATGTAAAACAGTTGAACTTGGGGTATGAAAGAAATGGGGAGATGTTTGTTGAAGAGTTCAACATTTCAGTTATGCGAGATGAGTACGTTCTGGACACCCAGTGACTATGGTTAGTAATGCCTATTCCACACCGGGAATTTGCTAAGAGAGTAGATCTTAAGAGTTCTCACCGCACACACAAAAAATCTAGTAACCGTGTGAGATGATGGACATGTTAATTAGTTTGATTGTGGTGATCTTTTCACAGTGTATACATATATCAAAACGTCAAGTTTTACACCTTAAAGGTATGTAACTTATTTGTAATTTTACCTCCATAAATCTGGAAACGGTTATAAGTGAGTCAATGGTAAGAAGTTGGTGATTATTAAAGAGGTGCAGGCAGGATACTTTGACTAAATTTATAGTTTCTCACATTATCATTCACAAAACTATGTGGCAAAGAAAAACTAAAAAGTTTAGTTAAAAAATAAAAGTAGTGCCAAGGAAATACACAAAAGAAGAAACAGTTCTGTGTGATAAGTAAATGTGCTCGGGGCTTGTGGATATTTGACACCTTCTTACACTCTTCACTCATTCAGAAAAGTTAAGGAGCCTTGTTTTGTGCCACTCGAATTTAAAACAAACAAAAAAGAAACTCTTAAATTTTGTGGAAAAGCATGGAAAAGTCTATGTTCAGGTGCTTCACCTTCTGAGTCCCTCGTGAAGGGCACACACTGCATCTGAAGACTGGTTTCCCTGGATACTGGCTCCTCGACCGATGACACATGCTGCTCACCACTGCTGAGCTGATAGTTAAGGCCAAGAAGAATGTCTCAATTCCCTGGTGCTCATCAGAAAGAAGGCCCACACATTGAATTAGCTTTGAGGACAGAGGAGTAACTCCCAAAGAGGAAAAATAATGAGTTACTATTTATATCAATGGACAGTCTTCATCTCATTCTGTTTCCATCATTCGAAAACACTGTGGAAGAGAAAATTTGCCCAAAGTTTTAACCTATACAATATTCCCCAAAAGAAGCATCCATGTAAGTGTGTCACATATCCACTGAGTGTTCTAAGGCATCCATGGAGTGGGCTGCGTATCCAACAATACTGAGTATTCTAAGGCGTCCATGGGAGTGGGCTATAAATCCACCAATACTGAGTGTTCTAAGATATCCATTGGAGTGGGCTGCGTATCCATCAATACTGTTTTAAGGCATCCATGGGAGTGGGCTATAAATCCACCAATACTGAGTGTTCTCAGGCATCCATGGGAGTTGGCTGTAAATCCACCAATACTGAGTGTTCTGAGGCATCCATGCAGTGGGCTGCATATCCAACAATACTGAGTGTTCTAAGGCATCCATGGGAGTGGGCTATAAATCCACCAATACTGAGTGTTCTAAGATATCCATGGGAGTGGGCTGCTTATCTACCAATACTGAGTGTTCTAAGATATCCATGGGAGTGGGCTGAGTATCCACCAATACTGAGTGTTCTAAGATATCCATGGGAGTGGGCTGCATATCCACCAATACTGAGTGTTCTAAGATATCCATGGGAGTGGGCTGCATATCCACCAATACTGAGTGTTCTAAGATATCCATGGGAGTGGGCTGCATATCCACCAATACTGGGTGTTCTAAGATATCCATGGGAATGGGCTGAGTATCCACCAATACTGGGTGTTCTAAGATATCCATGGGAGTGGGCTGCATATCCACCAATACTGAGTGTCCTAAGATATCCATGGGAGTGGGCTGCATATCCACCAATACTGGGTGTTCTAAGATATCCAGGGGAGTGGGCTGCATATCCACCAATACTGAGTGTTCTAAGATATCCATGGGAATGGGCTATAAATCCACCAATACTGAGTGTTCTAAGATATCCATGGGAATGGGCTGCATATCCACCAATACTGAGTGTTCTGAGGCATCCAGGGGAGTGAGCTGCGTATCCACCAATACTGAGTGTTCTAAGATATCCATGGGAATGGGCTGCGTATCCACCAATACTGAGTATTCTGAGGCATCCATGCGAGTGGACTGCGTATCCACCAATACTGGGTGTTCTAAGGTATCGATGGGAGTGGGCTGCATATCCACCAATACTGAGTGTTCTAAGGCATCCATGAGAGTGGGCTATAAATCCACCAATACTGAGTACTCTAAGACATCCATGGGAGTGGGCTTTGTATCCACCAATACTGAGTGTTCTGAGGCATCCATGGGAGTGGGTTATCTCTCTGTCAACACTGAGTTTTCTAAGGACACTAAACACTCATCTTTTCTAGTGTTACTTTCCCCCACTGGGTTTCTTTGTCATACTGTTTGTTTTTTGAGGCTTAAAATGTTCAACATTGATATCAATAATGTGACAAAAATCAGTGACTTTAAAGAGAAGACTGCAGGGGTTTAATCTTGTTTGAGGGTCTCAAGACCACCCCCAGGTGTGCTGATTCACTAGGAGAACTCACAAGGCAAAAGAGCAGGTTATACTCACGACTAAGGTTTATTGTAGCCAAGGGATACAGAGCAAGAGCAACTGGGAAAGATGCATTGAATGAAGTCCAAAGTGGCCAAGCACTGGCTTCTGAGACCACCCCTATCCTGGGCCACACAGGAGTGCTTTCTCTCTTGCATGAGTTAAATGTCTCTGCTCAGGGAAGCCAGTGTGAACCTGGGGGTCCAGGGCTTTTATAAAGGGCTGGCCACAGAGACACATCTTACTATATGACCAGCCAGGGTAACTGAAATTCAGGGCTCCCAACAGTGAAACCCAGTGTACATCATCAAGAGTTATGCTTGTGCAAAGGAATCCTGACAAGCTGGAATGGCATGGTTCATTGTCCCAGGTATACAAAAAAAAAAAAAAGTCATTATGATAAAAAAAAAAAAAAAAAAAAAAACCTCTAGAGAGCCAAATTCCCAAGCCTTGGGCAAGAATCAGTCATGCTTTCAGGCTTCCTTAAAGACACACAAATACAGAGAAATGAGACCTGCTCTGTTAACTCTTTCCTTAAGCTTGTGTTATCAATGATGCTTTAAACATCAGTTCACAGTGAGTTCCTATATGTAGGGAAAGGAGCATTATGCAGTCTATTATCAAATCTGGACTCAACATTTTATTATGATCTGTGAGAATTTGAGCAATCCATTTACTTCTCCATTTTCTTGTTTTTTGGTTTTTTTTTTTTTTGAGACGAGGTTTTAGGGTCTTATTCTGTCGCCAAAGCTTGAGTACAGTGGCACAATCACGAAACACTGCAGCCTTGACCTCCTGAGTTCAAATGATTCTCCCACTTCAGCCTCCTGAGTAGCTGGGACTACAGTCTTGCACCACCACACCTGGCTTTTTCTTTTCCTTTTTTTTTTTTTTTTTTTTTTTTTTTGTAGAGATGATGTCTCATTATATTGCCCTGTCTGGTCTCAAACTCCTGGACTCAAGCAATCCTCCCACCTGGTCCCCCAAAGTACTGAAATTACAAGTGTGAGCTACCACACCTAGCTTCCATTTTCTTATTTGCAAAATAGGATTGATGATAGTAGCTAGCATATGCAGTTAAGTGCCAAGTGAGTTAATTGGCATGAATTTTTCAGCATAAAGTTGAAACATAATACACAGACAATAAATGTCAGTAGTGCTCAACTTACTATGCTAGTATATTCTCCTGCAGGAAAGAGTTAACTTTGCCCAAAGAAAGGAGCAAACCTTTGCCCCCAGCTCCTGGAAGGTAATCTCTAAACTCTTGGAATGTCCTGCTTGATGAGAACGTCTTTGCTTACCTGGGGTCCCTGGGCCACTTCAGCTAGTTTATGCTAACAGTGTGATCTATGATGGGGTCTTGGGTCACACCATATAGCCTATGCAAATAGTGTGATTTGTAGCTAGGGCTGTCTTAGTTCATTTGTGCTGCTATAACAAAATACCCAAGACTGGGTAATTTATAAATAACAGAATTCTTTCTCATAGTTAAGGAGGCTAGGAAGTCCAAGATCAAGGTGACAGCAGGTTCAGTGTCTACTGAGGGCTGCCCTCTCCACTTCTAGATGGTGCCTAGCTGCTGTGTCCTCACATGGCAGGGTCGGAGGGCAGATGGGAGGGAGACAGCTCCCTTGTACCTCTTTCATAAGGGCATTAATCCCATTCATGAGAGATCTACTCTCATGACTTAATCACCTCCTAAGGTTTCACCTTTTTTTTTTTTTTTTTTGAGACAGAGTCTCACTCTTGTCACCCAGGCTGGAGTGCAATGGCATGATCTCAGCTCACTGCAACCTCTATCTCCCAGGTTCAAGCAATTCTCCTGCCTCAGCCTCCCGAGTAGTTGAGACTACAGACGCCTGCCACCACACCTGGCTAATTTTTGTATTTTTAGTAGAGATGGGGTTTCACCATGTTGGCCAGGCTGGTCTCGAACTCCTGACTTCAGGTAGTCTGCCCGTCTTGGCCTCCCAAAGTGCTGGGATTACAGGCGTGAACCACCGAACCTGGCCAGGTTTCACCTCTTAATAATATCACATTGGTGATTACATTTCAGCGTATGAACTACGGGGACACATTCAGAGCATAGCAGGGGCCTAGGGCCATGCGATATCAGCTTGACCTCTGGAGGGGCTAAGACTCAACCAGTCACATTTGCACTTGACCATGTCTCCAAGACAAATCTCCAGTGGAATCTCTGGACATCAAGGCCCAGGTGAGCTTCCCTGATTGGCAGTACTCCAGCTGTCTTTTCATACATCTTGCTGAAAGAAGTAAGAGCTGTCCGTACAACTCCCCTGGGAGACGACAGCTGGAGGCCCCTGGCTTGTTGACTGCTGGACCCTGCCGTATGTACTTGTGCCCTGGGCTGACTGTAGTCTGCATTTTTTGCTGTATAGACTCTAACCATGAGTATAAGTGGCTTGACTGAGTTCTGAGTCCTTCTAGTGAATTGTAAACCTGGGGATGGTTTTGGGGATCCCTGACCTTGCAGTTAGTGTCAGAAGTGATGGTGGCCACTGGGAGGCCGAGGCAGGCGGATCACGAGGTCAGGAGATTGAGACCATCCTGGCTAACAAGGTGAAACCGTGTCTCTACTAAAAATACAAAAAAAAAAAAAAAAAATAGGCGTGGTGGTGGGCGCCTGTAGTCCCAGCTACTCGGGAGGCTGAGGCAGGAGAATGATGTCAACCCTGGAGGCAGAGCTTGCAGTGAGCTGAGATCACACCACTGCACACCAGCCTGGGTGACAGAGCGAGACTCCATCTCAAAAAAAAAGAAGTGATGATGGAACCCTCAAACTTTGTATTTCATAAAGCCTAAAATCTATTTATTCTTGCATCAGCTACTTAAAAGTTGTTCCTAAGTTGGTGCAAATAAGGCTTTTGAGAGAATCTTTTCTTATTACTTCTCCTTGGAGAATGTAATTGTTGTTGTGTAATTGGTATGAAGGTTTAGGCCTGGAATGGACTATTTTTAGTAAATTAGATATAACTCTTTTCTAAATCTTCTTCTTTTATTCAATGTTTGAAACTTTGATTTGTTAAACACACAAGAAAGTGGTTCACTTTTTGAAAAGAGCTTGACTTAACAAGTGAAGAAGCTGGTAGAGTGTGGTAAGTACCCTCTCCCATCTGGCTACAATGGCAATGGAGAATGTTATAGAACAATCACTCGTTAGCACAGTCTGAGTTTGCACCAATTTGAATACTGAATTCAAATACTCAGATATACCTGAAGATTCCTCTCCTAGAATAAAAATGTCAGAATCTCTGCAAGGAACTAAGGATATCAGAGCTCTGGTCCAAGATGAAGAGTCTATCACCAAGTGCCTCCTCCCCACAGAAAGAGAAGAGCTGATGATGAAAATGGGCGGTGGGAAAAAAGAGACAAAACTCATCTCCTTTGACTCTGCCCACCTGATAAAGCAGGCCTCGTTTTGTTAAGCCTGGTTTATAATGTGCTTGTCTGGGTTTGCCCACACAAAAGGGCATGAAGGAAAAAAAGAGTTAGTTATTTTAACACTTCCAAAGACGTAACTTTGCAGAAGCCTGGTGTCCAAGCTGAGGACATATGCCAGGCAGTCCCATGGGAAATCCAGTGACAACCTCTAACTCAGCCAAAGCCATGAGGTACGAAACACACGTGCCAAATTATAAAAATGACAGAAAGAAAAGACAAAGCCTTTCTTGGCCAGGCGTGGTGTCTCATGCCAGTAATCCCAGCACTTCGGGAGTCAAGAAGGTAGATGGCCTGAGGCTAGGAGTTCAAGACCAGCCTGGACAACATAATAAGACCTCATATCTACCAAAATAAATAAATAAAAAATAAAAAATAAAATTTAGTTGGGCATAGTGGTACACACCTGTAGTCCCAGCTACTCAGGAGGCTGAGGCAGGAGGATCATTTGAGCCCAAGGCTGTAGTGAGGTATGATGCTGCCCCTCACTCCATCCTGGGTCACAGAGACAGACTCTGTCTCCAAAAGAAATTTCAAAAGAAAGCTGTTCTGAAGTTTCTCAAGGGTTCCTCTGCTGCTTCTCTGGTTGTGGCTTGCACTGCATGATGCTTTCAGTCCCATAAATTTTCCAGGCCATCTGGAATCAGGCCTGTTACATTAGCATTTAGTAGCATTCATGTTTTTTGAAGAGCTCTGAATGACAACCAAACATCTGATGTTTGGGCTCCATTAGAAAAGGAAATAAAATTCTATTGTTTCAATACTCTGTCTTCTGGGAAATGATCCAAATGTGCGAGACTAAATATGTTCCTTTATATAGGATTTATGATGGTGTTATGCAACAATATCATTTTATAATTGTGTTTTATAGTAATTGAGTTTTAATCCTTTAATATTTAATGTGCAATAATTTTAAATGCCTCGTCCTAATTCATCCAAAAGCACTTTCTATATACACAATCTTATCTGATCTTAAAAAATTTGAGGTATATATTTTCCAGTCCATTTTGTAGATAAGGAACCTAAAGCCTAATGAAGTTGGCAATAAACAGTGCAGTGTGGCTGCCAAGAGTTTGCTATTAGAAAGTCTGTGTTCAGGTTCCGCCTTGTGCATTTGGATCAGCTATTTCACTTTTCTAGGCCCTTTGTAAAATGGGGAATTATCCTACCTTCTGCTGTGATGTAGTTTAAACACAGTACACCATATAAACAGCTTCATGTAGGCCTGACACAGAAGAAGTATGTAATTAATGCTTCTATTATTTTCCTTGTTATCATTACTAGGCATGTGGCAAGCAGCTGGCCCCAGATCTATATCTAACAAATGTCATTTACAAGATTTGGATTCAAAGCCCTACCTCTATGTTCAGTTCTCATTTAATCATTTGTTCCAAATTACAAATTCTTGCAGAACAAATTGGAATCAAGCACAGGGATTAAGTAGTTCATTTTTTTCTCTTCAGTATGTTGGAAATTTTATTCTTGTCATACATGCCTGAATATTTTCATAAATCAAGATACATCCCTCCCATCCTCTGGAGTGGCTTGTTAATTTCAACTTCTCTGCAATTTTATGTATTTTACTTATTTATTTATTTTTGAGACATGGACTCGCTTTGTCTCCCAGGCTGGAGTGCAGTGGTGCAAACATCACTAACTCCACCCTTGAACTCCTGGACTCAAGCAATCCTTTTCCTCAGCCTCCTAAAGTGCCGAGATTACAGGCCCATGCCACCATGCCTGGCTAATTTTTTTTTAATTTTTCTTTTGTAGAGATGGAGTCTTGCTATGTTGCCCAGGCTGGTTTCAAACTCCTGGCGTCAAGCAGTCCTCCCGCATTGGCCTCCAAAAGCGCTGGGATTACAGGCATGAGACACTGCTCCTGGACTGTGCAATTTTAAAGACTTGAGCAAATAACCCCTTAAAATGTGAGTTTTAGGATGGTGGGTAGGGCTTCAATTTGAAAACTGTTACCAGGGAATGTGATTATAACATGCACAGTTCCCACTAAGTGTGAAAATATAGCTGAGAAGCATGATTAAGAGTACTGTCATGTAATTCACACCAGAGATATATCGCCAAGGGTTATTTTCATCCTGAATGTATTATTTCTCTGTCTGAAACTATTTGACAGAACATAAGCTGAGCCCTAGCTCCCACCTGTTTTCACATGAATGTGAATTAGGTGGGCAAGAGAAGGAGCTAACCTCCAGTGAGACCACGCACAATTTTCTGCCAATTTATTGACACTTTTTTTATTATTTGAGGAATTTGTGTAATTTTCAAAAATAACATATGTAAGAAGCTGAACTTTTCTTGTTCATTTTTAGGGGGGTTGTCCCTCCCAGTTTAACCTGATATTTTCTAATTTGTCCACCAGACAAAAATGAAGCAGAGACAAACTTAATGGGGGGAAGTCTTCCTTCACCACAGGCCTAGTTAATTTTGCTAGCTGACAGCAAGGAGGGCATGTGGTATTAGGTGTCTTGAGTGAAAAAGCACACAAACAAACAAGAATCTGGAGCTGAGGGAAAAAAAATTAGGTCAATTTAAATTTGTATCAGTTTGCAAATGGATTTCCTATAACTAAATGGTGACATGCTTACATTTTGTCTAAACCTCTCAGAGTTTACAATTCAGGGAGGAAAGTCAGGTACGAATCTGTGAAGCCAAATTCTTTGCCATGTTCAGAAAACATACTGATGAATATATTTTAAAAGATATAGTTTTATACATATAGATAAGGTTCAAATAGATCTTTGCAATCTAGAATGACAGATCTCACTGAGTCTCCTAATTGTTTCATTTACTTAGAAATTGAAATCTAGGAGTGAGAATTACTTGACCACACTAATAGTTTCAAAACACAACTGTTGTATGTGTTGTATATTGTAAAGATTTGGAGATAAATCATTCATATTATTATAGTCTTGAGAAATGGAAGGAAAGGAGATGCCCTTGTTTGACCTTTCCGTGTCCTACATGAAGACAATATATTCATGATTGACCTTGGGTAGGCTTACATGGCGATGAGTCCTTCAGAGTTAGCAGAAGGGCTTGGACTGGGCTCTAAGTCTCCCATAACCTGGTGGTCTGGTGACTCATTTTCAAGTCACAACTTTAATGAGATATAATTCACATGCCATAAATTTCATCATTTTAAAGTATGCAGTTCAGTAATTTTTAGCATGTTCACAGAATTCTGCAACTGTCACCACTGTCTAACTTTAGAATATTTTCATCACCCTAAAAATAAGCCCAGTATACATATTAACTTCCCATTCTCTTTCCCCAGATCCTGGCAATCATGCTCGGTACTTGAATTTGCTTCCTTTCAGACACTTTGTCTAAATGGACGATGTGATATATGGCCTTTTGTGACTGACCTCTTTCACTTAGAATAATGTTTTCATGGTTTGTCTACCTCATAGCTTATATTAGTACCGCATTCCTTTGTATTGCTGAGTAATATTCCATCGCATGGATATACCACAATGTGATTAGCCATGGATCTATTCTGTGGCTGATGGACATTTGGATTGTTTTTACATTTTGGTCCTATAAATAATGTTGCTGTGAAAATTCATGTGCAGGTTTTGATTATTTATTTAGTGCTGTTGGGCTTATACCTAACAGGAGAATTCTGTGGTCCTATGGAAACAATATGTCTACATTTTGAGAAATTACCAGTGGCTTCACCATTTTGCAAGGCCATGAGCAGTGTAAGGGGGTTTCAATTTCTCCACATCCTCACCACTTTGGTATTGCCTGTCATTTCTATTTTAGGCATTCCAATGAGTGTGCAGTGGTATTTATTTCAAGGTGATTGATTTTCATGTTTCTAATGACTAATGATGTTGAGCATCTCTTTAGATGCTTATTGGCCATTCATATATATCCTTTGAAGAGATGTCTACTCAAATCCTCTGCCCATTTTTCAATTGGGTTATCATTTTTATTGTTGAGTTGTAAAATATCTTTACACATTCTGGATGCAACTCCCTTATCATATTGTATGGTAAATAAATAGTTTCTTGTATTCTGTGTGTTGACTTTCCACTTACTAATGGTATCCTTTGAATCACAAACACAGGAATTTTAAATTAAAAATAATTTGACCTTTTTTTTCCTCTTGTTTTTGCTTTTGGTGTATTATCTAAAATTCCATTGTCTAGTGAAGATCATGAAGTTTTATTTCTAATTTTTCTTCTAAGGGTTTTATAGTTTTAACACTGGCATCTAGGCATATGATCCATTTTGAATTAATTTTTGTATATGATGAGAGGAAGAGATATAATTTCATTTGTTTGCATGTGCATATCCCATTGTCCCAGCAACATTTGTTTAAATGACTACTGTTTTGCCCAATTAGTTGTCTTGGCACCCTTGTCAAAAATGAATTGACTAGGCTGGGCACGGTGGCTGACACCTGTAATCCCAGTACTTTGGGAGGCTGAGGCAGGTGGATCGCCTGAAGCCAGGAGTTCATGACCAGCCTGGCCAACATGCCGAAACCCCGTCTCTACTAAAAATACAAAAATTAGCTGGGTGTGGTGGCAGGCGCCTGTAATCCCAGCTACTCAGGAGGCTGAGGCAGGAAGATCATTTGAACCCAAGAGGCAGAGGTTGCAGTAAGCCGAGATCGCTGCACTGTGCTCCAGCCTGGGTGACAGAGCAAGTCCCTGTCTCAATAAATAAATAAATAAATAAATAAATAAATAAATAAATAAATAAATAAATCAGTAGTATAAGGGTTTATTTCTAGACTCTCAATTCTGTTTTACTTGTCTATCCATCTATCCTTATGACAGTAGCACACTATATTTATTAGTGAAGCTCTTTAGTAAGATTTGAAATTGGGATGTTTGAGTCCTCCAATGTTATTTTTCTTTTTCAAGATTGTTTTGGCTAATCTGGGTCCTTTGAATTTCCATATGAACTTTGGAATAAGATTTCCAGTTTCTGGAAAGTGAGTGCCATCTGGAAGTTTTAAAAATTGCATCATTTTTGTAACTCGCCTTTCAGATTTTTCATTGCTATTATATAGAAATACAATTTATTTTTGTATTTTGACCTTGTGAACTGCAGCTTTACTGAACTTTTTTATTCTAATCGTTTTTTTGTGGATTCATTAGGAATTTCTATATATGATATCATGCTCTCTATAAATAGAGATTGTTTTACTTCTTCCTTTCCATATGCATGTCTCTTATTTCATTCTCATGCTTAATTGTCTTGTATTAAACCTGTTGTTCGGTTTTGAATAAAAGTGTTGAGAGCAGGCATTTTGTCTTGTTGGAAGGGGGAAGGATTCCGTTTTGCACCATTCCATTTGCTGCTAGCTGTGAGGTTTTGTAGACACCCTTTATCACTGTGAGGAAAGTACCTTCTATTCCATATCTCCTGACTGCTTTTTTCATGAATGTGTGTTTGTTTTGCTGAGCTTGTTGTGAATCTCTTGAGATGATGATGTTATTTTTATCCTTTATTCTATTAAGAGTGTATTATAGCAGCTGATTTTCATATATTAAACCAACCTTGCATTCACGCTCTTGTTTAAAAGTATTTCCTTTTTCCCCTTGGGATTTCTTCTTTGACCTTTTATTCTTTAGGAGTGTAGTATTTAATTTCCACATTTTTGTGTATTTCCCAAATTTATTCCTATTATTAACTTCTAATTTCATTCCATTGTGGTTGGAGAACATACATAGCATGGTCTCAATAATTTTACATTTATCGAAGCTTATTTTATGGCCTAGTCTATGGCTCATCCTGTAGGATATTCCATGTGTGCTTGAGAATGACGTGTATTGTGTTATTATTGTTTGGTGATGATTTCTATATATGTCTGTTAGGCTAATTAACATCTTAAAACAATGTAGTTGGGATTAATATTGACTTAATTTTGACAGTATAGTATATACAAGCTTTGTTTCGATATGGCTAGCTGCTTTCCTTCATCCTACCTTCGTGCTATTAATTATATAGAAATCACTTATCTGTATATTATAAGCCCATAAACACGTTTATGTAATTATTACTTTATGTAGTTGCCTTTCAAGTTAGACAGGAAAAGAAAAGTGTTACAAACAGAATACATTTACACTGTCTTTTACATTTGCCCCTCAGAGAGCCTTTGGTGCTCTTTATTTCTCTCTGTGGATTTGAATTTCTGTCTAGCATTCTTTCATTAGCTGAGATGGCTGAGTGGATCCAAGAGTCACATGCCTGATCACCTCAGAGAGGCCTCTGTGTGACTGAATATTCTACCTTTTGATGTTTAGAAGGTACAAAGGATAGTCCAGCCACAGTCTCAGGTTTTTCCAGAACACATTTTTCTGACTGAATTTCCTAAATTTAGCATCTTTAGCAATCTGGATGTGCTGAAAATTTCTCATATCATGAAATCCTGGTTCCTTTTTGCTTAGCAGTTTATCTCCTCAATGTATCTCTTTCCTATCACATTTTGCTATTGGCATCAAGAAGAAACCAGGTTGCTCCTTCAACAGGTTGCTTCTTTCTAACTGTGCTTGGAAATCTCCTCACCTAAATATACAACTCATTGTTTACAAATTCTGCATTCCACATGACAGTCTAACACAGTTCTGCTAAGCTTCCTGCCACTGTACAGCAAGAAGTCTTTTCCCCCAGTTTCCAAGAACATGTTCTTCATCTCTTTCTGCACTGTCACCACCAATATTTCTACCAAGAATGTGTTTACGATGATTTATGTATACTCCAAGATGATGTAGATTTTCTCTACTGTGCTCCTCACTTCCTCTGAGTCCTCATTACCAGAGTTGCTAGTGACCATATTGGTACTCAAAATCTTTCCAGGCCAATCTAGGCTTTTTCTAACGTGGTCCTCAAAATGCTTCTAGTTTTTGCCCATGCCCAAAGGCGGAACCCCACTCCAGGTACCAAATATGTGTTAATTTCATATTACTCCTGTAACAAACTACCAAAAACTTAGTGGCTTAAAACAACACAAATTTATTATTTTCAGTTTGGGTGGCCAGGAGTCGAAAATGGCTCTTACCAGGCTAAAATCAACATGTCAGGAAACCTGTGTTTCTTCAGTAGGTTCTAGGAGATGCCTTTCCTTGCCAGCTTTTAGAGGCTGTCCACATTCCCCTGGACATTCTCCTTCAGCTGTTGCCTGGCCTTGGCTAATTTTCAGAGTTCCGAAAAGGTTGATTTTGATATTTTTTGCCAATGTTCTCTTTGCCTTTATGGAGAAGTGGATTTTCAGACGTCTTTACTCTGTCATTCTGGAAGAGCTTCCCCTCTGGTGGCTCTTTTTAAATCTAATTAATCAAAATGATCCCCTAATTCAACAGATGCCATGTAGCCCTCCATGAGTTTAGGGCTAGTATTGTATGTGTGTCGATATGGTTCATATGGCAAACAATTGCTCTATCGCTATGGAAAGAGGCTGCTGAATAAATCAGTACAAGGTATGTGGAAATCCTCACAGGCCACCTGCCTCCAAAGATGCTGACTCTGAACTTTCTGGGGAATCACAGTCATAAATCATTTATTAGACTCTCAAACTTTCTGAAAAAGGTGAATTTCAAGTCGACCTTGTGTCCTGTTTACAAACACTAAAAAGCTAAGATTAATAATTTTCTAGCAAATGTTTACCTCCCCCCAAATGTTTAGGAAACACAATTCTTATAGGACTTTACACGAGCTCTTTTATTTGTAGCATTTTCCTCATTAGTTATCCATGTCAGCGCTGCTATGGAAAGGCCGTGATCTGACCCAGGAAATACATTTTTATAGCAAATTTCATGCAGCTGATTTCTGGCTTCACTAAAGCTTTTTAATAAACATGGAAATTGCTGGAGTGACACTATATTCACACACGTTATAAGTGGCCCAGAATAATGCACAGCATATTGATGCAGATGTTAACAGCAGATTCATTTAGTGTGTTTTAAGTTTGTGTTTGTGGCTATGAAAATGGTGGGACAATGAACATTTATGGATAATCATTTTGTCAAATAAAATTCTAAAAAATAACTTGTCCTTTGAGAACCGGCAGAATTCAAGCACAGAGCAAAAGAAACGTTTAACTTACACAAAGAGGTCTGTACTATACCATTGATCACCTGGGTTCCATCTCTTCAGCCTTTTTGGCCTTTATAGTATGTAGTGAACAGTGAATGATTTGAAACATTTCATATTTTACATAAAATAATTCATAATAAATAATTATACATTATATATATAATTATCAAATCCAGAATGCAGAAATAATCTAATTCATGTTGACTACCTCTTAAAATGAAAACAAATGATAGCACATAATATAACTTACCCAAATAAAGTATAAGTCTGTGGAAATAACAACAGTCCCTTCATATTCCATCAGAGCCGGTGCCACTGGCCATTGAGGGCAGTGAACACCTGGCCAGAGCAGCAGTATGAGGCATAGAGTAGGCAGGGAGTGGAAGGAGCAGTGCCTCCCCTCTGGTGGCTTTGGTTTGGAGGGTCTTCTTTGACGTCTAACAGGAGAAAAGGTATCTTCCTGCATCCTGCCTTAATAATTCCCCTTTGGCAAGTAGCTGGAGTCCGACTGAAGGTTAGCCATGTGTCCATCTATGCATTTACTTCAGTTTCCTTCCTGCTCTCATCTTTCCACTTCTCTCCAATCCAACAGGCCAAGAAGCCCTGATACCCCAGCTGTTCACGCAACATGCCAAGCTCTCTCTGTGCCAGGCCTTTGTGCTCACTCCCCTCTCTTTCTGGACCACTCTTCCCTTGAATATGCAGGACCTGTGCCCCACTTTTGTAGGTCTCTTCTGGAAGTTTTCCTTGTCCTAAGGGTCTTCCCCATCACCCTATATAACAGATCAGTGTCCTTTTATACTATTTTATATAGTCTTTTATATTTTATATATAATTATATAAATTATATTATACTATTTTATATACTCTTCCCCCTTTTATACTATTTTATTTTTCCCTCTAGCAGAGTTTTGCAAGTGTCTACAAATGGTAAAATAGTAAATATTGTTATTTACTTTTTTAAGCCGTTTTGGGCCGTATGGTCTCTCTTGCAACTACTGAACTCTGCCATTGTAGTGTATGTGTAAATAAATAAATGTGTGTTGCTCTGTTTTAATAAAACTTTATTTACAAAAAATGAGTGGAGACCAGATTTTGCACACAGCCATGGTGCACTGACCCTGCTTCTGGGCTTGCACATTCTGCCACTGAGGATTATTGCTGTTTTTAAATTGTCTGTCTCTGACCACCAGAATATAGGTGCTCAATAAATAGGTTGAGTGTATGAGGAATGAATAGAGGGTGTACTTTAAATATTAAAATATTTATGCTAGTCTCTCGTTATCTTATCTGGGTCAAGTAACTTAAGTTTACGGTATTGGAATCACCACTGAGGCCTACTAAAGTGATTATTCTAAACCCGGAGAGAGGCTAGCATCCAGAATTTATAGGCTTCATGCCTCTAAGCTATGTCCATTAGCCATTCTTTAAACATTTATTAGAAATTCCATAAACAGTCCTGTGACCCCTCCCCTGTATCAGGTATGAGGTGGGGAAAGCAGGATCCAACTTGCCTCTGGCTGCTCTATTCCCTGGGCTCTGGGAATGGCACAGGGTCAGGGAGAGGCCAGAGTGGTGTTACCAGTACCAGGTGATGGGACTTTGTTCAACTAGCATAGTGCGGTAGAGATGGAAAGCAGTGACAAGATTCAATATAGATATGGGGATTAGTCCTGATGGCAATTGCTGATGAGTGTCTTCGTCAGGTCAGGCTGCTACAGTAGAATACCAAAGACTGGGGGGCTTAAACAACAAATATTCATTTCTCACAATTCTGGAGGCTGGGAAGTTCAAGATCAAGGCACTAGCAGATTAGACGTCTGGTGAGGGCCCACTTCCTGGTTTGCTAATGGCTGTCTTCAGAGAAAGGAAACAAGCTCTTTCTGTCTCTTCTTATAATAAGGGCACTAATCCCACTTGTGGGGGGAAGGGGCTGCATCCTCATGACTTTGTCACCTCCCAAAGGTAACACCTCCAAATACCACTGGGAATTCGGATTTGAGCACATGAATTTTGGAGGGATGCAAACATTCAGTCCATGGCAAATGAGAGATGGGTGTTACAGAGGAGATGAATAAAAAGTACTGCACATTCACTTTTGGCTTCAACACCGGACATGTACAGTTACCATTTACTGAGATGGTAGATAGGTTTGTGGGGCAATGTCAAACATGTTGGACATAGTAACATGGTAACATGATTACTCTTGTTAAACATACAAGTGGAGATGCTGAGTTACTCACTGGTAGATTAACCTGGAGGGCTGGAAGAGTCTGAAGGAAAAATAATGTGACAATTGTCCACACATCCTTAGGAATTAAAGCCATGGGACTGAATGTGGCTCCTAGTGCAGATCAGAGCAACCAAGACCATGGCTGGGCTTCCCAGCATGAACTGGCCAAAAAGAGCAGTGCAAGGGATGGCAAGAAAAGAACAGAGAACATTCAGAGGGTTGGGAGAAAAAAACCAGGGGCAAGCCGGGCTTGGTGGCGTACACCTGTGGTCCCAGCTACACAGAAGGCTAAGGTGGGAGGATTGCTTGAGTCCAGGAGTTCAATGCTGCAGTGAGCTATGATAATGCCACTGCACTCCAGCCTGGGTGAGACTCCTTCTCCGAAAAATAGAGAGAGAGAGAGAGAGAGAGAGAGAGAGAGAGAGAGCGCCCACATTCTCATGAGGACATCAGCAGTGATATTTGTTTGTTTCCATGTTCTAATGGCTTAGCTTGGATAATGTTGGTTATCACCAAGCATCTTTTAAATTCGTCACAGACACACACATGCTAACCTGTTAAAATTGTAGCTGCTTAGAGAAATTGAAAAAAAAAATCAAAACTCAAACTTTAGAATGAACCTGCTCTCTGCTCACATGATTCAATTTATTTGGCAAACAAGTTTATATGTTTTAGAGTTGCTGAACACAGAACCCCTAAACATGTCTCTAATTAACAAATGGAGTAAAATTAAATTTTATTTTATGTTGGTATTTTTGGTACAAACAAATTTCTTTATTATCTGGAAAATAGATTGGTTGGAATTCCATTTCACTTAGAACAGAGGAAAATGGCTTTTTCTTCCACAGATCTTTTTCTACTTTCAGATTCCCTCTACTCCTTGTCCCTGCTCACTTCCAGTAGAAGCATTTTTTTTCCAGTCATTCTTTTGTTCTGCATATACGTATAGAGCACCCATTATGTCCTGGCCCACAACAAAAACTAGACATGCATTGGAGAAAACTGGACATGGTCACTGCTACTCAGCGAAGCTGCCAGTCTGGAGAAGATGCAGAAGTAAACACAGGATCTGGGCCTATGTAGGTGTTTTCATCCATTCGTGTTGCTGTAAGAGAATACCTAAGGCTGGGTGATTTATTTTTTAAGAAGGTTTATTTGGCTCATGGTTATGCAGGCTGTACAGGAAGCATGGCACCAGCATCTGCCTCTGCTGAGGGCCTCAGGGAGCTTCCACTTATAGCAGAAGGTAAGAGGGGTCCATGTGTGCAGAGATCCCATGGTGAGAAAAGAAGCAAGAGAGAGGAGGAGGTTCCAGGCTCTTTAAACAACCAGCTCTCTCCAAAACAAGTATAGCCAGAACTCGCTCATCACTGACAGGAGGGCACTGAGACATTCATGAGGGATCCATCCCACAACCCAAACGCCTTCCAGCAGGCCCCAACATTGGGGATCAGATTTCAACATGAGATTTGGAGGGGACAAATATCCAAAAGATATCAGAAGCTCCAGGGATCCAAGATGGGCTGCTGAAGGAGACAGTCTTCCTGCATGAACAGGATTTCTGTACGCTAAGTCAGAAGCCAGCCAGGTTCCACTCTCCTGAAAATAGCGTGGGATTATTTAACTGGCACTGGAATTTTTTACTTCTAATAAATTTATCATTCACCAGAGACCTGTTTAGAATTTTCTTAATAGCTTAGCTAAATTTAAAGCTGCTTGCTAACAATTTTATGTGCATTTTACATTTTTATGAAGAATTTCATAAAAAGTAAATAATACTTAAAAGTCAAAGTAAAATAAATACCTTGAAGTCCTGTGCTAACTTTCTAATGGTAATACATAGGCTGGCATTGCCTACGAAGTCGGAGTGAACTTGGGAAAACTACGAAATGCTTCCAGCTCTGGAACAGTCACCCCACATCTCTGCTTGAGGCAGGGGAGGGCTGCCGTCTGCTCAGAGCCCACATTTGTGCAAACACGTCTCTCTGCATGCCAGCATCACCTTCAGAACAGGAGACTGCAGGGAGCCCGCCTCCTGCTCCTCCGGGTGTCCTTCTGCCTTGGAGATCTCTTTTACCGCCTGATGCACACTTCCAGAAGATGAATCACCAAGAGAATGCCAAGAGCTACGTTTTTCTTCAAAACAGCCACTGTTGAATCTCAAAAATCATCATGAGTACATTATGATTTTCTATAACAAGTGGACCGTGACACCCAGCCAGGGTGCTTGGCCCAGGGCACCATGGAGCTTTCTCAGCCTCACCTGGAGGAGCCAGGTGTCTGTTGTCTCCCTGGTGGCTCTGACTCTGCTCTGCTCCGGGAAGCACTTCCCAGCCCAGTGCTGGAATTTCAGACTAAGTGCTGGGAGCATGTTCAGAGTGCACACAGCATTCGGTGGAGAAAGCCTGGGGAGAGCTGAATACCTGGGGAAAGAGGCCAACAGGAAAAGCCACCTTGTTTTTGCTGTTAACTTTCTCCTCCTCCTCTCTACTTCTAATGCAAGGGCCTCCTCCAAGGTCAGAACCAGCAGCCTCCATTTCCTGTGGTTGATCTTGATGCTAACAGGAACTCCTCCAAACGGGAGATGAATCATGGTAATCACAATACTCCCCCAAGTCAGGTCCCTGGGGTGCGACTTTCTTCTCAACAGCATGAGAGGAAAACTGCATTTTCTGGTTAAAAAGTAGAGTTGGACAAAGGAGAGATGGGTGGATGGTGGAAGCGAAAAGTCTTATTGAAAACACTTGATTATATGATTACATTGGGCTAAAGCATGTAACTCTCATTTCCAGTAGATAATACACTGTTTGAAATGAGAAACCAAAACACAAGTCATCTTACTGCAGATTGATGTTGATCATCTGTCCCCCTACAGACAAACACTACCTCAGAATCATTCCCTACACCATTTCTCAGGTGTTTATGAACTGACATCAAAAATAGTGATTCCCACGGGGGTCCATGTATGTATTGTGGTCCATGATCCTCCCAGGGCTGGCTGGACAGTGGTAGTCTCTTGCCCTAGGCCTTTGCAGTCTCTGGACCCTCTGCTAGCTGTGCTGTTTCCACGTGGTCTTGCTCAAGACAGTGTACACAGCACACAACACAGTTCTAGCCATCATAGCTGCAGGCACGTTCTATTTTTTTCTCTCTGAGATTGCAACTGGAATTTGGGATCTCCCAACTCTATTTCCAGACAGATCACTGGGTTATTAGTCCAGGTGATAAATCTCGTCATTTAGGGGTAGACGGCACCAGTATAACCCGCAGGGCATAACATGTGTGATCTGGCACCAGAGACCTTATTGCGTTCCCATGCCTCTGCATCCCTCACTGCATGTGTTAGACCTCTGTCATGTATGAATTATGCCTGTCTGTGGCCTATGTGCACATCCCTGAATGGTGCACTTTGTGACTGAAGTGTCTCCCTCTGCCCGTCCCACTTCTCTCCAGATTCCCACCCATCCTGGGCATCTGCACACACAGTGCTTCGAGGTGCTGATCTTTACAGGCACCGGCCCTGCCACCCTTTCCCCCATCCCCAACACTCTCAAAAATTCCTCTGGGCTTTCCCTGACAGGGCAATGCACCGTCTTAACTCATAGAATAACCATGAAAGATCTTTCCGCGTTGTACATGGGAACAAACCAGCTGCGGAGGATATTCCTGAGCCATTGTGATCCTTCATGCTAAAAAGCTCTACCTGCCTAGACAACATTTTTGTGACCCCTGCGATTCATGTGTATATATTTGAGGTCTTCATCAGTGAACCTTTTTTCTCCACCAAGCTAGGCATATTGGTGAACCATTTGCGCCTTCTGGCTCCCAAATTCCTTTTCAGTAGTACTCATCATTAGCTTTCTCATGGGCATTGGAATGTACCTGATGCCATCCGGAATATCAAAGTCCATCTGTTGGTGGCACTTCTCTTGGCTAAACATTCATAGGCCTGTGTGAATCTTTGTTCCTATAACAGCTAATATTGAGGCAGGGCCTTTCCTGGGCCAGGCACGATCAACCATACTAAATATTCATTATCACCTAATCCTTGTATCACACCGATGAGGTCTGCATTTGTAATATTCCTTCTCTATTTTACAGTTACAGTAGCTGAGATGAGAGATTCATTATTTTGTCCAAGGCAAGGATGGAATTAGAGTTACTCCTTAAAGGCAATATCAATGGAACATAGTTAAGACTAGATCATAATTATTCGATTAATTATTCCATTACTGAAAGCTGTCCTACAATGGAAGTTAAGTGATGATGTAAATAGTATACCCATGGGGTAAACCATAGATTTTAGCACAGAGGGCATGAGATTAGAGATAATCCTGCCTTGGTGTAAAGGACCTCAACTTTAAAGTTGCTACTCATCACAGCGAGGGATCTCCACAGTCTGTTTCAGTTCAAAATATGCCATCCCATCCCCACCTCTATCTCAGAAGCCCAAGTGAGAAAAAAAGATCAAGGGGTTGTTGTTTGTTTTTAAAATTATTATACAAAGGTACAGCAAAAAATAGGGCAGATACTTCTAATTTGTCTTGAGCATTTATTTCAAGCATCCACTTTGCATGACTTCTGAAATATTGCTGCAATTTTCTTTTTCAAAGGAATGGAATACTGTAGAACATTTGTGCACTGTCAGTTTCCTGTACCTGCTGTAGGCTTAAATCTCTAGCAGGGAATATATTGTGTCATCCTAAATTTATCATGTTAAATTATTGATCCTTGTAAACCACGTGGCAGGTATTTTATTGCTTGGCTCTAGATTTAGCCAGCAAAGCACAGAACAGCTTTTGAGATGGTTTTGTTTCTTCATGTTTGACATGAAGAGCAGCCCTGGAAAGATACCTGTGTCCCTGAATCTCCCACTGCAGAGCAATCAGGTATTCCCAACGCCTAGTCCCAAGAGGAGCATGATGATCAATCATGTCTCTTCTCCTCTCCTGGCATCACAGAGCAATTCCTGCAGACCCATCTTCATTCGCTCTGATGAGAACCAAAACCTGATCTGGAAAATCTTGGGGTCTTCCAATCTACCCTGAGAGCTTGTTCAAATCAGGGGGATTGGGGGAGGCAGGACAGGCCAGCCAGGGCCACCACTGAGACCCTTCCCCTGTGCTTTCTTCTCTGCGCCTTGACCTCCTGGGGAGAAGCAGGCATGCCCACACAGTCTACGGAGTTGTTCCCATGACACTCACAGATTTAATGTTATGTTTTTTTTAAAGCTTGTGATCAGGCTTGGCAACCACTGGATTAAACACATTTCAACAAGGTTTGCTACTTCAGGATTACTCGCACCAGCTGTGAATGTTGGAGAGCATAATGTGCAGATTTCCCAAATTATGTTGCCACAGACCCCTTTATAAAAAAGCAGTGGTGGGGCTTACACTATGGGACACCTTGAACCCAAGGCTAAGACCTACTGAAGCATGGCCAGGTTCAGAGAAGCCCAGTCTCCAGTGTTCCTCCCTGCCATGGACCTGCCAGGAGCTGAGGGTTTGGGAGATCTGAGTTCCTGGGGCTGCTGGGAGCTTGGGAGCAAGTCCACACCCAGCCTTGGCAGAGGGCACAGGTGATGCACCAAGCCGGGCTCTTGGTCTCAGCTCCTACTCCCCAGCCAGGCCCCATAGCCAGGATTCAGCTAAATCAGCTCCCCTTCATCTGAAGTGGCTTATACACACCACTTTCCCCTGAGAGCTCCACAAGAGGGATGCACTCCATACCCACAGCCTCAGGAAGATGGGCAATGCCTGGGCAGTTCTGAGGAGAAGCTGGCTGAGAGACGGACCAAAGGAGTGACAGAATACACTCCTGTGCACATGTCCGCCTTATAGCACACACAGATGTGTGCTCCACAGCTCTGCTGCTCCGGGCGGCACAAGCCCTGGGGAGAGGAACCCACCAAAGGTGCCCAGCATACACGCATCCTAGTCCAGGCTTCTCATCAAGCCACCTGAACAAAACCAGGCACCCTGGCAGCTAGAGCCCACATGTAGTCCCCTTATGCAAAGCGCACTTTGGAAACCAGTCAAGTGATCTCTTCCACATATTCTGCCGTGTCTTCTAGTTTTCTTCCTCCTACAAGGAACTTCAAAGTTATTTTTTCGACTTTTTCTACAATCTGACCCCTTTATACAGAGAAGTTGAAATGGTGAGGGTGTCAATTCTAATAACATTTTTATATTTCAGAGGAATAGAGAAAAATAGTCCATACATACAATCATTTTCTTCCAAGGGGTAGAACTTCAAGAGGTCAGTGCATCAGCTCAGCAAGGCAGATCAGCTGCCCAATGCCAGAGCCTTCCAATGAGGTTGCTCTGTGTGCCATCAGAGCGGGGACAGGGCCCTTTATGGCACCAGAGCTTGGCCCTCCCCAAATAAAGTCGGTTATGGGCTGCAATGCGGTCAGTCCCCCAAATCCCTGTGTTGAAGCCCTAACCCCCAGTACTTCAGAATGTGACTATATTTGGAGGTAGAGTCTTTAAAGAGGAAATTAAGTTAAAATGAGGTGATGAGCGTGGGCCCTAATCCAATAAAACTGGTGTCCTTTTAAGAGATTAGGACACCGATATACCCAAAGGGAAGACCCTGTGAGGACCTAGGAGGAAGACGACCATCTTCAAGCCAAGGGGAGAGGCCTCAGAAGGAGTCAGCATTAAATTAATAGGCCAATTTGCAAAGAATTGAGAATTCAAAAGCAATGAGTCTTTCCATGTGCTACATTGGTATATCTCTTTATTTAGTTAGGTCTTCTTTAATTTTTCTAAACAGTGTTCAGTATACAGGTCTTGCACCACACATTCTGTTAAAATTATCCATAAAATTTTCATGCTTATTACAAGTGGTATTGCACTTTAAAATTCATTTTGAATCATATATTGCTAATATTCTGTTTACTGACCTTGTACCTGTGACATTGCTAAGCTGTCACATAAATTTAAGTAACCTTTTATAGATAAATTAAATATGTTCTACATACAGGATTATGTTTTGCTTCTTCTTTTCCAAAACACCTGCATTTTATTTCTTCTCCTTGTCTGATTGAACTTTCTAGAATGTCCAGCATAACACTGAATGAGAGTGGCAAGAGAAGATATCCTTCTCTTATTCATGATCTTAGAGGGAATGTTGGGAGCCTTTCATCATTAAGTGTGATATTAGTTGGAGGGTTTTGTCAGGTACCCTTTATCAAGTTGAAGAAATTTCTTCTATTTCAAATTTGCCTGGAGGTTTTATAATGAACCGGTGTCAAATTTTGGGAAATGCTTTTACCTCATCTATTGAGATGATCATACTGTTTTCTCTTTTACTCTGTTAATAAGGTAAAACATATCTATTAATCAACAAATGTTATAGTAATTTCCTGGGGTAATCATTTATTGCTATCATTTATTGCTAGATTCGGATAGTTAATATTTTGTTGAAGTGTTCATGTCAATTTCCTTTCTTGAAATATCATTATCTGGTTCTAGTGTCATGGCAATGCTATCCTCACAAAATTTGTTGGAAACAGTTGACTTTTCATGTTAACCTTCTGAGTGAAAGAATTTACTGTTATTTTTCTGAATTCTTAGGAAGTGGGATCAACTTCATCAATCATGTTTTTCAAATCTTCTTACTATGTAGTGATTTTTTTGTCTATTTATTCAAAAAGTATATAAAGATCTTCCAAAATGATTGAGGATTTCTCTATTTCTACATGTGATTTTGTCCATTGAGGTTTATGCAAATTTAGAATTATCATTAACTCCCCCAAATTAAAATATTTAACCACTATTAAATATTATTTATTTTCTCTTAAAGTCCATATATTGTAATGCTAATATGGGTACACATGCTTTATTTTGGTTAATGATGTCATGATATATTTTTTACCTTCACTGGACTTCGAAGTTTCTGTATCTTTATGTTTTAAATATGTTTCTTGAAAATAGTATATTGTTGATTTTCAGGATTTCTCAAAGTTCAATCTGATAATCTTTGTCTTTTAATTATAGCTATTAGTCCTTTTTAATATATCTAATATGTTTGGACTTAAATCTGCCAGCTTACTATCAAATTTTTAATTTGCTCCACTTTGCTGTTTCTCCTCCTTTATTCTCTTCCTACTTTCTTTTGAATAGATTATATTTCGTCAGTTTACTTTCACTCTCTATTGGGAGTTATACAGTATCTTTTATACTTTAGAAGTTTGCTCATTCATCAATTGATGCACATTTCCAAAGCCAGCTTTAATCCTATATGAATAATATTGTTAAGAACATTCATGTTCAAGATTTTTTTTTTTGGGACAGAGTCACCCAGGCTGCAGTGCAATTGTGCAATCTTGGCTCACTGCAACCTCCACCTCCCAGGTTCAAGCAATTCTCCTGCCTCAGCCTCCCAAGTAGCTGTGATTACAGGCGCCTGCCACCATGCCTGGCTAATTTTTTGTATTTTTAGTAGAGATGAGGTTTTGCCATGTTGGCCAGGCTGGTCTCGAACTCCTGACCTGAGGTGATCCACCCGCCTCGGCTTCCCAAAGTGCTGGGATTACAGGTGTGAGCCACCATGCCCAGTCATGTTCAAGATTTTATGTAGACATGTTTTTATTTTACCTTGGCTAGAAGTGAAACTGCTGGGTCATACAGTATCTCCTTGCTTAATCTCTTGAGGAACTGCCAGACTGTCTTCCAAAGTAGCTATATGATTTTACATACCCACCAGCAATTTATCCACCTCCTCATGAGCAGTTTTCATTTTTGATTTTTATTAGAGCCATCCTGGTAAGTGTGAAGTGGCATCACTTTGTGGTTTTGATTTAAATTCCCTACATAGTCATTGATGTTGAGCATCTTTTTATGTGTTTATTGGCCACCTGTACATCTTCTTTGGAAAAATTATCTATTCCCATCTGCTGACCATTTTAAAATTGTACTATTTGTCTTTTATTACTAAGTTGTAGTGGTTTAAAATATGTCCTATATAGAAGTCCCTTATCAGATTATGTGGTTTGCAAACATTTGCTCCCATTCTGAGCATCATTTTTTCTCTTTCTTAATGATAATTTTTGAGGTGCAAAATTTAAAATTTAATAAAGTGTATTTTTATATTTATATCTTTGGTGTCATATCTAAGAGGGTTTTTTTAACCTGAGACTTATTGCTGTGTTTTCTTCTGAAAGTTTTGCAGTACCAGTTATGTCCCATTTTGAATTCATATTTGCATATGGTGAGATGAAGTAGTCCAATTTCATTCTTTTTAGCATGTGGATATCCAATTGTGCCAGCACCATTTGTTGAAAAGACTTTTTTTTTTCCTATTGAATAGTCTTGGGACCCTTTGTAGGAACTAATTGGCTGTAAATAAGAGGATTTATTTGTGAACTCTCAATTCTATTTTGTTGATCTATATTTCTATCCTGATTTCAGTACCACTTTTTTAATAACTCTAACTTTGCCACTAGGTTTGGAAATAAGAGAATTGTGAATTCTTCAACTTCATTCTTCTTTTTCTTTGTTTTAGCTATTCTGGGTCTCTTGCATTTTCATATGAATTTTAGAATAATCTTGTCCATGTCTACACAAGAGTCAGCTAAGCTTTTCATATAAATTGCATCGTATCTATAGACTACTTTGAGTAGTATTATCATCTTAACAATATTAAATCTTCTGATCAATGAACATAGTATACCTTTTCATTTATTTAGGTCTTTAATTTCTTTAAAATATTTTGTAGGACATTCGTGTGCTTCTGATTTGATTGAAGATTGAATTAATGTCCTAACACCAGACCGACCCCTGAAATATCTTAGGAAACACAAGTGCAATAGCATTCCAAATGAAAGCAATTTTCTTATCTTGCTGTTTTCAGCCACCGTCCATATATCAGCATGAAGGAAAATATTCATTTAAATGAGACAAGACTGTTACATTATCTATATGTTTTCATAAAAATTTCTAGCAGAAAAAAAAATTTTGTAGTTTTCAGAGTATAAAATTTTTACTTATTTTGTTTAATTAATCTTATGTATTTTATTCTTTTTGAGGCTATTGTAACTGGAATTGTTTTCTTAATTTTATTTTTGGAATGGTATTGTTGTTTATATAAATACAATTTGGGAATTCTTGTTGATCTCATTGGACAGGTGTGCTCAAGTATTACTAGGATGGATGACTCTTTTAGAGACAGAAAGACTTTCTGAATCCAGGGGAGTCAGTGGCCCTCCATTGAGGCTCAGTTTTAAAAAGCACAGAGGAAGCTAGAAATATGGCATTCTGTGAGAATACACATACACCCCCAACACACATTCACACACATATACTCATGCCCGCACCGACTCACACACTTTGTGCCTTACTTCTCCACACAGAGTTAGCTTTCCCACCCTCTCTGATGCTCCTCCCATGCACCAGGGGCAGTACTATGCATTGAGGGTCTAGGGATGAACCCCACACAAAGCCTACATGGGAAGACACATCTGCAAAATATTAACATCTGGTAGACAAGGGCAGCAATCCCAATGTTCATAAAATGTTCCAGCAGCACAGAGGACGGAACAACTAATTCTATGTGGAGGAGTAAGGCAAGGCTTGGGAAGAAGGTTCCCATTCCAACCAGAGACATAATTATAGGCAAAATCAGAGTCAAAAGAGACAGGCATGTCCCAGAAGCATCAGACTAACCTGCAGCACCCCAGGGAAAGGAGTCGAGCATGGCTGAGACTGGGCATGTAGGCAGACATACTCACAGGCCTGGTGGCCTCGCTTAGCAAGGGGACATTTATGCTATGGGAAATGGGGAGTCACTGAGGATTTTAGTCAGAAAAATTGTATAATTAGGGTTTCTTAAGGTGAATAAACCTGAAGTGTCCAAGTGGGGGAGATGCCATAATTATAGTGAGAAATTAGAAGACTGCTATTGTCCAGAATAGAGTTAGGGAGGATCTGAACTAGGCCAGAGATGACAGGGCTGAGAGATGGGGACAGATTTGACACAGACCTACACATGCTGATGATGAGATAAAAGGACTGGATAAAGAAAACATGGCACATATACACTGTGGAATACTATGCAGCCATAAAAAAGGATGAGTTCATTTCCTTTGCAGAGACATGGATGACACTGGAAACCATCATTCTCAGCAGACTAATACAAGAATAGAAAAACAAACACTGCATGTTCTCACTCATAAGTGGGAGTTGAACAATGAGAACACATGGACACAGGGAGGGGAACATCACACACCAGGGCCTGTCAGGGGTAAGGGGGCTGGGGGAGAGATAGCATTAGGAAAAATACCTAATGTAGATGACAGGTTGATGGGTGCAGCAAACCACCATGGCACGTGTATACCTATGTAGCAAACCTGTATGTTCTGCACATGTATCCCAGAACTTAAAGTATAATAAGATAAAATACACAAATAAATATTTATAAAAACAAAGCTAGGTCTCTGGTAACAGAGAAAGATAGAGGAACTTACATTTGTTATTAAGGTGCCATGTATTAAGTAAAACACCAAACACGTTTTTTTTAAAAAAAGGACAAATGGGTGACAACTGATATTTTTTACCTGCATATCTGAGAAAACTGTAATATATTTACCCAAGGGGTAGTGAAGGAAAGACGATTTTGTTATAAAGAGAACAAACTTGGTTTTAGACACACTGAAATAATTGTCCATCCCCTTTCCCAATGGACGTGGAGGGCACAAATGGGATCTGGAATTCACGTGACTGGGGCTGGATCTGGAAGGCACTATTTCCCAGGAAGTAGAAGACATGGCATGGAAGAATACAAGGAGGAATCACGTGTAAATGCAACCCATTTCATGTGAATACCACTCATGACGTAATTATTCACATGATTATGCCTGAAAAAATAGAATATGAGCACACTTACGTGGCACTGGGATGTGATGATACTATATTCTGTTTTAAAGAAACTTGATTCAAATCAGTTTGGCAAGTTTTGATGGATACACACTATGTAATCCCTGCCAGGGAAAGTATTACAAAGAAAAGGTAGGGATTTCTGTTATGCCCTATGTCATAGATTCCACAAGGAAGATATTCAGAAAATGTATGTTTGTTGATTGAAATGATTGCCTCAAAGAACTTACAAAACTACACAAAAAGCAGAAAATACATAACTACAGAAAGTATTTCACATAGGAGTGCCATGCCTGTACATGTGTGCATGTGTGCATGCACACACACAAAATAAGTTACGAAGTTATTTAAAAAAAAAACAGATAAAAATTATTTAAAAGTAGCCACCTTATTGTATGGTCTAGGTCAGGGATTTCCCAAATTGTCTTTCACAGTTCTTTCAGGCAGACTCAGGAAACAGCTGGATAATAAATTTAGTAAGTTTCTTTACTATCAGTCTTTTAAGAGCCTCCAGTGTAATAGTGTATTGGAATCTCCAAGAGGGGAGTAGAGTGGGTGCCCTGTCCAAAATGTGTTTGTGACAGATACATGGTCTGACTTCCTTTCTTTTCGTGCTAATCCCTCATCCTTGCCCTGCTTTTCTTCTGAAATAGGTGCCTCCCTGCACCAATAAGTGAAGGAAAGGAGTGTTCTGGGAGCTGTAGCCTTTCCAACAGAACTCTGCCTGTGCATACTCGCACTGGAATGTTACAGCTCCCCACACTTCCTCATGCTCCAGCCAAGCCACCTCCTCCCGCATCCAGGCACCTCTCTAGCATCACTCCTGACCTCTCTCAGGAAGGCTGGTGAAGCCCGGAGAATTCAATCAGCAAGAGCCCAGCTCTGCAGAAGGTTTCCTTATCCTCTGACCCTATTTTGGACAAGCCATTCTATAAGGTTGTAATAATGAAATCTAATTTTTATAAAAATCTCCATTTTGAAGTTAAGATGATAAATGCCATGAAAATAGGAAGATGTAAAAAATGTTTACATTTTGTGATGGTAGTTAAGCCAGAAAAGAGTTTCATTATTTTGAGATTCCTCCATGTTGTCCAAGGTGAGTCAGACAATCTGGTTAAAATAGTGAAAAACAAAAAGAAATATTTAATTGCTATGTTGGCTCTAACTCCAGAAGAATGAGTCTGTTTATGTGAGTAGTAAAAGAAAAGTTATCCACATGTACTAGGGTGTTGGCATGGTTAATGACAATGAAGGCTGACTCTAAAAATATTAAAACACCTACACGCTGAGTCGTACGGCAGTCAATTCAATTTGTGTAAAGTTCATCAATTCAATTTGTGTGAAGTTCAATTAGAAATAATCTTGTGTTCTCAAATGCTTGCTGCACTCTCTCAGTAGAAAATGAAATGCACTTCTTAAGGTATATGAAAGTGCTGGTAAGTTTATGTACTTTTTCTATAGGTGTACATATGTCACTCTTTTAAAATATTCACAATATATGAAACATGATTTTGTAAACTCACCCTGCTATCTGTCATTTTGCACTGCAGAAAGCCTGGATAAATGTTCAGTTTATAAATGGAGATTCCAGAGAAACTGCCCGCTCCACAAGAGCAGAGCTGTTTTCTGGCAGACACACACTTGTGGGGGTGGAGTTTCATAGGCCTGACACCCTCCCCACACAAGAAAAACCTGTCTTTTGCAACTTCCTCTCCTGCCGTCATTTTTTTCGTGTTTAATCTACCGCATATGTTGCTTCAAAATATGAAAATACAAAGAAAAACTGACAGGCCAACATCCCCGATGAACACAGATGCAAAAATCCTCAACAAAAGACTAGCCAAATGAATTTCACAGCACCTTAAAGAGATCGTACACCATGAGCAAGTGGGACTTATCCCAGGGCTCCAAGGATGGTTCAGTACATGCAAATCAATCCACATGATACATCACATTAACAGAACAAAGGACAAAAACCTTATGATCATCTCAACAGATGCAGAAAAAGCATTTGCCAAAAATTCAACATATTTTCATGAAAAAACTCAACAAATTAGGTGTAGAAAAAATGTACCTCAAAATAATAAAGACCATATATGACTAGCCCACATTTATTACACTCAATGGTGAAAGGCTGAAGGCTTTTCCTGTAAGATCAGGAACAAGACAAGGATGTCCACTCTTGCCACTTCAGTTCAACATAGGAAGTCCTAGCCAGAGCAATAAGGCAATAAAAATGTCGGGGGTGGGGGGGTGGCATCCAAATCTTCTGAAAAAAAGAACTAAAAATGTCTCAGGTTGCAAATGACATGATCTTATATGTAGAAAACCCTAGTCCCCCAAATTGTTAAAACTAATAAACAAATTCAGTACAGTTGTGAGGCAGAAAATCAACATGCAAAAATCAGTTGCCTTTCTATACATTAACAATGGACTATCTGAAAAGGATATTAAGAAAACAATCTCATTTAAAATAGCATCAAAAATATTAGGAATAAATGTAGCCAAACTGAAAACTATAAAATATTCATGAAAGAAATTAAAGAAGACACAAATAAATGAAAAAATACCCCATGTTCATGGATTGGAAGCATTAATATTGTCAAAACGTTCATACTACCCAAAGTGATCACCCAAAGTGATTCAGTGTAATCCCAATCAAAATTTCAATGATATATTTCTCAGAAATAGAAAAATAAAATCCTAAAACTTATATGGAACCACAAAAGATCCCAAATATCCAGAACAATTCTCATAAAGAACAACAAAGTTGGAGGCATCATACTTCTTGATTTCAAGTTATATCATAAAGTTACAGTTTAAAAAATAGCATACTACTGACACAAAAACAGAAACACAAACCAATGGAACAGAATAGAGAACTCAGAAATAAATTTATGCATTTCTGGTCAATTAATTTTTAAAAAAAGATGACAAGAACATGAAATGGGGAAAGGACAGTCTCTTCAATAAACGATGTTGGGAAAACTGTATAGACATATGCAAAAGAATGAAATTGGACCCTTATCTCACACCATATACAAAAATTAACTCAAAATGGATTAAAATCTTAAAGGTAAGAACTGAAACTATAAATTTCTGGAAGAAAACATATGGGGAAAACTCAATGACATTAATCTGTGTGATAATGTTTTAAATATGAACCCAAAAGCACAGGCAACAAAAGCAACTATAAACAACTGGGATTATATCAAACTAAAAACCTGCACAGCAAAGGAAACAATCAACAAAGTCAAAGAAAATCTATGGATTGGGGGAAAATATCTGCAAACTACACACCTGATAAGAAGTTGATATCCAAAATATGAAAGGAACTCAACAACAAAAGCAATTAAAAATGGGCCAAGGGACACATGGCTGCAACTTGACTGATGGAGAAAATATAAGCATATCTGGTGGAGAGAGATGGAGAGAGAAAGGGACAATACAAATGTAGTAAAATGTTGTCATAATATTTGGTGATCTGCTGGTTATCTGAGAGATCTTTGTACTATTCTTATAACTTTTCTTAAGCCTAAAATAATGTCAAATTGGAAGAAAATTTTTAAGTTGAACAAAAGTGCGCAGGACCTAAACATTTCTCAAAAGCAGACATCCAAATGAACAACAGGCATATGAAAAACAGTCAACATCACTAATTGTCGGGGAAATGCAAATCTAAACCTCAGTGAGATATCACCTCACGCCTGTTAGAATGGCTGTTACCCAAAAGGCAAAAGATAACAAGTGTTGGTGAGCATGTGAAGAAAAGGGAACCATTGCACACTGTTGGTGGAATTGTAAATTGATACAGCCATGATGGAAAACAGTATGGTGGTTCCTCAAAATACTAAAAATAGAACTGTCATATGATCCAGCAATCCCAATATAGAGTTGACCCTTAAACAACATGGGGATTGTGGGGGCCAATACCCCCACAGTGGAAAATACATGTATAGCTTTTGACTTCCCAGAAACTTAACTCCTAACAGCCTACTGTTGACTGAGAGCCCTACCTATAACAAAAACAGTCAATTAACACACATTTCATTTGTTATATGCATTATATACTGGATTCTTACCACAAAATAAGCTAGAGAAAAGAAAATGTTGTTAAGAAAACCAGAAAGTGGAAGTAAGTGGATCATCATAGAGGTCTTCATCCTCATTGTCTTCCCATTGAGTAGGCTGAGGGGGAGGAAGAAGAGGAAGGGTTGGTCTGGCTGTCTCAGGGATGACAGAGACAGACTAAAATCCATGTGTAAGTGCACTTGTGCAGTTCAAACCCATGTTGTGCAAGAGTCCACTTTATATCCAAAGGCAGTGCAATCAGTATGCCGAAGAGGTAGCTGCAATTCCATGTTAATTGCAGCAGCATTATTCACAATAACCAAGGTCACCCTAAGTGTTCATACACATATGAATGGATGAAGAAATGTCTATGCACACACAGACACAGGAATACTATTCAGTCTTAAAAAGGAAGGAAATCCTGTCATTTGCAACAACATGGGATGAACCTGAAGGACATTATGCTAAGTAAAATAAGCCACAGAAAGACAAATATTGCATGACCTCATTTATATGTGGAATCTAAAAGAGTCCAACTCCTAGAAGCAGAGATTAGAATAGTGGTTGCCAAGGGCTGAGGGCAGGGAATGTGAGAAAATGTTGGTCAAACTGTACAAAACTTCAGTTATGCGGGGTTAGTTCTGAGATGTAATGTACAGCACCATGACTATAGTGAGCAATAATGTACACCTGGAATTTCTAAGAGAGTAGATATTAAGCATTCTCCTCACACACACATACTCACATACGAAGGTAACTATGGGAAGTGATGGATATGTTAATTAGCTTAATTATGGGAATGATTTTGCAATGTATATCAAAATCTCAAGTTATACACCTTAAATATATACAATATTTATTTGTCAATTATATAAAGCTAGAAGAATATGAAAATACATGTTATTCATATACTCAGGAATAGAATAGTTGCATGTGTCTTGAAGTTAAAGCATATTCATTTAATTATCTCAGTAACCTTTGAAATCTCACAGTATCCTTCAAAGGATTTTAAATGCAAAACAACACAGACTTTATTCTTTTCTTGTTTGTTTGTTTGTTTGTTTAGACAGAGTTTCACTCTGTCACCTAGGCTGGAGTGCAATGGCGCAATCTTGGCTCACTGCAACCTCCACCTCCCAGATTCAAGCAATTCTCCTGCTTCAGCCTCCTGAGTAGCTGGGATTACAGGCACCTGCCAACATGGCTGGCTAATTTTTGTATTTTTAGTACTGGCAGGGTTTCACCATGCTGCCCAGGCTGGTCTTCCACTCCTGACCTCAGGTGATCTGCCCACCACGGCCTCCCAAATTGCTGGTATCACAGGCATGAGCCACCACACCCAGCCAACTTCTTAAGCCCTTCTCTCCATTCCCTTGTCCAGCATTCCCATTGTCCCTTTAACTGTTTCTCAGCTATGCCTGTGTGCTTCCCTCCGTGGTCCTGTCTTAAGGCTAGAGAGCTCCACAGTCCACTCCATGTCCACACCGGGAGGTAGTTCCACAGAGGCAGCTGCCACACTGAGCAGGCTCACCCAGAAGTTAGAGGAAAAAGTCTTGCACAAGGTCAATTTGGGGTTGTACCTTGTTTATGTGACTCCAGTATGTGCCTGTCTTTAAGATATGCCTTTTGGTATGCCTTTAATATTTTCTCAAGAATTATACACCATTTCCTTGAACACTTCAGAAAAATGAAGCGTGTGGTCCAACATGGACATGAATGGATTCTGTAGTCTGTCCCTCTGCCTGCACAGAAATGGGAGAAAAGCCACAAAGCATCATAAGCCCACGCCTTATCTAAGCATTTACAAGGCTGTCCTGGGAGATTTGATAGTAGAGGTCTACATGCAGGAAAGTTGAGTAATGGATTTTTAATAACGTTGCTTCTAAACTGAAAAACATGGTAGAAAGGTCATTGACCACCCTGGTGACACGGGTGTGACTATCTCTCCAGCAGAGTGAATGATATGGTCCCAGAGTCCAAGGCGCCTCATGACTCAGTAATGCATCACCATCCTGACGCCCAGTGCTGCTGATGTAATGCCATTTCTTTCATGCTGGGAGGATTCAGAAAGGTGAAACCCACACATCACATTTTGTTTTTTAGCTATCTGGAACAGTAAGGCCACAGAAACAAAGCAGCTACTGTATTATGATGGGTATTCCATTCATGCATTTCAGTCCTTAGCAAGTAAGTCATCCCTGTCCACATTTGGAAAAGCGCTCATTTCTGCCTCTTGCAAAGAAACTTCAGTGTCAACACATACGTACGTTGACAAAGTAGAAAACTGCAAGCAGTAACCCCCGCAGGAAGCAATAATGAGTTCATTCAGTTCTGTACCAAATCTTGTATGAACCACAATGCCTGGCATGTTACACGGTCATTATTCATCTCTTTTTCTCTCCCTTCAGGCAGTTAGCTCTACGTGCATTCGTTTGACTTCAATAAACATAGGCATCATTCGCATTTACTGTGGCATCTTAAGGTAGCTCAGTAAACATTTTCCATTATCATTTTAATAATGTTCTTCCTGAGGCCTGAAACTGTCTAAAGAGAATATTCTTTTCATTGAAGTCATTTTCCCTTAACAGAATCTTGACTTTGTGAGGTCTTAGAAGGTGATACACTGCTGACACTCCTGGCTATCACGGTCCTGTGGGCTAGCAGCATGAGGGGCTGGTAAACAGCCCCAAGACTAGGTCAGCTCTGGCTGCTGCAAAACCTTACACCTTCCGCCCTTTAATCTACTAGTGTGTATGTGTGCTGTGCATCTGCGCATTTGTGTATATGTGCATGGTGTGTGTATGCCGTGGGTGGTTCGTGTATGGGGTGTATGTGGTGTGTATGTGTGCTATGTGTGTGTGCATTTGTGTATATGTGCATGGTATGTATGCCATGTGTGATTCGTGAGTTTGCATGGTATGTGTGTGATATGTGTGCTGTGTGTGTGTGCATTTGTGTATATGTGCATGGTGTGTGTATGCTATGTGTGGTTTGTGAGTTTGTGTGTGGTGTGTGTGTGGTGTGTATGTGTGCTATGTGTGTGTGCATTTGTATATATGTGCATGGTATATGTATGCCGTGGGTGGTTTGTGTGTGTGATGTGTGTGTGTATGTGTGCTGTGTGTGTGCATTTGTGTATATGTGCATGGTGTGTGCATGCTATGTGTGGTTTGTGAGTTTGTGTGTGGTGTGTGTGTGGTGTGTATGTGTGCTATGTGTGTGTGCATTTGTATATATGTGCATGGTATATGTATGCCGTAGGTGGTTTGTGAGTGTGTGTGATGTGTGTGTGTTGTGTGTAAACACTTTCTGAAGGTGCTTTGCCTCCAATTCTGGGACCCCTGGGGCTCTGGTCACTGTCCCACTTTGCCCGTGTCCAGACTCTAGGATAAGCCTGGTCACTGGACATGAATTTGAGAAGCCTGTGGTTGAGAGTCCACAGCCATCTTACCCCAGTGTGTTCTGACATCTGGGGCCCACCCTTAGCTTTCTATGATTGAGACCTGCCCTGAACTGGGTGACTATGGTCCCGCACTGCTTCTGGTCCTGCAGGTGATTCTGTTTTCTGACTCACTATGACCAGGTGCCAGTAACTGCTGTTGGGCCTCCCAGTGGTCACCTCCCTGCCTGCTTGGGCCTGGGCTGTCACATCTACTGCCCTGGACAGGTAGAAACCCAGGCCTCAAGTCTTACCCCTTCCCATGACAGCTGCCATCCTCTGTAGATCTCAAGAACTGTAGGACAATAGTTGGTCATGACACCCACAGATGAGAGAATGTCTGTGAAAACACTGGGTCAACTGCTAATTCCCAAGAGTCGCTGAGTGACCAGCATGGTGTGCAGAAGGTGAAGTGTGAGTCCCCTGGCATCCTTAGTGGCGCTGTGCTTTATTCACACCCCAAATAAAGGCACTGGGCCCCCCCGGGAAGGACCCGCAGAGGGACTGTGATGCATTCAGTTCAGCTCCTGCTGCACATTATACAAGAAGAGGCCAGGAGTCCACCAGTGGGTCGAGAATGCAGAGGTTCAGCATTCCCTCCCCTCCCACGGACAAAGGAAGGAGGATGTCTTCCCAAGGAACGGCCAATCTGGAAAGAGTGACAGGGCTGCCCTGGAGTTTGGGGACTGCAGGGCTCATAGCGGAGGAAATAGGCAGGCTGTACTGGGTGATGGGACCCACCGTCTCCTGGGTCTCAGATACTTGTGGGCCTGGAAGAGAGCCTGCTCCTTAATCCTTGATCAGGGCCCCTCCCTAGGAGGCTTGCTGCCCGTGCCAGGAGGAGCCCAAAGTCCTCAGAGGGGTTGCCACCTGCAGCAGCAGGAAGAAGGGCCCTCCCTACCACAGGCACCTGCAGTGCTGCCCAGAGATCAAGGAGCCAGCCCCAAGGCACAGGCACAGTGGCCATCCTACCAGCCCCAGAAGAGCTCCCCACTTTCCCGAGCTCCACCTACCACGCCGACCTCAGAAGGACCTGTGACAGCAGGGGTGTGGAAGTAGAAGGAGCTGGAGGAGGGGAGCTGCAGGCCTCACCTTCTCCAGCAGCTTGACACCAACACGGTGGGTGTGAGTGGAGGGTGGGGAGTTGTAGCATTCATTAGAGACCACAGTGGCGGCATGCAGCTGGACTGGGAGTGACTGCAAGGCTGCAAGAACTGCCCACGCTCCGACAGATGTACAGTGCAGGGCCGGCGGGGTGGTGGAGAGAAAGGAGGCATTTCCTTTCTACTTGCATCTCACAGGAAGGAGGCTTGGAAGATATTTGGACTAAGTCCTTGCTAGCATTTGACGTTTTGTTTTTTGCGTTTGTAGAAACATCACCTTCAGACCTACATCCATCCAAAGGCTACCTGTTCCTTTTTTCTTTCATCCTTCTCTATCTTTGTTCACTGACAATCTTCTTGGGCACATTTCTTTCTTGAGATAAACAATCTTTTAACACAGCAATGGGTCTGGGCTTTAAATGAAGAGCTTCACACTTGGCAGAGGAGGACCTGCGATTAGATACGGACACGTTCCCTGCCCCGTATCTAAAGTGGCTTGGCCAGGATTGATCCACTGTACCAGCCCTGCCCTCTCTAGGACGGGCTGCCTCCTTGGAGTCTGCAGCCTCACATCAGCCTAGACGCCTGGTCCAGCCTTCCTTACTCTGACCTGATGGTTGCAGTCGCCGTGTTTTCTGGCCAGTGGTATAACGAGTACCCACTGCTTTTTCTGCCTGTGTTTCACAAGGGGCTCTAAAGGACAGAATGTATTTGTCAAAGCACCTGTGCAGTGACTCCCACTCAGGGAAACCATCAGCTTTCAATTGGAGTGTTCTCCTGACTCCACATCTTTAAACAAAGCTTCCAGGCTCCAGGGCTTTGGGGTCTCTCGTGGGACCTTATTGATGTAGCTGAAAGAGGAGGCAGAAACAGCCTGTGACCATCTGCTTTTGTCGTGAACTCCTTGGACGGTGCAGGAACTATGCTCAGGCCCCCCGACTCTGGGTTCTCTCTTCTCCTCTGAGTCCCCACCTGTCTCAGTCCCCCCTCCCTGTATTGGTCAGCTGTGTGGCACATGCTGGACACTGGCGCACACACAGTGCACACACATCCAGGCCGCATCTTCACCGAAAGCACCCGCAGATCGTGATAAGTGCGGCCACCAAAAGGCGGCTTGTAGGAGAAGTGTCTCTCCTATTCTTCAAAGCTGCTAACTGACACATAATATGACATCGCTCCATCCTCATAAATTGTATTGGCCTTGACGCTGTTTATCTTCATTACACTTTAGGGGAAGGAAATGCAAGGCCATTTAATAATAGTACTTTTTGACTGGTGACGTGCATGTGTCTAGCCAATTCTCACCCTGATTGAAATAGTCGAAATGGCCTAATTTAATACAGCCTTGGTTACTGGGAATGTAATCATCTTTCCCTGAAATTGCATCCCTGTTCACAAGCTCGTCAAGTCTGGAGAGGTATCCACAGCTGCCTCGCAATTTGAGGAGATGCAAGCTCCATCTCATTATCCAGCTGAGAGGCAATCAATGCCTGGTGGCGCCTTCGAATCAGAGATTGGGTGGCAATAACGTGTCCCTCTTAGGGAAGGCTCTGTGAACTGAGCAGGGCTCACTTTCTCCATATGCCTCTGACAAAAAAAAAAATAACCAAAAGGAGAAAAATCCAGGCTTATTTTCCAGAGGCAATTTCTAATGTGAGCTAGCTAGATAAAAATGGCTGCAGGTTACTACAGCAGAGGCTGCAATTGCAATGACGAGAGCCTCATCTGCCCAGTCTTCTAGATGAGCTCGGGCTCCTGTGGCCCTGGGCATGTAGGAGTGGGTGCAGCTGGCCTCAGGCCCTGGGCCCATTGGTCAGTGTCTCTGTCCCGTCTCCGGCACATTCTCTTCCTCTCTGGCTGTGGTGTGCCCCATCCTCTGCAGGCATCATTGCTCGATTCTTCCAACACCCTTAAGTCTTCTCTTCGATTCTTCCAACACCCATAAGTCTTCTCTCTCCACCTTTCCCCAGAAATACTTCCCCCGTCAGCATGTGTTTGTGAACCTCAAAAGCCGATTGTTTCCTGCCCTCTGTCTCAACAAGGTTTCGATGTGATGTGTGATACCTTAGAGGACTATGTCTTTCCAAAATGCTGCTCTCCTGGTGAGAAAGAGAGCCTTGGCAGGCTCGGTCCCATACAGTAGAGTCTTGTGTTCCTGCTGCTGGGAGTCCCTGAGCATCAAGGTGAGCACACATCACCGCATGCATGGACAGCTGCATGCCTCAAGTGGCACAGGTGACAATTCAGGAGTTTTCCAAAAGGAAAGAAAAATTCATCTCTAGGGTATCATCACCCAAACCATGTCATCCTCTACCTCCGTAAAGGCAAAATGAAACTGGGAAACAGCATTGTGCCTGTTGGTAACACTACTGAATTACACACTTAACAGTCTGCTAAGAGGCAGATCTCATGTGCTCATATTAAGTGTTCTTACTGCAGTAAAATAAAATTTTAAAAAACATATCTAATTGTATACCTGAAAAGGATGATTATACTAATGTAAATTGTATCTCAATAAACCTGACAAAATATTTTTTAAAAAAGAAAAAGGAAACTATAAAAAAATATAATTAGCATAGTGAAACTTGATCAAAGTGAAAATTTCAACACTGGTCATTAGATGGTCTTTGCAATTTCATGGTTGCGCATGTGCACACACACCCACACTTCCTTGTAAGTAAAATTAAATACCTCAGACTGATATACATTTCCTTTTGGTTCAATTTTCAGAAGTTTTTCCCTCTCATTTCTTGCTAGCAAGTGTAACTTTTCATTATCATCCAAGAGTTGAACTTGCATTTTTTTCATTTATTTATAGTCGCTTGTTTCTGGATTTTGAGAGTGAGGGAAAGGTGAGTGTGGTTGGCTGACTTACAGGAGTCCCTCTATGTCGTAATGGTGGTCCTTTGAATGGAATTGGACTGCCTTATTACTGTTGTCATTACTCGAAGGCCATGTCTCTGAAGCCACAGCTGCATTCCTGAAGACTGAGTTTACCTAAATGCTAACCTTTGGATAAATTTAAGTATTATAATAGTATTATAACCGGAAGTACCTCAAATACATCACAGTTGTTAATATTTTTGTCCAACAACAACAACAAAAACAATATTTCAAGCCTTTTTTGTGGTAAGTTGCATACTGCAACCATTCAAACAAAGTCTAAAAGCAGAGTAAAAACTTTCCACTCCTCTTCATGCCACCCGTGTCCCTGCTGGAGGCTGAGCCATGGTTGGTGTGACTGAGCCAGACTGGGGTCTGCTTGGCAGGTGCACTGAGGCCAAACACAAACATCAAAGTTTTGCTGCAGGAGAAAGGAGGGTGTTTATTTGCAGGGCGCCCCGCAAGGAGAACCAGGAAACTCACACTGAAGACCTGACCTCCTCAGTGGATTGTGAGCAGGAGTTTTTAAAGGCAGGGGTAAATTTCAGGGAAACAGAAGTTACAGGCAAAACTGCAAGTCAGTACATAATACATGGAGATTACATGCTGGTTTGGCCTGAACAGGCAGGAGGGTATCTTGAAGCAGAAGCTTACAGGTCAGAGGTGGATTCAGAGACTCTCTGATTTGTGATCGGCTAAGGAAGTGAAACTTTGTCTAAAAAATCTGGGGTGGACAGAAAGGAATGTTAAGATCTGGCCCGAGGACATGACTACCTCCAGGCCCCTCAGGAAGAAATTGGGAACAAAGAGCAAAGTCAGAGTGCAGCCCTCAGCTCCTGTCCCTGAGGTCTGCCTTCCAGCCCATCCATTTGGTGGGGGTCCAGGTTCCTTCCATCAGGTTGCTTATTTACTTCTCAGGGCTAGATAGCTAGGTGCCTGGAATATCCCGCAAAGGGACTCAAGATTTTTATTTCCATGCTTTGCAGGTTTGGTAGGCCCTAAAACAGGTCTCTGCTCGTTCCTGTACATCTGTTTGCTCATGCAAACTTATACAAACATATCTACTCTCCCACTTGTACACACGAGATTGTTTTTGCTAAGATGAACTCACTCACTCCCTCCTCACCACTCAGGGTCCCGCAGTTCAAGATGTGCGGCAGGCGCCTTTCCCACTCAGAGCACTGCTGCTGCTGCTTCCTTATTAATGGCATCATCCTCTCCCATAGGATGCAGAATTCCTGCCTTCATTCAAGCTGTCAAAAATAGCACAGCAACCCACATGTGTGCGTTATTTTTATTACTTTTTTTTTGCTGGCACTGTATTTCTGTCATGCAAATTTCACAAATCAAAGTTTACAAACATTGACTAGTCTGATAGTGCTGCATTCCGTGCCATTGTGTCCAGAATTGGTTCCTTCTGGTGGGTTCTTGGTCTCTCTGACTTCAAGAATGAAGCCTCGGACCCTCGGGTGAGTGTTACAGCACTTAAAGATAGTGCCCACCCAAAGAGTGAACAGCAGCAAGAGTTATTGCGAAGAGAAACAACAAAGCTTACACAGCATGGAAGAGGACTCCAGGAGGTTGTCACTGCTGGCATGGGTGGCCAGCTTTTATTCCCTTATTTGGCCCCACTCATATCCTGCCGGTTGGTCCATTTTACAGAGAGCTGATTGGTCCATTTTACAGAGAGTGATTGGTCCGTTTTACAGAGAGCTGATTGGTCGGTTTTTACAGAGTGCTGATTGGTGCATTTACAAACCTTTAGCTAGACAGAAAAATTCGCCAAGTCCCCGCCAGACCCATAAGCCCAGCGGGCTTCAATTCTCACCATGGTTTTGCATTCAATACTAGAGCCAAAAACAGTGTAGAGAGACTTCTTTTTCACCACTTTTGTCTACACTGGATGTTTCGATACATGTGTTAAAAGTTGCCCATCTCACGAGAAAAGTGAACCTCAGTTGATTTATTTTCATTTCCCTGACTCTTGGATTCTTGGTGAACATGCCCATTGTCTGCCATGCTTCTTGGCCAGTTGCTGCTTCTAGAACCAGTTCTCCTTTCCCTCATCTGCCCTTGCTCAGTTGTCTTCCTCGTTCTTCCTGAAGCACACCCAGCCCCTTGCTCACCGTCTTTGATGGTTTCCTGGAGAAGTCCTCATCTCCTTCCGGGTCTTATAGGGAATTTTTGGATCACCTCCCCTCTGAGCCGGCTCCTCACTCCCACCACTCTCATCCCCTGCCTCCACTCTAAGCTTATCAGCATCTGCCTGTGTGCAATCTTGTCCCCCAAGGATAAGCCCAGGAGAGCAGGGACCTTGCTATATCCGTGTTATTTCTGCAGCATTTAGAAATGTGCCAGGAACTGACTAAAATGGAAACAGAGCAAAACCAATAAATAACCGGAACTCTGGGTTTGGAAGGAAGCTAAATAAAAGCCAAGCCCCAGCAGATTGGATAGAGAAAAGTAAAACAGAAATGTCTAAAATATGAAAGAACACAGAAATGATACTCATATATAATATTCTGTGTATATTATTTCAAGGCCCTAGTCTTATATATAGTATTAGAGATAAGTTCTACCAAACTTTTAAGAAACCAGTGTTTATTATTCTAATTAAAATTGTAAGTTGAAATACTGTGTTTTATTCCAGTGTTAACTTCTCCTATCACTTGATATAGAGGGTTTTTAAATAACTTTTGTGCTACAATGTGAAATACATGGCATACCACAATTTAGTATCCTACTAAATCTGCAAAGATTAATATACTGTCTGCTTAATTCGGCATTTATCCCAAAACTGGCATACTATAATTCCAGAAAGATGACAATAATGCAACATTAGAATATCTTTCAAAATAATTTGTTAAATAAACAAATTGAAATTTTTAAAATATGATTCAGTGACCTATTTCAATAAAAACACTATGTATTAAAGAGAGAAATATTGGATGTAAAACACATGGCAGGTATCAGGAACGTTGTCTCTGCTTTAGTGATATATGAAGGAAATAAAAATAAGCACCACAAGTTTTGTAAAAGTTAATATTATTGTTTACAGATGATATGATCAGATATCTTGAAAAAATAATGCATGCTACTAAAATTATTAAAATTAATATATGTTTTGAAGTGAGCTTGATTCAAAATTAATACATAAGGTTTAACAGATTTTATTTGAATTACAAACATTGTATAAAAATGTAAATAAAACACCTCTTTATATTAGACAAAAAAGGAAAGCAAAAGCAAACATATGTTCTAAGACTCATGATATATATAAAGAAAATTGTTAAAATTCTATTGAAGAATGTGAAACAAGTACTATAAGATAGGCATATATTCTTGACAGGAAAGATTTGATATTGCAAAGATATCTGACCTCCCATCACTAATTTGGTATGTAAATATTTCAATCAGAATTCCAATTTTTCTTTAAAATTATTTGTGTTATTTTTTGGTATCACCGAAGTGTGGATCTTTAACAGTGGGCCAGAAGCAGATGACTGTGAAGATGAAAGCTGAAACTCCCTGGCCCTCATTCACACGGCTGATTCCAAGACCCTGGGAGAGGCCCTAGCACAATTTGCAAAAGTGAGATATTGAAACCATGCTGTGTGACCAGCCCTGCCCCTTTCCCAGTGGCCTCCCTAGCACCTTCTTCTGTGGGGGTGTGCTGTGTCCATGTTTAGGATGTGAGCTCAGAAGTGTGTGCATTTCACAGCTGTGCCTTCTCCTGGAGACACGGAGCCGAGTCCAGACACTGCTCCTTTGGGGGTGCCATGAAAAGCTTGGCAATTTAGAAGCACTGTGCAGGGGGAGGCTGACAGCTGTTCTGTTGCTCCTTAAAGCTAGATGTTCACTACATCACTCCAACTTCTCTCTTCGCTCTTCTCTCAGGGAGTGGGCTCAGTTCAGACAGGACCAGCAAACCCACGTGCCCCTCCCATAAGGCATCATTGTTCATGTCACACATGAGCAGCTGTGTGTGGGTGTGCAAGTGAGAAAACGAGCTGGTGTCACCCATGCATCGTGGCCCCCTAAACAGCTGTGGGAGCACCAGCACTCCGCATTTTCATACTACTCCAGGTTTTTTTAAATGACTGCTTTATTGAGATATATTTCACATACCATAAAATGCACCAATTTTATACCTTGGCATAAAGGTGTACAGTTCAGTGGTGTTTAGTATATTCACAGAATTGCTTAACTATTATCACTTCCTAATTTGATAACATTGTCATCACCCCAAAATGAAACCCTGTACCCATTAAGCAGTTACTCCCTATCCCCTTCCTCCCAGTCCCAGGCAACCACTGATCTATTTTCTGCTCCTCCAAACTTGCCTATTCTGGACATTTTATATAAAGTGAATTATACATTATGTGGTTTACTTAACCCATTCTTCCATTGGTACCTCTTGGGTTATTTCCACTTTTTGGCTATTATGACTATTGCTGCTGTAAACTTTCATGTACAAGTTTTGGTGTGATTGTGTACATGTAGGACTGGAATTTCTGGGTCCTACGGTAACTCTGCATTTAATATTTTAGAGAACTGTGAAATGGCTTTCCAAAGTGGCTTCACCATTTTGCACTCCCACCAGCACGGTATGAGGGTTCTAATTTTCCCTAACCCCTCAAATACTGTACTTCCTTGTTAAAATCCTAGCCATCCTAGCGGGTATGAAGTGATATCTTGTACTATTTATTTGCATCTCTTGGTGACTAATGATGCTAAACATCTTTTCATGCACTTATTACCCATTTGTATATCTTCCTTTAAAAAATTCTATTTAAATTCTTTGCCCATTTTTAAATGGACTATTTGTCTTTGTATTGTTGACGTGTGAAAGTTCTTCATATATTCTGGGTGAAAATATCTTATCAGATACATGATTTGGAAATATTTTCTCTCATTCTGTGCCAGCACTCTTTTAAATTTGCATTGACTTTTTTTAATCTTGTGGATTATTAAAATTGTACAAAGCTAACAATTTCAAATTAATAAATATGTAAGTCTTTATGAATAGCTTAATTTTCACAACTACCAAGGCAGTAAACCTCAGAGGACTTAAGAAGGCACATGCTTCCAGGCACAGAGCCCGTGAATGTTTCCCCAGCCTGCACGGATCAAGGGTGATGAAGCTGCTGCCTCTCTCAGCTGCTGGTGGAGGGGGGTCTCCCCTTGCCACGTCAGCCCACTTGCCTCAGCAGAGCCCATTTTTCTCCCATTTGATGGGACCAAGGATCAGTGGCACTCTTTGGAGAATTACTAAAGAGAGTAATGTGTAAGCATGTCTAGACTTGCGTTTTCACGTTTTTAAAGCTACTGAAATCCTGAAAAATTACATGAAAATGGATACAAACGTAAGGTCTCTGCGTGACTAACCCCTTCCTACCAGCTCAGCTGCTTTCCCTCAGGGAACACAATTGGAAAACCTTTCCTTTGTGCCAACTGATGCCCCACAATGCAGCATCCGTTCCAAGGACACACTTTGCTTGTTTTTTAAAAGATGAGTCAGTGGCCAACATTTAAAAGTCAGGAGATTTTATACCGAATTCCCTATTTCTGCCTCTTTTTGAAAGGCCAGATGATTTCGTGACCATAGGCAGATTCTTTCCAGAGAGGAGGGACACTGCTTTGCCTAGGGCAGTGGCTCCAGGTCCCTGTGGCACTTACACTTCATTCCAGTCACCCAATCTCTTATTTATCCTCCCTGCACTGAGTTTGCAAATTCACCTCTAGGTAGTCTCTTTCAATGGCTCATACCAAATCTCTCTGGAAAAGACATTTTCCATTCCACAACAAGGATACATACAGTTATATACACATAGTGAAAATAACACAAAATAATATTTACTGGCACTCTGCATGATGCCTTCTGATATGTTCTTTTGTATTCTGCTGTATTTCATTTTAAAATGCTGGACATGATCCACTGAACTGATTCTAAAGACCCAGTGTTTCAAAAATACTGTTGTAGACCACCCTGTTGTATTTTAAAAAGATAAAGCCCCAAGAGATTGAGTGGGTTGGTTAATATCTAGAAACCTGGTAAAGAAGGAGCTGAGGCTAAACAACCTGTAGGCTTCAATTCAAGGCCCCTTATTTCATAAGGAAAAACACTGAATGCCAGACCGCACTGAGTTGAGAAATCTCTGAAGAAATTTAAAGAAGAGTCTGGCGTAGTTTCTAAACAGTGGGCGAAGGGCTTGTGACCCAGCAGCAGACTTTACAATATTCCATAGAAGACCACAGAATATTCAGTAGAATCTACAATGTCTCTTAATCTCTAGAGCCTCCTACCCCCAACAGTGGTAAATTTGTAACTGATGATTCCCCTGAGTCAATTCCAAGCCCTGGGACATTGGTGTGACATATGCATGGGGAAAATAGCATTGTTCATAGAATCAGTAAAATTATTATTATACTTGGACACATTAACAACTACAGACAAGAAAATGATCCCAATTTCCAAAGCAGAACTTATTTCTTATTGCACAGAAACAAAAATAAATTTGGAACAGCTTGATATTGCATCTTTTAAATCAATGCTTGTCTTCTTTTCCTTCTAAACATTTCTCAAAGTAGGTCAAATGCAACAGACCGGGAAGCTACCACTTAACACTTATCATTCAAAACAAATATCACTCTTCTGTAGACAAAAGGCTGTGCACAGTGTAATTTTTCTCTGAGGCTGCTGCTCCTCTTAAACCGTTGTATCCTAGTTGGAAGCACAGAGAGAGGAGGAAAGTGGCAGAGGGAAGAGGAAGGGACCCCAAGGGTAAGCATGGTGGCAGTGGGGCGACTGCTGCTCTCCAAGCCTCCCCACCACCCTCTTTAGCAGCCAAGGGCTGGAGACCCATAGAGGGAGAGCTTTCCAGAGAGCCCAGTGAAAAGGGAAAAGAACTTTTTAATATGGTATTTTGAGTAAGGGATGTAGTTTTTATGTTTTTTGGCAGCACAATAAACACTACAGTTAACATCAACTCAGTAATGACTGGCCTGGAACACTGCTGTGCATTTAATATAGCATCTTAGTCATCTGGGGCTATTATAACAAAAACCCAAAAACTGGGTGGCTTAAACCACCAACATGCATTTCTCACAGTTCTGGAGGTGGGGAAGTACCATGATCTGAGTGTCAGCAGACCCGGTGTCTGGTGAGGGCCCTCTTCCTGGCCTGCAGATGTGCACCCTGGCTGGGTCCTCACACGGAGGGAGAAACATCATCTCTTTCATATCTCTTATTATAATGGCACTAATCCCATCCGGTCACTCTCATGGCCTCATTAACCTCCCAAATGCCCCACCTTCAAATACCGTCACACTGGGGATTAGGACTTCAACGTATGAATTTGTGGGGGGGACACAGATGTTCAGACCATAGCATATAGTTACATGCCATCTTCAGTACCACTGCACTTTTAGGAGGTGGGAGTCCCGTCCACATTCTCTGCAGTTCACAGACAGGAGGTCTGAGATCTAGAAAGGTCTTGAATTACTTAATGGGATCGTAGTCTTACAGCTTGTGAGTACAGGACAGAGTCTGAATCCAGGGCCTAAGATTGCAGGTACTGCTGTTTGGGGCCTACCTATGTTGTTTTATGTTGATAAACTTTTTGAGCATTAAAACAGCTATTTCATTGGCTAAATATAGCCTTTAGTTCTATTTTTTATGGATAAAAGAGTGCAATGAAACCTCATGTGCCAGTTATTCCACATCAACTTTCTTCTATTTTGGCTGCATGTATCTCCTCTCATATTTGTGAAAGAGTACTTTAAAGTAAATGGTACATTGTATGGATTTTCCTAGAAATGTAGTCGTCTCCCCTAATCCACGTTTTGCTTTCTGCAGTTTCACTTACCTTCAGTCAACCTGGGTCCAAAAATGCTAAACAGAAAATTCCAGAAATAAACAATTCATAAGTTTTACATTGGGCACCACACTGAGTAGTGTGATGAAGTCTCTTACCATCCAGCTCCATCCCACCCAGGATGCAAATCGTCCCCTTCTCCAGGGTATCCACAGTGTACACACTGTCCACCCATTAGTCACTTCGGTACAGTTATCAAATCAACGGTCACAGTACTGATACCAGCGGGTCAGGGGAAGTCCCCATACACCTGTGGGACCTCCACCCCTGCCGGTGTCCAGGCTCTTGACACCATCGTGAGAAGGAATTCAAGGATGAGTCAGAATACAGTGAAAATACAGAGATTTATCACAAGGTGAAAAGTACACACTCAAGAAAGGGGAGTGTGGCATACTCAAGAGAGAGTCATGCCATGGGATTTGGGGCTTTTATCTTTATGGGTTTCTTTAACCAAGTGGTGGAATATTCCTGGAAAAACGTGGAGACTTCTCAGAACTGTGGTGCCACCCATTTTTACAACAAATATGGGTGTTCCTGGAACTGTCATGGGGTTGGTGGTTGTGTGGTTTACTGTGTTAATGAGTTGATAATGAGGTCCTAGGGGAAACCTAAGTCAAATTCAGTGCCGTGTTGGATCCAGTTGGTCTTAGCCAGTTTGGTCCACATCCTGGTATTTCAGGGTCTTATCAGCTCATAGCATCTGCAGCTATTGCAAGTTCCCTTTTGCTCATGATGTGAAACTACTGCCTGGATTTTCTATTCTCTTGTGACCACACTGTATTACTCCTCACTGTATTATTATGTCTCAGTATCACAGGGCTTGTGTTCAAGTATAATTTTTATTTGACTTAATGATCCCAAAGTTCAAGAGTAGTGATGCTGGCAATTTGGATATGCCAAAGAGAAGCCATGAAGTGCTTCCTTTAAGAGAAAAGATGAAAGTTATCAGCTTAATAAGAAAAGAAAAAAAATCATATGCTGTGGTTGTTAATATCTGCAGTAAAAAAAATCTTCTATTCATGAAATTGTGAACAATGAAAAAGAAATTTGTGCTAGTATTGCTGTTGCACCTCAAACTGCAAAAGTTACAGCCATAGTGCATGATAAATTCTTAGTTGAGCTGAATAAGGCATTAAATGTGTAGGCGGAAGATATAAATAGAAACACCTTCCAACCAACAGCAGTAGATTCAGCACTATCCATGGTTTCCAGCATCCACTAAGGGTATTAGAACATATCCCCCATGGAGGCTACTGCAGGGGACTGCTGTGCTTCATTAGCTACCTCTAACAGACATGCCTCTGTTAATCCAATGTCATAATTACACAAAGTTAGTATGGGTTCCTTACTGTCATAGAACACTCAGCCCACGTGCCATTTCTGCAGTTGTCTTTTTTACAGTTGGCTTGTTTGAAGCAGTACCAGTCAAGATCTACACATCACATCCTGCTAATACTTCTCTCAAGTCTCTCTTCTTTTTTATTTTATTTTATTTTTTTGGAGATGGAGTCTTGCTCTGTCGCACAGGCTAGAGTGCAGTGGCACAATCTCGGCTCTCTGCAACCTCTGCCTCTTAGGTTCAAGCGATTCTCCGGCCTCAGCCTCCCAAGTAGCTGGGATTATAGGCGCCCACCACCACACCGGACTAATTTTTGTATTTTTAGTAGAGATGTGGTTTTACCATGTTGATCAGGCTGGTCTCGAACTCCTGACCTCAGGTGATCTGCCTGCCTCGGCCTCCCAAAGTGCTGGGATCACAGACGTGAGCCACCGCGCCTGGCCTCAAGTCTCTTTTAATCAATAAAAATTCCTTCTATTTATTTGGGCAGAAACTAGGCCATTTTGCCCATCAAATCTCACACATCCTAGGTTTGGCTGACTATATTCTCATGGTGTCATGTAAGGTGTTTCTCTATCCCCCACATTTTCTGTAAACAGTAGTTAATTCTAGAACTTTGCTTAGCTTCAAGTTGAACTCTTGGGATAAGAACATATCATAGGCAGCCCTGTATAATTCTTTGCCTTACAATGGAAAGAACATAATATCTGTTCCTGCTGCCTTGACGACATAAGACAGACTCTTCAGTGGGTAACAGCCTTGGCCTCTGGTGCTCCCAGATTCATCGGACGCTGTGAAGTGGCATATTCTAATTATATCATTCCTCCTGCATTTGTTAGTGGTTTGTTTATTGAAAAAACTTGCACATCAGTACTTATTTAGCCTGAAATTCAGTATCTACAGGAAAGACAGGGAAAATGCTTAATTCTTTCCCTTTACTTATCAAATTTCAGTGTGATTTGTTGGTGCCCAGTACCTTGCATTTCTCTTATTAGGAGTGAATTTGGGTGTCTTTTTTTCTTTTTCTTTTTTCTTTCTTTCTCTCTCTTTTTTTTTTTCTTGAGGCGGAGTCTCGCTCTGTAATGGCGCGATCTTAGCTCACTGCAACCTCCGCCTCCTGGGTTCAAGCAGTTCTTCTACCTCAGCCTCCCAAGTAACTGAGATTACAGGTGCACGCCGCCATGCCCAGCTATTTTTTTTTTAAATTTGTATTTTAGTAGAGATGGGGTTTCACCGTGTTGGCTATGCTGGTCTCGAACTCCTGAGCTCAGGCAATCCACTCACCTCAGCCTCCCAAAGTGCTAGGATTACAGGTGTGAGGGTGTAATCCTTTTTTTTTTTTTATTGGCTTATGGGCCATTTTTATTTCTTCCTTTGTTAACTGTTTATTCACAGTTTCTACCTTTTCATCCTATTGGATTTTTGGTCTTATTTTTCTTGTGCCTATAAATCATTCTTTATTAGCATAATTAGTCCTTTTCCTGTTACATATTAACTCTGTTTTCCCCAAATTGTTATTTGCCATTTTTACTTTTCTTATAGGGTACTTTTTTGCCATGCTTTTTTTAAATCATTTTTTTAATGTAGACAATTTTGTAAGTATAGTTTTTAATTACCTCTAGATTTTGAGTCATTGCTAGAAAAGTTTTTCCAAAGCCAAAGCTATAAAGGAATTTATTCATATTTCTCAAATCCTAGTATATGGCTGTTTTTTTTGTTTGTTTGTTTAATATTTAGATCCCTGATCCATTTGGAATTGTAACTGCCCAGTGGGTTCATCTTGCCTGCATCCCAGATAGAGGTGATTTATCAAGACAGAGGAACTGCATTAGAGAAAGAGTTTAATTTTAATCCACACAGAGCCAGCTGAACAAGAGACCAGAGTTTTATTACTCAGATCAGCCTCTCCCAAAATTTAGAGGCCAGAGTTTTTTAAAGATCGTTTAGGGGGTGGGGGCTAGGGAATGGGTGCTGCTGATTAGTAGGGAATGAAATCATAGGGTTGTGGAAAGTGGTCCTCCTAGGCTGAGTTTGCTTCTAGGTGTGGGCACCAGAGGAGTGGCTGGTCCCAGTGGAGTCATCCAGGCATCAGAAATGCAAAAGTCTGAAAAGACATCTCAAAGGGCCAATCTTAGGTTCCACTATAGTGATGTTATTTACGGGAGTAATTGAAGTTACAAATCTTGTGACCTCCAGACAATGCCTGGTTATCATTTAACTACACCTACATCTTAGTAGAATTCAGGCCCCTCTCATAATCCTAAACTTGTGGTCTTTCATTGGTTTCATAAAGGCAGTTTAGTTTTGGCAAGGGCTAAAACTATAAACTAAATTTTCCCCAAAGTTATTTTAGCCCATGCTCAGGTGAACACAGGCAGCTTGGAGGTTAAAGGCAAGGTGGAGTCAGTTAGGTCATATCTGTTTCCCTATCATAATTTTCTTGCTGTTATAATTTTTGCAAATGTGGTTTCAGAATTTATTCTCATATGTGATATAAGAATGGATCCAAATTGATTTTTTCTCATATGGCTTCCACTGATCATAAACACCTTCTTCCTCCTACTAATTTAAGTAACCACCTTCATCATAAACTAATCCCAAGAGAAGTTTCATCTTTCCTGTTTCTTTGATCAGTCTAGCACCAATACACAATAGGTTTAGTGTAGAGTTTTATAATAGTTAATAACCTATGAAAAGCTAGCCCCACTCACTGTACTTCTCCTGGCCATTCTTGCTTGATTGTTCTTACAAATAAAATTTATCATCAACTTTGGAAACATAAAAAAAGTTAATAATCTTCTTATTGAGATCACATGTAATTCATAATTAAACTTGGAGAGAATCAGCATCTTTCTGTTGTATGTCATACAGTCTTCCTATGCAAGAATATAGTGTGTCTTTACATTTTTTTAATCTATGTTTGGCTCAGTAATAACTTACGAACTTCCTCTCATAGGATTTGAATGTTTTTTTTTAAGTTTATGCCTGGGTATTTTATGATAATTTAGGAAAATATTTCTACTAGTTTATTAATTAATTCCTTTCTGTCTTCTGGATATGTAAACATTTCTTTTCTTTTCTTTTCTTTCTTTTTGGAAAATGGAGTCTCACTCTATTGCCCAGGCTGGAGTGCAGTGGTGCAATCTCAGCTCACTGCAACCTCTGCCTCCCGGGTTCAAGCGATTCTCCAGCCTCAACCTCCTGAGTAGCTGGAACTACAGGCACATACCACCATGCCCTGCTAATTTTTGTATTTTTAGTGGAGATGGTGTTTCACCATGTTGGCCAGGCTGGTCTTGAACTCCTGACCTCAAATGACCTGCCCACCTTGGCCTCCCAAAGCCCTGGGATTACAGGTGTGAGCCACCGCTCCTGGCAACATATGTTGCTTTCTAGTCTGTATGCCTCTAATTGTTTTATATATTTATTTATTTACTTTCCTAAGAGTATGTTAACTAATATGTACAACGTAATGACAAATAGTAAGGAAGGCAATGGATATGATCTTGCTTTCAATTTTAAAAGGAAAAGGAACTCTATTTTCCTATTAATTTAAGTTATTGGATCTTAGGAACATATGTACTCTCTCTCTGTCTCTACATATATACATATGTATGTATGTATATATGTATGTTGACTAATATATTTTAGCTTAATCAGTGTTCTTAACACAAACATACACTGCATTTTATCAAATATGTTTTGCTTTCTATGGAGATGAATGTATGATGGATTATACTCATGAATTTCTACTCTCATTCCTGCGTAAATCCTATTAGATCATAATATATTAATGTATTAAAAGAATGTGCTGATGGATTCCGTTAACTATCATTTTATGTGAGATTTTACATTCATATTTTTAAGCAAGAATGCTTTTCTTGTGCATTCATTATTAGGTTGTATATCATTGTAATACTCACTATATAAAAATATAATTAGATATTTTTCTTGCATTTCCTACTCTCTGGGCTGGCTGAAATGGCACTAACAGCATCTGAATGTTAAAGGTTTGGTAGAATTCCCTGCATACCCATTGGCCTGGTGCTTTCTCATACTTGCCCTCTTTTTGCAGCCCTTATATGTTTCTTCTATAGGACCCAAATTGATTTGCAAGGAAATTTGAAACTATGGAAAAGGGGAGAAATACACCTGTCATTGAGAATTAGAACTAGTAAAGTGCAATTTTTTACAGGGGAAAGTGCTATGTAATTGTTCAGTAGTGTGTTGACTAAGACTGAATGTGTTAGAAGGTAGTTAGAAATGATTACCTTTCTGACAGATTTGACCAGCCACTGAAATTATAAACGTCTGGTCCAAAAATCATTGATAGTTTTACTTAATCTATGAAGTATTAAATTTAATAAGCTGGCTGATCAGCTTTTAGTTTTCTTTTTTCAAATGCCTAACTTTGTATATTTTATTGTTATTTAAGAAAAAAGAAGTGGCTTTCATATTTTTATCATAGGTTGATAAGTCAGGTAATAGATGAAATGTATCAGGTTTCCAAAAGAATCTATGATTATGACTAGAACTGTGATTTCTCTGCGATGCTGTAGTGAATATTACACTCAAACTGATAATTTAGGAATTAACCTGTTATCTCATGATGTGTGTGGAAGAACTAATAGTTAAAAACAGTATCCCTTCACTTTCATGAAAACACAAGGCAACCATGAAGTTAACACAAAGTATATGTAAGGGTTAAACTCTGTCTTGTCTGTCTTAAAGTTTTCTTAATATTGGTTTCTAGGTTCAAAAATCAGGAAATGCCTTGTTTCATAGGCTTTACACAGAGGCCCTGAAGAGGGACTTCTCTATCCCAAGAGCCAGGGAGCAGGCCTGAACAGGTCCAGCCATCACGGCCATGCTCTCAGGGCTGACTGCAGCCACACCACCCACCACATGAGGCTAGACAGACAGACTGATGGAGCAGATTAGGAATTACCTGATATGAAGACTTCATTTTCCTAAACACAGGCATTTTCTTCTTCAAAAATTTGGTGACAAGTAGTATTTGTTAATATCACAAATATACCCAATTGGCAGTCAGTAGAAAGGCCCAGACCAAAATAATTTCAGAATGACTAACAAATGAAATATAAAAATATCTGAGCATGTTTCAGGGAAGTATTACTTAAACATAAATACAAAGATAAATATAGAAATTAATGATGAATTTAATATAAGAATGCTAAAATTCAGTATGTCAAACATCCAACAAAAAATACCAAGAGAGGAAACAAATGGGACAGGAGGTCTTTTCTAATGATTCAAAATTATCCACAAAAAAAGCTGCTGTGTCCCTCCAGCGCTTTGGAAGGGCCCCTGCAAGCAAGGGCTCTGTGTTCCCAGCTTCATTAGCTTAGTGGCATGTCAATCTCTGATCAAATGCATTCACGACCTTGATTTGGGGACCCTGAAGCCTTCTCAAGAGTAGGAAGTGTTTTATAAAAAGCCCTGCAAAGAACAAAAGTGTTTCTATTAAGTCTTTGAGAAAACTATGGAAGACAGGCTGTATTTTAAATGATTGATAATCTTAATGTTCTTTTGAAACATTACCTGTATTTCCATAAAGGTCAAGACAATAAGCAGTTTGGAAACAATCACCTCCCTACTCTTGAGAAAAGTGGATTTATAAAAAGGGTGGCTGGCTGGGTGCAGTGGTTCACGCCTGTAATCCCTGCACTTTGGGAGGCTGAGGCAGGCAGATCATGAGGTCAGGAGTTTGAGACCAGCCTGACCAACATGGTGAAACCCCATCTCTACTGAAAATACAAACATTAGCTGGGCATGGTGGCAGGCACCTGTAATCCCAGCTACTCAGGAGGCTGAGGCAGGAGAATCGCTTGAACCTGGAAGGTGGAGGTTGCAGTGAGCTGAGATCGCGCCAGTGCACTCCAACCTGGGCAACAGAGTTTGACTCCATCTCAAAAAAAATCTGTCTAAGTTGAGGAACTTGGATTTGGGGAACATGACAATCAGAAGAACAGATGGAGACCAGTGTTGTGCAGCGGGTGAAGGGATGGACACTAGAGTCATACATCCTAACCTTATACTCTGTCTCTTCCTTATGTACATTACTTAGTGTCTCAGTGCCTCAGCTTTCTTATCTGTAAAATGGAGACAGTAATGTCTATGTCATTAGAATTATTGTGAGACTTACCATATAGAAAGCCCTTGGAATAGTTCGTAGACTATAATTACAGTTATATGGACAGTGGTATGGTGATGATGACCGTGATGATGATGGCGATGATTGTGATGATGATGGCAATGATGATAGTAGTGGTGATGGTGACGATGATATTGTTGATGATGATGGTCATCATGATGGTGATAGTGGTGATGATGATGGTATGATGATAGTAACAGTGGTGGTGATGGTGATGACATTGGTGATAGTAATAATGGTGGTGGTGATGATGATGGTAATGATTGTGATGGTGATAGTGATGATGTTGGTGATAGTAATCATGTTGGTGGTGTTGGTGATGATGATGGTGATAGTAATAATGGTAGTGGTGATGGTGATGATGGTATTGATGATCGTGATGGTGACAATGATGGTGATAGTAATGGTGGTGGTGGTGATGGTGATGATGGTAATGATGATTATGATGGTGATGGTGATGATGGTATTGATGATTGTGATGGTGATGATGATGGAGGTGGTGATAATGTTAATAGTGATGTGGTGGTGGTGACTGTAGTGATGATGACACTGATGATGACAAAGGTAGGAAGAAGTAGGGGCGAGGAATTCGAGGAAATATTGTGGCTGATTATTGGATGACCACTACATTATAATGAACCAAGGTGAACCAAAGGAGACCCGGCTCAAAAGAACATAAAAGCAACAACAACCACAAAAAGCCAGCAAAGAACTCAATGGCTACTGCAGCAAACACATAATCTATAAAATTAGTCCAGGAAAGTCACTTAGCAAATAAGTGGCAAGAAGAGAAACAACAGAAATAGGGACAACAACAAACTCTGGAGTGGAGGAAGGTATCTGATATCAGAGTTGTTCCAATATGTTGTCTAAAAGCAACAAAGAAATAACAAAATCTTAAAAGACACAGAAAAGCATGCCACACACAAAGGAAAAAGCTATTAATAGAAACTATCATTGGAGAATTCTAGATATTGAATGTATCAGACAAACACTTTAAAAATGTGTGTAAAGAACTTAAGGAAATCATGCCTTAAAAAAATCAAAGGAAAGTATAACAACTAGATATCACCAAGTAGACAATATCAGTGAAAAGGTAGAAATTGTTAAAAAGAACCCAGTAGAAATTCTAGAGTTGAAAAGTACAATGACTGCAATAAAAAAAAAATCACTGGGTTGACATAATAACAGATCTTAGTATAAAGAAGAAAGAATCAGCAAACTTGAACATAGACCAATGGAGATTATCCAGTGAGTGGAACAAAATGAAAAATGAATGAAGAAAAATATACAGAAATGAATATACCTGTGGCACATCATGAAGAATGCCAACAAACACATAATGGGAATCTCAGAGGAGAAGAGAAGAGAAGAGAAGCAGGGGCAAAATTACTTGAAAAAATAGTGGCCAAAAATTTGACAAAACAATTCATTTTTACATCTAAGAATGTCAACAAATCCCAACGAACTTAATGAGATTGACATCTGTACACATTATAGTCAAACTAACAATGTTAAAGACAGAGAACATTTTGAAAACAGCAAGAGAAAAGCAATATTTACTTACAGGTGAGTCACAATATGATTAGCAGCAGATTTCTAATGAGAAACCATGGAAGCCATTAAGAATATTAGATCATGCCTTCAGAGTGTTGGAAGAAATGACTGTCAACAAGTAATTATATTCCTAGCAAAATTTTCCTCAAAAAACAAAGGAAAAATCAAAAGACAAGTCACATCCACAAAAAACTTGCACCTGTATGTTTGTAGCAGCTTTATTCATAATTGCCCAAATGTAGAAGCAACCAAGATGGCTTTCAGTAGGTGAATTAATAAATAAAATGCAATACATCTAGATAATGGAAATTATTCAGCACTAAAATTAAATGAGCTATTAAGCCATGAAGACAGGGAAAAAATTAAATGCATATTACTAATAAGCAAACCTGAAATAGCTACATACTATATGAGTCCAACCTTAAGACAGTCTAGAAAAGAAAAACCATGGAGACGGTAAAAGGATCAGTAGTTGCTGCAGGGAAGGGTTGGAGGGAGGAATGAATAGGTGGAGCACAGGGGATTTGTAGGGCAGGAAAGATACTCTGTACAATACTGCAGTGGTGGATACATGTCATTATTCATTTGTCCAAACCCATAGAACGTGCAACACCAAAAGGAAACCCTAAGGTAAACTATGGACTCTTAGTAATAACGACATGATTAATCAATTGTAACCAATGTACCATTCTGCAGCAGGATATTGACAATGGAGGAGGCTGTGCATGTGTGGGGCAGGGGGTATACAGGAAATCTCTGAACTTTCCACTCAGTTTTGCTGTGAACCTAGAAGTACACTCGAAAATAAATTCTATTAAAAAGAAAAGGAGGCCGGGCACAGTGGCTCACACCTGTAATCCCAGCACTTTGGAAGGCCAAGGCGGGCAGATCACAAGGTCAGGAGATCAAGACCATCCTGGCTAACATGGTGAAACCCCGTCTCTACCCAAAATACAAAAGATAAAAATTAGCTGGGCATGGTGGCAGGTGCCTGCAGTCCCAGCTACTCAAGAGGCTGAGGTAGGAGAATGGCGTGAACCCGGAGGCGGAGCTTGCAGTGAGCTGAGATCGCACCACTGCACTCCACAGCCTGGGTGACAGAGGGAGACTCCATGTCACAAAAAAAAAAAAAAGAAAGAAAGAAAGAAAAGGAATTCTGGAGATGGATGCGCCATTGCGAATGTACTTTATGCCGCCAAATTGTGCCCTCAAAAATGATTCAAATGATACACTTTACATTATGTGTATATTACCACAATAAAAAAATTCCAGTCGCTTCAAAAGAAAAGATGAACCACAGAAAGGGAGAAAATATTTTAAAACATATATCTGATAAAGGACTTGTACCCAAAATATACAAATAACTCTTAAAACTCAACAATATAAAAACAACCCAATTAAAAAATCAGCAAAAGATCTCAACAAACACCTCACCAAAGAAAACATACATATGGCCAACAAAAGCATGAGAATATGCTCAGTATTATCAGTCATTGGAGAAATACAAATCAAACAATGATGATATGCCACGTCACACCTGCTACCATTGTTATCACTAAAAAGACAGAAACTAACAAGTGTTGCAGAGGATATGGAGAAATAGAAACCCTTGTACATTGCTATAGAATTTTATGTTCCAGCCACTTTGGAAGACAATCTGGCAGTTCCTCAATATGTTAAATGTAGTTACCCAGACTCAACAATTCTACTCCTAGGTGTATAACCAAGAGAACTGAAAACATATATCAACACAAAATCCTGTATACAAATGCCCATAACAACATTCATAATCGTGAAAAAATGGACTCAACCAAAAGATCTATCAACTGATGAATGGATAAACAAAATATGGTATATCTGTACAATAAAATATTATTTGGCAATAAATGAGAATGGAGTACTGATGTGTGCTACGATAGGAGTGAATTTTGAACACATTATGCTAAGTGAAATAAGCTATTTACAGAAGGTCACATATCGTATGATCCCATTTATATAAAATGTCCAGAATAGACCAAACTATAGTGACAGAAAATATATAAGTGACTGCCTAGGACTAGGTGAGATGGGTGGTGGATGTGGGCAGGAAAGGGGGGAAAAGGGGAGTGACCACTACTTGGTCAGGTGGTTCATTTTGGTGATGAAAATATTCTAAAATTAGATTAGGGTGATGGTTCCACCATTCAGAGAATATGTGAAAAAAAAAAAACCCTGATTTGGACACATTAAATGTGTGAATTTTATGTATGTGCATTATGTCTCAAATAAAGGTGATTTAAAAACAAAGTTAAAAAGGAAGAATTGTAGCATAGAGCACCTTTTGTAATTATGGGGATAGGAAGCAATTGGGACATGGCCAATGGCCAAGGACAGTGTTTGATTCCTTCATAGAAATGCTTCAGACTGGCTCTGGGTCCCTTGAGCTTAGCATTTTCAAGTTAAGGGAGAGCATGTATCCCTGCTGTGTTGACAATAATTTCACCGGGCAACCCACAATCAGAAAGCAGGGCATGCCTGTGCCTGTACTTTATTTTAGTCTTTCAATGGTGGAGCCAAGCCAGCAATGTCAGGCAGAGAGGGAAAAAAATGAAGAAGGCAGATTGCCTCTAAGAATTTTGCAAACTGATTTAAATGTTTAATCAGCACATTTCAACCACTTTATTAATATGTTTGCATACATATGTGTGCACTAAGGCAGTGCTTTTAGTATTCAGCATAACTCATCAAGATGGTGCATACATTTCTTCCAGAGCCATGCCATCAGTGTCTGTATGAATCAATGAAGGCTGAGAATGCCAATGCTGTCACGTGTTGCCAATGACATAAGGCCTAGACCTGTTCTTGAGAGTAGGGCATGCCCTGTGAGGCAGACAGAGCTGCAGAGCCTGCAGATCAGGCAGTAAAAAGAGAGCAGGTGCACCAGGTCAAAGAGCTCCAGCAGAGAGGGGATGGTGTTGTTCCAAGCATGGTTCAGAAATGGGGAATCCAGGAGTACAGTTGCAGGTAGAAAAGCAGGCATCTGGCAAATAGCCAGCTCTGGCTCAGGGAGCCAGGGAGCCCTGGTGACAGTGCCCGCAGGAGCGGGACAGAGCACCTGCCTGATGTCATGATCTAGGCAGTCACCAACCTGGGTCCCAGGCAGCAGAAACACCAGGCTTACCCTTCCTGGAATAATTAACCACATGAGAAGGGGTCCCTGAAGCAGGTCAACATTCACCTATCAAAGCTGAAGACTGATAGGAGAAAGGGTCTATCAAATCCTGGAGTGATTACCTTAGTGAGCTCCTCTTTCCTGAGATCTGGATGGACTACATTTTGGGGAAGGATGGAAGGTGTGTGGGCATGGGCCATGTAGTTAGATCTGCATGGCGAGGACTCAGAGTCTGGGAGCCATTGACAAGCACCTCCACTCCTCGAAGGCCGACGGCAGCTGTGGCTCTCCAAGGTTGAAGAAATGAAGACACCACTCCCTGTGTGTTGTCAGTGGCCAGGCCTATGCAGTGGAGTGCCTGGCCATTCGTGAAGATCTACAGCTGGATTAGGTGGCATTTAGCCATTCATTTTTCAAGTTTCTGTGTCTTGGAGGAAAATTGAGAGTGCACATATGGCCTAAAAGTTTAACTCCTAACTCCTGTAATTCATTGATCAGAATTATAATTTTCACTTTAATGATTTATAAATGTGTACCTTCAAGTGCTAATGTTTGCTCTGTGTTTTTAGATGGCTATCCCAAAGAAGAAATGATTTATAGATGGAGAAAAAATTCAGTGGAGGCAGCTGACCAGAAATCATGGCGGCTTTATCAGTTTGACTTCATGGGCCTCAGAAACACCACAGAAATCGTGACAACGTCTGCAGGTAGGAATTTACTGAAAGAGGCACAGCTCTCAAAAGCCAGAGAGGCCTAAGGCCATATGTAGTCATATCCTTAATGTACAAGCCTTTTGGGCAACCATGATACATAAGTGATATTTGAGACAAAACAAGTGATTCAAAGTGAAACTATGTTTTCATGTTTTAATTGGTATGGGAGAGGGATGTTAGAAATAATTCATATTTTTGAATCCAGGCTGTGTTTGCATAATGTCTATAAACCTAGCTATAAACTTAACCTAACTCATTACTGACCATATTTACATAAACCAATTTTGCTGATGGGGAGAGTTCTGCAAATTTCCACGTACATAAGAAGAATCAAATATTATTGAGAATCCACACATAAAAGAAGCTGGTGTGATATGTCCTTTGAGTTTCAATTGCTTTTATTTACTCTAAGTTTTATCTTTAACTTTGAGTTTCTTTTTCAATGATTGAAAGTAATTACCTACCAATTTGATTTTATGAAGTGATCATTATATGCATATTCAAAATCCTGTAATTAAATAAAAAGAGTTGTTCTGCCTATGAATATATGTGAATGTGTTTTGTTTTGCTTTTTGTCTTATGTCTTATGTTGTTTTTTGCTTTGGGTATTTAATTATTCCTAGGGTCCACTATTTCACAACTGATTTTCTTTTGGTAGGGTGTGGGGTGCAGATGGGGGTAGAGTCAGCTTTTCTACTGATATTATTTGTTAGTATGAAGAATTTGTTGGGTCTTCAAATTATCTAATAATTTATTTTATGGGTGACTAGATTAAGATGCCAGTTTTGAGAATTAATTGTAAATATCTTTAAAGCCCAGTCTTAATTCTTGGTGCAACTGTAAAATAGAGAGCTATTGACACATCAAGAAAAGTTCTGAAAAAGTTACCTGATTAAGGGAGAAAAACAAAAGATTCTCTATGAGTGTCATGGTAGAAAATCTGAGAAATGGGATCTGTGTTTAAATATTAAACAATGACGATGTTAAATAATGGAACACCACAATTTATTTAAATGAACTGTGGAGGCAGCGCAAAGGGAAACGTTTTGGGATGCTTGCTCCCAATTAAGAGGCACCTACCTTAGTAATGTAATTCCCTGTCTTAGAGGCTGCAATGTACCAGCAGACCTTTGGGGTCTAAGGCCGCCTGAAGGGAGTCACCAAGCAGCAGGGAGGACTGCTCTAGCATTTAAATCCCAAAGGCCTTTCCTGGTGTTCTCAAAACAAAAGGAAATGCAAAGTTAAGCTGAACCCAACTAACTCAGGGGATTTTGAAACTGATTGCAAGCAAATACTAGCTCAGAAAAGTGGCAAATAGAAGGAGACAACAGATTTGAGGCAACAGTCTGAACAATTCTTGTGCTAGGTGTTACTGTGGCTCTTAACGAAATTATAATCAATCTCTAAAGTCATATTTTTAATAAGTTTTACAACCACATTCAATCTTTTGTATAATTACACTTGTAAGGAAAATGTCCTTTGGATAATAAAAAAATTCCCATTTCATACGCTCGGGACGGACGCATGGTGGCTGTAGCCCACAAGCATGAGAAGTCACGCCCTGCCTGCAGCTGGGGTGTGTTGTTGCGTGTGTGCTTTTCAGGCCATATCCAGCATCAATTCAAGTGTCAACAGTTCACTGTTTAATGAATATTCATGAAACACCATTGCTTGCTAAATGATTGACATTTTCACAATGTGGAGGATCACTCATGGGACTGTGTTGGCATTTTAAAGGATCCCTCTCAGATAAATGCCCTTTTATAGGCAAATGTTATTCCTTGTTTCTCAATCTCCTAACTCAACATTATGACTATGGCAGTAACACACTTACTTACATAATCCCTTTTTTCCAAGAATAAAGCATTTGCAACACTGTCTACTTGGTTCTCACAAGTCGTTGTAAAGTTTGAAAAGGATGGATATGATTGTGCCAAGTTTTCAAGCTTATGTAAATAATTCTACTAGGGAACTTATCTGTGAAATGGAAACACTTTGGGAAACCTCAGAATCAGGAGAAAGAGATGTGAAGCCTGCAGGTGCATTGCCGAGTCCAGGCCCTGTGAGGTGGTCTCTGTCCATTATCGCCTCCCACCATCTTCTCACTGTGGCCACTCTGGCCCCGCCATGCTTTGGGCACAGCCCTAAACAGCTGCATTTATTTGACTGGACCCATTTTTCTCTATTGGGATAACATAAATATCAAAAATATTATTTATGACATTCTGAGACTTGGATGTAATATATTAAATATGTTTATTTAAAATGCACAAAGACTGTTCAAAAACATTAGTCACTGAATTAGTTTCCTGGAGCTACTTTAACAGTTCTACCAACTGTGTGGCTCAAACAACAGAAACAACGTGTTGTCTCTCAGTTCTGGAGGCTGGAAGTCTAAAATCAAGATGGCAGGCTTGGCATCTTCCGAGTGCCGTGAAGGAAGGATCTGCTCCAGGCCTCTCTCGTCGGCTTGCAGGTAGTATTCTTTCCACGTCCTTCTAACCTGCAGCAAATTCAAGGAAGTGAATTCTGTTCTATTGTCTTCTCCCTGGAGGTGTTGATCCCTGTATCTGCATTTCCTCTTTCTATAGAAACACCAGTCATATTGGATTAGCCTGCCTTCATGACCTCAACTTAACCATTTTCAAAGTCTCTATTTCCAGATAAGGTCATGTTCACAGGTACTGAGGGTTAGGACTCTAACATCTTCAGGTGAATACAATTTAACCCGTGGCAGTAACCCAGAAAGTTTAGCACTTTGTGAGGAGTGGCATTTCAGTTGCACTGGGAAATGAGGCGTTCCCTTGTCCCAGACACATCCTTTTTACTTGGACTTCCTTGCAGGTGTCAGCGTTCCCCCTCTGGGTGAATCTGATGATGATGAAGTTTGGAAGGCATTGGGCTAGGCTAACTTAATGAGTACAGCTGGTGGATGGTATAGAAATCACATTCAAATGGGATCACAGCTTAGTGTACTAAGACTTCTGACTGGCACAGCAGTGTGCTTTGTCATGTTACTGATGGTCTTGAACAGTCTCTCTGCCGTCTTTATGCCTTCCTCAGCTATTCTCCAAGGACAATTGCAGCTGACCTTTCCCTTGCACTAGCCAAAGGCCACCATGCATAATAAAAATCACATACTTTTTTTTCTTTTTTTTGAGACGGAGTTTCACTCTTGCTACCCACGCTGGAGTGCAATGGCACGATCTCGACTCACTGCGACCTCCACTTCCTAGGTTCAAGCAATTCTCCTGCCTCAGCCTCTCGAGTAGCTGGGATTACAGGCTCCTGCCACCACGCCTGGCTAATTTTTTGTATTTTTAGTAGAGACGCAGTTTCGCCATGTTGGCCAGGCTGGTCTCGAACTCCTGACCTCAGGTGGTCCACGCATCTGGGCCTCCCAAAGTGCTGGGATTACAGGTGTGAGCCACTGCGCCCAGCAAATCAGAGACTTTTTGTTATCTCTTCTATATATCTATATCTATCTACCAATTGCAATAAGTAAACCTCCTACATTTTTTTATTCTGATAATTTAAAATATCTGTAGGCTTACCGACACTGAGAATAACCTGCAGCGAATTCAAGGAAGTGTACCTTGGAATTATCGGAAACAGGCTGATGGCAAGATGTTCAGCTTTGGTTTTCATTAAATGTTATTAATTAAAAAGAAGCTAAATATATATGGATATGCATACATGTATGAGTTGATAGACACACGTATATTTCCTGCTCTGTCAGCTGAGAAGTCCTAGGAGCAACAACACTGCAGGAGCAATAAGTACCCTTAGTGCCCAGATCTTGGTTTCTAATATCATTCTCCAATTAAAGGAACCAGGGCTCCTTGGAGAAGTGGCAGATTGTGAGGCTGCAGCAGTGAATATACAAGATGAGCCTAGAGAATCTTGCAGTTCCAGAAACTAAGGCATGCTAAACACTCACCTCACACCCAGCCACCTACACACAAAATCATGGGGCTATATCAACAGACGCCAACTAAAAGATATCACAATGGTCAAAGCTAAAAATGTGAGCAGCAAGATAAATACAGTAGTATTGGATTATAACCCAAGAATAAAATAAATATCCATGAGGCCACATTGATGCAAATAAATGATTGAATAAATACATACAAACATGGGAGAACACAGATAAATCCCCCATGCAGAATTTCACATGATTTATGTGGATGTTATTCCCTCAAGGAGGTAGGGCATAGCCCCCACTCTTTAATTGTGGGCTGCACCTGGTGACTTTCTTCCAAAGAGCGCAGGAGGAGACAAAGGAAGGACATGTATAGGGGATAACGTCTGGTGAACACCACTTGGCCACGTGATCGGTGAACATGGTCAGTGATTATAGATGGTGATCCTATGTGCCATGCATATGATGCGATGAAAATCCACCTTACGAGTCTGGCAAGAAGGTGGCTATGGAAAGTTATCCTCTTGGGTTGGCGCATCAGTGAAAGTCAATAATTAAAATACCTATAAGCCATTATCTCAGAGAGAAAGGAAGGAAAGGCAAATGGACTCTATACTCCAGACATTTTCTGAATTTCAAAACTGTGAAAAGAAGAAAGCGAAGAAAACAAGGAGAAAGGGTCTGAAAAGCAGACTCTATCAGGGAGGGCAAGATAAGGAAAGAGCATCACTGAGGTTGCACCAGGAGGGGGCGTCACGGTGAGCATGCCACTGGAGCTAGAGCCCCTGGAGTTATCTGTACAGCAAGTGCAAAATAGACTGAAAAACCTGTTAAACTACAGCTCAGCCTTCAGTCACCCCAGCCCCTGATGGCATTAAGGTGATTAGTCCCAATCTTTGGCCTGGAAAAGAGAATGATGGGCTCCCCTTGAAGGATAATAAATTTTTTTATTACAGATTTTCATACAGAAAAGTGCACTGTTGCCAAATGATCAAAACCCAAAAATAACACAGGTATCTGACTTTTTACCAGAAATCATGGCAACCAGAAGACAATGGAATTCCAAATGTGAAAAGAAACAGAATTTTCTGTTAAAAAGCCAATAAAAATAATGGTGAAATAGTGATGTTTTCAGGCTAAAGAAAAACAGGAAGAGAGAAAGAGATTGACTCTATGATCTCTATAGCAAGCTGCTTCTCTCCTTTGTGTAAAACCTTTATGACATTTGCAGGTTAATCCATATCTTTGCCATATCAAGGCTGCCCATAATGCCTATTTGAACCTGAGTCCAGTTGTCTAAAATAATTTGGGTAGAATGCGCAGCGTTTTTTTCTTACCCACAGCAGGTTTTGTGAGATAGGACTGGAAATGTGAAGGCTGCTTTGCAGTGGGCATACTTATGGCAAACTGAGGGGTGCTCGGGTCAGGCTCAGAGCACGCTTAGAAGCGGCTTTGTAGTGGAAGTGATCCTGGCAAAGGCTCCCTGACGTCAGAGGAAGAGATCAAGGAAGAAGCCTGGGGCTCCAGATTAATTGCACTAGGAGCTTTCCCTCTGGTGCCTGGTTTATTATAAGACCACAAATAGGCTTCCCCAGAGACTAGTTATTATAGTCAAAACAATCAGGAGAAAGGCTGCTCTCGCATGGCTATGGCAAAAGCCACATGGCTTGATGTGGACATCTGATGTTTTTGAAGTTGATTCAGTCTTTACGTGTAGAAGCTTCTGTAAGTAATTCTCCAAACTCAAAAAAAGTATTCTATATATGAAGTTTTTGATACTGTGTGTTTAACATTCCAGCTAATTAAAAAATACATATATTTCCTCCAGCAGTGCCCACTGGGAGGGAGGGAGCACAGGGGGCAGGAGCTCCAGCACTAGAGTCAGACCACACTGTACTTGAACATATCTGCACCACTTACCTCCTATGTGACCTTGGGCAATTCCTCTGACCCATCCACGCACTCCTCTCATAAGTGAGAGGGAAACTGCCTTCTCCTTTATATGGGTATTGTGAATTTAGGTGAATCAACACATGCCAAGTACATAATTGCAATATATATATACAAATATTGCCTATTATTATTGACTCAATGTAGTTCCCGTGAGGAGAATTGAGAGATTTACGCATTGTCTTTCTTTAGTAATCATCCACTAAACCAGCTGCCAGCATTTTATTCAATGAGACATGCTCCAACAGGATGCTATAGTGAGATTTATATCTTGAATGCAAATAGGAATATATGTTTAAATAGCTCTTGTAGAAGAAATTCAAGAAGTGGTTTCTTCTTGGCTTTTTGTCATATTTTTCTGAATGCAATCTGGGTAATATATCAGTCTGGGTTTGAAAGTCATAATTTTAAAAATAGTGTCAGTATCTTTGTTCACAAGATTGAGTGAAAAATCTTTCAAACCCACTGTGAGTCATCCTCCATCTCTAATTCAGACGGGAAATGCAGAAAAAACCTCTTCTTGGTCTAATGAACTGCTCGTCTGCTAAGAAAATTGAAATCCTGTGATACAAATCATATCTGAATATGTCTGTTCTTTTAAAATCAGATTTAATTAATTACTCCTTCCATGGGACCTGAATAAATTATAACATTTAATATATTATGACAGTAATATTTCTACATAAGAGAATTTTATGGTTTTTATTTGGCTCTCGCTCTATACTTTGAGCAAGGTGGGACATGAGCCAATACCTTTATTTATAGATGAGGAACCAGTCTCAGCAAGATCTCAGGCATGGCCTTCAGCAGTCCACACAATATGTACTGTAGCTAGCATTAGACCCTCTCATTCTGAGGCCAGTGGCTTTTTCATGATGCCAGGGCCACAAAGAGTTAATTTGACTTCCTGTATCTGACTCCCGGTTTCCAGAACATTTTATTTATCTATCCAGTGTTGGACTGTATATACCAAACAGTACATCCCCTGGCATGGATGATATTTTATATCATCATTTTTCCATTGTAGGATTATATTACTGCTTCCAATATTTGATCAGAAGGAAAGTCTTAAATCTGTACCATGACATAAGAGAGGAGGATGATTTAAAATTATCTATAAAAGTACATTATTGTTGAGATTTAGGGCTCTGGAAACTGTTTCTCTGGAATATCGCCATGCTGAAGATGCTTAGGAACACTCATTGTTTTACATGCTTTTTTGATGACACTACAACCCTTTAAGGTAGTTAGGCCACTATCCCATGACGCAAATGACAAACTGAATCTTAAAAGTATCTTAGTTCATGAAATGCGAGGGCGAGCCGTCCTGTAGCCTCGAGATAGCTGTGGAGCGCAGCACTCTAGAATGCGCCAGGAGAAACCTGCACTGGATAAAAGCCAAACAGCCTTTGACGCCTGAGCTGAAGCTCCTGGAGCACTTGTTCCTGCCCACATCCTAGCAAGCGCTCATGCCACACTCCCATACCCTCCCAGCCCACCTGGATAACTTAGTAGTCCCTGGGCTTTTAAGCATTGATGTCATTCCTCCAGGAGGCCATTTTCAGGAGCCGCTCCCACGTCCCTCAAAGGCCAAGACAGGTTGACAGCCATTTACTTCCATAATGCCCTGATTTTGCCCCATAGTGACACTTAGCACATAGCATTGTACTGTGATTGTAACCAAGGAGGACTTGGAAAACGGAGGTTGAGAATGTGATGCTGGAGCCATCCTACCTGGGTTTAAATTCCAGGCCTGCACTCATAAGGTCTGTCATCTTGGATGCATTGTCTTACTTCTGAGACACAGTTTCCTCATCTGCAAAATGGGGAAGACAATTCTAGTGCCGGCCTCAGAGATAAGGACCTTGTGAGGATTGAGCTTCAAAGCAGACAGCAATCATTGTCTGGCATTCATTTTACACATTTCCCAATGAATCCACCTGTTGGTATCCCAGGGAGCTAGCAAAATAATTAGCTCAAAGAAAGTACTTGAATGTTTGGAAGAGAAAATGACCCTTAATTTGTTTAGCAAATGAGTCTAAAGGATAAATATATCCCTTTGCAAATATTTAGTTGTCATCTTAGAAAAATTAATATGGAAGCATTAATGAGACATAGGAGTGAAGATATTGTTTTGATATTTTAGTAGCTACACTTCACTCCTGTTTATATTAATAGTTTCATTATTTAAAATTTATCCAACAAGGGACTTTAAAAAATTTTTTTTATTTTACTTTAAGTTCTAGGATACATGTGCAGAACCTGCAGGTTTGTTACATAGGTATACACGTGCCATGGTGGTTTGCTGCACCCATCAACCTGTCAGCTACATTAGGTATTTCTCCTAATGCTATCCTCCCCCATCCCCCCACCCCCCGACAGGCTCTGGTGTGTGATGTTCCCCGCCCTGAGTCCATGTGTTCTCATTGTTCAACTCCCACTTATGAGTGAGAACATGCAGTGTTTGGTTTTCTGTTCTTATGCTAGTTTGCTGAGAATGATGGTTTCCAGCTTCATCCATGTCCCTGCAAAGGACATGAACTCATCCTTTTTTATGGCTGCATAGTATTCCATGGTGTATATGTGCCACATTTTCTTTATCCAGTCTATCATTGATGGGCATTTGGGTTGGTTCCAAGTCTTTGCTATTGTGAACTGTGCTGCAATAAACATACGTGTGCTTGTGTCTTTATAGTAGAATGATTTATAATCCTTTGGGTATATACCCAGTTACGGGATTGCTGGATCAAATGGTATTTCTGGTTCTGGATCCTTGAGGAATCACCACAGCCTTCCACAATGATTGAACTAATTTACACTCCCACCAATAGTGTAAAAGCTTTCCTATTTCTCCACATCCTCTCCAGCATCTGTTGTTTCCTGACTTTTTAATGATCACTATTCTAACTGACATGAGAGGGTATCTCATTGTGGTCTTGATTTGCATTTCTCTAATGACCAGTGATGATGAGCTTTTTTTCATGTTTGTTGGCTGCATAAATGTCTTCTTTTGGGAAGTGTCTGTTCATATCCTTCACCTACTTTTTGATGGGGTTGTTTGTTTTATTCCTGTAAATTTAAGTTCTTTGTAGATTCTGGATATTAGCCCTCTGTCAGATGGATAGATTGCAAAAATTTCCTCCCATTCTATAGGTCGCCTGTTCATTCTGATGATAGTTTCTTTTGCTGTGCAGAAGCTCTTTAGTTTAATTAGATCCCATTTGTCAATTTTGGCTTTTGTTGCCATTGCTTTTGGTGTTTTAGTCATGAAGTCTTTGCCCATGCCTATGTCCTGAATGGTATTTCCTAGGTTTTCTTCTAGGGTTTGTATGGTTTTAGGTCTTATGCTTAAGTCTTTAATGTATCTTGAGTTAATTCTTGTTAAAGGTTGTAAGGAAGGGGTCTATTTTCAGTTTTCTGCATATGGCTAGCCAGTTTTCCCAACACCATTTATGTACTTTTCAGATAAGCCTAGTTTTGCCATATGGATACAAATAAATGAACCAAAATTTTTGAAAGGGGCAGAGCAGATTGATTTTAGTTGGTTGATATTTATTTTTATAAACTCACACAGGCATGTAGCTTACCACAAATTCGTTTTCTATGAAAGTACTGAGTGCTTTCAGCAGGATTCAGATTTTAAAAGTCCACACTGCTTCTGTGCAGACAAGGGATGCTGTGGACCTATTTGGAGGCTGGCTGCCTAGGTGGGGAATTGATTCCTTAGGAGTCCCCTGGGGAGTCAGGAGCTTACATAGGTGATGTCCATCCAGCTCACCTGAAGACTCTTGGCCAGACGTCCATTTTCCATCTTAGTCAACACAGAATCTGAAGAAATGCAGGCCTGTTTCCTGAGATAACGAAGCTTTTGCCAGCCAGGGTCAATCTCTCTCTACCATTATTATCACAGTAGCCGTCAATTAGATAACCTGGGTGCGTTTCCTCTTTGTCCAATGAAACTTTTCTTACTGGTTCTATTTCAGCTGGTTGTCACTGATCAGACACTTCTGTGCAGGAAATTTTGAATGCACCCAAAATAGTTCCTTCCAGACCCCAACTTTCCCTGGACAACAGCACTGCTCTTCGGATGTTGCTCAGTTCCCACTTCGCTCTCCATAACAAATAAAGATATATTTATCTTTTAGACTCATTTGCTAAACAACTGACAGAGACAGGAGCATGGAAATTGTGTGGCCCCACGTGTGGCCCTTGTCCTGCCACCACCCCCACCACCACCCCCCCTTCACACTGCTCTTGCCGCATTTCTGTGGCCATTGAAGATGTCTGTCGTCGGAGTCATACTACATTGGACTTAGTAGTTCACCTTCTCCTTTTGATTTGCTCTAAACCAAGAGGAGACTCACTCCATTTATCAGAACACCACGCATGAGAGGAATGCAGGAATGCAGTCGTTTTGCAAGCACCTGGCCCTTGGCAGGGGTGCTCTCATGCCCTCCTTCCTTGCTGTGCTACTGAGATGCTCACGCTGGTCTGGGTGGAAGCATGCAAGCCCAGCTCCCTCAGCCCTCAGTGGCACAGCATCAGCCCCACACTGCGGCCCCTGCCTTCAGTGGCCTCGGGGCTCCCCTTCCCAGAGGGTATCCAAACATTCATTCAGTCAACCTACTTACTCTTCCCAGGGAAGAAAAATTCATAATTAGAGAAGCCACGCAGTCAGCTATGCTCCAGCCAAGCACCTCCCAGCCTCAGACAGGCAGCCCAGTCCAGTCCTGGCTAGGGTTTTCCTCGTAATCACAACTCAAAGTTTACATCTTTCTTCCTGTCCGTAGGGGGTTTCCTTGAGTATCACCTCATGTGTCATCATACAGAAACCAAAAAATTCTACTACCACCTTGATTCTACAGTTGATATTTGTTTTATTACTTCCTTTAAGCTATCCATCCGTTAATCTTTGGATTTCAAACATCTGCTGATTGGCCGTAAGACCAGTATATACTTGTGTTCAGTTAGTATTTTATGGTAAAATTTAAGTATGAGGACAATAAAATGTAAAAATTATATGTCCACGTAATGCTTAAATGTCTATTCCTCAAAGAAGTAATTACCAGTAAAAAAGTGTGATCAGAACAAAAAACCGACAAACAAAAAGGAGTCTGAGGAAAAGCCTCACTGAAGAATTACGAGGACATTGAAAGTCACCTCTGTTACTCCCTGTAGTCGTACTTCAAATATGCGGGCTATTTAGGCAGTATGCATCGCTCTAAATTTTCTTCTTATTACCCCATATGCCCAATGCTACTGTTATTTACAGAATTAATTTTTTAGTCATATCCCATATGACTTGTGTAATTTTATTTATCAAAGCCTTGTTATCAAACCACGTTGGGGTAATTTATTGGTCTTTCATACCAAAAGCCTTTGTTTTATCAATACAAAACAAAAAGCTCTAGAGGTTTGGAGTTTATCCAGAATTGCACGGCATTGTGATTAGCCCATTTGTCAGGACTAATTATGCTCAACTTAGAACAAAGTCTCTTTTTAAAAAGTAGCTAGCCAGCCCCCAATTCTAATGAGGACTTAGAGCCACAGACTTGGCTTAGAATTCATCACAGCTCTCTGAGTATGTGTCAAGTAGAAAGAGAGGGCACATTCCAACTGCTCTTTATTTCTTCTGTAATAAAGTCACAGATAAAAGGAGCATAAAAAGCATGCTTTGGTCTTGGTTTAAGTCTCACTTCAAAAGAATCTGAAGATGATGTGAAGTTAATGCGCTGCTCCCAGCACATCATAAGATGGCTAGGCATGCAGCCCAGGGTGACTGCAGCAGCTGCCAGCCCTGGCTGTGGGATCCGGGGCAAGTCTAAGGAGAGAGAGCAGTTGAGCCTGGAAGCCCTGTCCCAGCCTCTGGCTAGCACAGGGCTTCTTTTTCTTTCTGCCATTTTAACTAAGCTGGAGGCCCCAGTGTATTCCAGGGAATCAATCTTCAAAATAACTGCTGATTCCATGCAGTGATATTGTTTGTTTCATAAGCAGATTTGCTTTTATAAAGTAGAACATCTATTTGTTCAAGACATATATTCATGTTGTTCTTTGTGTTGATGAGAGAACCACTGACCGACATCTGTGCACTCACTTTGTGCGTGTAAAGGCTGGCCTTAGGCCCTGCATTTCCTGGTTAACTTGTCTGCCATCTATGAGATTCTGTGTCTTCAATTCACAAGCTGTTCAACAATTTGTATTGAATAAGAAGACTAAGAAAGATTTAGTCATTTTGAAAAAGAAAATGCTCATAATATAATGTTAGGTAAAAATAGTTGTATAAAAATCTTCTGTATTGTTTTATGTGTTTGTATTGGGGTGTGGAGATGCACCAAGATAAAAAATACCCTTGAGACAAAATAGTAGTGGTGGCTTTTCTCTCATATCTCCATAATGCTTTTCTTCTTAAATTATTGATGCATATTCCAAATGATTTAAAATTTTGCTTTAAAAAATCTTTAAAATCACAGAAAAATACGTAGAAGAAAACAACAAATCTGCATCTCCACCAGTTTTTGTTAATATCTTGGTACATATGTTTCCAGAGTTTTGTTTTAACATGAGACATACTCTTTTCCATACAATAGACTCGATTTCATATTTTTAAAAAAATCTCAAAAGTGGGGAAAAATATAAACATGAGAATTTTTTTTTTAAAAAACTTAAATTCTATCTCCTAGTAAAGATCACAGCTAATATCAGGTAGATAGCTTTCAAAATAATCTTCAATGAATTCACACAGAGAGATTCATAGACCAGTATGCAGATAGAAAATGTAGCAATGTTTGATAACAATTTTGTACGATTGATGTTATTTTAAAAAGTAAATGGGATTTTTCTGGATTCTATTAGAATAAAAAAAGAAATAGAGGAATTAAAACTTCAAACAAGTGGGTTTTTTAATCAACAAATATATTATTTTCTGAAAGACTGCTCTGAAGTTAAGAAAAACAATTTTAAAGATTCAGAGATAGAAATATATTATTATCTGAAAGATTGCTCTGAAGTTAAAAACATTTTTAAAAGATTCAGAGATAACTATTAGTTATATTCTTCAATTTTAGACAGAATCGATAGTCTCAACACTATGAAAAATGAAGTAACGCCAATACCTACCAGCCAGAGATTGTTAAGAACACACTGACAGTTGATTGATTGGGATGATTATTTGTTGCGGTGAAAGAACACATACCATGGGGAACCGTGGGGCACCTCAGTAAGAGGGAAATAAAGGAATTATTGTAGGTCTTAGGTGTTTGGATGGAAGGTTTGAGGGACTAAGGCTTGGCTCTCGATTGGATTTTATCAGGAAGCTGTGGTTATTCTGGTTTTATAAAAGAATGGATGTTGAATTTTGTCTACTTTTTCTTTATCATTTGATGTGATCATATGATTTTTTTCTTCGTTAATATTGTGGGTTGCATTGATCGATTTTCAAATATTGAACCAACCTCAAATCCCTGGAATAAATCTCATTTGGTCATTGTAAATAATTATGTCTATAAATTACTGAGGGTATAACTACTCTTATAAATATTAATGCAAAATTCTTAAAATATTAATATTGTTAATATTATTAACAATACAACATTAATATCAATTCAATATTAATATTGTATCAATTTGATGATATTTGTTTATATCTTGTTGAGAGTTTTTAAATAATATTTATGAGAGTAATTCTGGCCTCATAAAATGAAGAGAGAAGTGTTCCCTCCTCTCATACGTCCTGGAAGAGTTTGTGTAGAATTGGTGTTAATTCTTCTTTAAATGTTTGGTAGGATTCTCTAGGAAATAATCTGGGACTGAAGATTTTTTGTCGGGAATTCTAAAATTATGAATTCACTTTACTTAATGATTATAAGACTATCCAAATGCCTTATTTTATATTAAGTGAACTAGGGCAGTTTGTCGTTTCCTATAAATTGGTTTATTTCAGCTAAGTTACCACATTTATGTTTGAGAAGTTGTTACACTATTCCCTGATTATCCCTCTGATGTCCTTACAAGATCTGTAGTTTTCTGTTTTATTTCCAATATTGGCAATTTGCTATTATCTTTTTGGGGGGGCCGGTTCTCCTAGTGGTTTGTTAATCTTATTGATAGTTTGGAGAATCATCTCTTTGTTTCTTGTTTTTCTTCTATATCATTCTGAGTCATCAATTCCATTAATTTCTGTTCTTTATTGTTTCCCTGATTCTACTTGATTTGGGTTTATTTTGTTCTTGTTTTTCTGGTTTCTAAAAGTGGGAGTTTAGATTATTGATTTCAGACTTTTCCTCTTTCCTGAAGTGTACATTTAGTGCTATAAAACTCTCATTAAGCACTACTTTAGCTGTATCCCACACAGTTTGATGTCTTTTATTTCACACTCTACTAGTATGGACATTTTATCAGTTTAATTGTAGTGTAGAAGCCACATCTCATTTTACATCTTCTATAGCCACTAAACAGTAATTCCTCCTCCCCCCAACCCATGGGAACCACCTTACTACCTTCTCTTTCTATGACTTTGACTACTTTAGATACTTCATATAAGTGGCATCATACAGTATTTGTCCCTTTGTGCCTGGCTTATTTCACTTAGCATAACGTCCTGGATGTTCATCCACGTTGTAGCCATGTGACAGGATTTTCTTCTTTTCTAAGGTTGCATAATATTCCATTGTAAGTATATGCCATATTTTTAAAATTCATTCATGCTTTGATGGATATTTGAGATGATTCCACCTCTTGGCTATTGTGAATGATGCTGTTGTGAACATGGGTATGCAAATATCTCTTTGAGATCCTGATTTGAGTTCTCTTGGATACACATACATTTAGAACCACATTGAACAGTTTTATAATATTTGCTTCAACTATCAACATAAATTAGAAGACTCAAGACAAGGAAAGTCTGTTGTATAATTCTTTCCACTGATCTCCTCTGTGTTCTGAGGAGAACACAATTCATGTTCAATTCATCCATTGAATTTTTAATTTTGTTTATCATACATTTCAATTTTAAAATTTCCTTTGATTATTTTTGTGTCTCCTATACCTTTGCTGAGACTCTCTATTTGTTTCCGAAGTGTTTGTAATCACTTGTGAAAGCATTTTTTGAGGGCGACTTTAAAAATTCATGTAAAATTCCTCACATCTTTGTCACCCTGGTATTGGCATCTGTTGATTGTCCCTTTCTTGTTCTATGTTTAGCAAACTGTTTTTTATTGAAAGCTGGACATTTTGGATGTTTTACTATTAGGCTCTGAATCTTTCTAAAATGTTGTATGAAGCCTCTTTTGACACTGCTCTAGTGAGGAGGAGAGGGACATTGTCTCCTTACTTGCAGGTGGGGGTAGAAGTCCAGGTTACCTACTTGGCCTTCAGTGATACTCCATGGGTGAGGTGCTCCTTGGTCTTTCTGGGCAGAGGTAGGAATTTGATTTCTGCACTAGGCCTCTGCTGATGCCACTCTGGCTTGGAGGGGTTTGGATTTGACACCGTGCCAGGAGCGCTCATGGCCATCTGGCAGGTATGGAAGTCTTGGGTCCTCTCTTGAGCTTCTCTCATGCTGCCCTAGTGGAGGAGTTGGGGGATCACATTACAACAGAACAGTGGGCAAGCCTAGCTTCCTTATTTGGCCTTGGCAGGAGTGAGTGAGGCTGAGGCCACAGGCTTTTTCTGGGATGTGTGGCTGGAATCGGGTGATTATTGTCTGAAGTGTTCTGTTGTGTGAGGCTGCCACTTTCTTGTGTCTTTACCTAGAGAGAATCAGCCTTTGTTGGGCATTGCTTTTTGGTCTGTACTTGTTGGTGCTTCCAGGTTGCTGGCTTTTTCAGCCCCTATTCTGGGTTATGTGATGCAAAAAGACAACCCAGGGAAATAATCTTCATGTCTTTCCTCGGGTCCCAAAGTCCCTAGTTGGTCTTCTCCACATTTCGAAGCGTTATGATTATTTCATATAAATATGTAGGTTTATTAGTTTTATTTAACTTAGTGGATAGGGTAAAGTATGTAGACTTCATCTTCTCAGAAGCAAATGTCCAAAAAAGAGGTAATTGTATGCTTGGGTATCATAATAAATCATATCTAAAAGGGAAGACGAGGCCAAGGCTGAGTCTGTAATCAGTAGAGGAGCAGCAGCCACTCACATGGCAGGATGTAGAAAAATGTTTGGTGATTCTTGTGGCTTAGACAATGTTTATGCTTTGTCTCTGTTTAGATAAAGTGGTCTTCTTTTGGTCTTGATATATCAGGGTCACAAAATATCCTTGTCTGATGATGATGTTCTGTGAAAATTTTATGCTCAAAAGGAAAACACCAAGTCTATCTGTGAGTGCCAGGCCAGGTCTCAGCAGCACCAAGCCCTGGCCCATTGCACCAGTCCATAGCCCAGATGCAGGAGGCTGCTGTCCTCTTTCCCACAGACACGGTCACTCTCAGATTTCCTCTCATCAGTATCCCCCTCATGGCTAGTTAGTGCTTACATTATTAGTTTTTCATTGTTAGGTTCTATAAATGCCAAGTTATCTTTTAAAATTCTGTTTTCCAAGGTTGTTTTGCACTGGTTTATATTTAAGTGAATTCAGTGATTACTGTGCTTCCTGATATAATACTTCCTTCCTCTCTGAGTTCTTAACTTGGGTGGGATTTATTTTTAAGTAATTTCTCTTACGAAAGACTCACGGGTGCTGTATTCCAGAATTTGTTTCCTTTTGAGAATGTCTGCCCATGTATTGATTCTTTAATTATACCTTGACTGAGTCACAGTGTCTTTCCCGCAATATCTTATAGACATTGTTCTAGTGTCTTCAGACCTTGATTATCGTTTTGGAGAACTTGGAGGCCAAACTCATGCTTTCGCCTTGGAAAAAATTTGCCTTATTTTACTGAATGCCTAAATTTCTTTATTCTTAAATGAGAAAATTTTATTTTAAAAAAGCTTAAATGTGAAAATGACTCGGAGTTCAGAAAAGTATGTATTATTTTAATTGGCAGATTTGGTGTTCCTATTTCTTTGATTAGGGTAGAGTTTTATGTATGATATTTTTTGATATGTTGTGTGTTTCATATGAGTGTTTCCTACCCTATGAACACCAGGTAATTTAGATTGGATTGCCTTTCTGGCTTTCATATTTTTGTCTTACTTCTAATGGCTTTAATTCCATTTTCCCCTGTGTGTGCTACATTCACCATGATTTCTTCCAGGTCCATCATTGAAACTTCACCATTGTTTCTTCATTCCTCAATGTTTCTGACAAAGGTAATCATCTGCAACAGGTTTTTGATTCCAAGTTTGTTTACTTAGGTCTGCAATCAGCATATCCTGTTTGTCTCATTCTGTTGTTTCATTTTAAATTATTTTTATAAATTATTCATTTCTTTTCTTATGCTACTGTGTGAATAAACTCAGGGAAGTCACTTTCCTTTTCTCTGAGTTGTGTTTTCTTAGGATTTATGTCTTGATTTGTCATATATGTGATATGCCTATCCATGTTCCCTTCCTTCTGTTTCTTTCCTTCTCCCTCTTTCTTTCTTCTTCCTTCCCTCCACCACCTGGCATGGAGTGTCTGTTCCTTTCTTCCCTCAGACTGTGAGACTAGTGTTTGCTGCTTTTACGCTACACTTTGCATTTCCATAGCTAGTCTGGCTTCTCGGGAGAAGGCTGGGAACTCTCCTCTCTGCTTCTAAATTATTTGTTTCTTTCTGATTTTAAAGCTTTGTGATTGATTGTAACATTTGTTTTTATTTTCTTCTGCATAACATTTTCTCCTTTACTTCTTTGGTCATTGTGTGTGACGTCCAACTCCAATTCCATTAGATGTGGGTTCATCTTTTTTTTAAATTAATTAATTTATTTTTTGAGACAAAGTTCCATTCTGTCTCCCAGGCTGGAGTGCAGTGGCGTGATGTCGGCTCACTGCAACCTCTGCCTCCCAGGTTCAAGCAATTTTCCCGCCCCAGCCTCCTGCTGGGACTACAGGTGCACGCCACCATGCCTGGCTAACTTTTTGTGTTTTTAGTAGAGACAGGGTTTCACCGTGAGGCCAGGCTATTTGAGGCCAGGCTGGTCTCAAACTCCTGACCTCAGGTAATCCACCCACCTCAGCCTCCCAAAGTGCTGAGATTACAGGTGTGAGCCACCACGCCCGGCCAGATGTGGGTTCATCTTTGACTCCAACTTCCTGGAAAGCTGAATCATAAGTCTTATCAGAAAGATGGCAGCTTTACAGTTTTCACGGTGATCACTGTGACTGTCCGCCACTCTGTCCAGAAGGCTTGTCTCTGACTCCCACGACAAGCATCACCTTTTCTGTGATGTGGCTGCGCTTAGTCCAGCCTTTGGCTGTAATGTGGGAAGAAGATATCTGCTCATCAGTACTTTCTCACGGAGCAGACCTCGTCAGTTGCAGTGGTGCTAAGGGCGGTGTTTTCGGCATCCCAAGATAACCAACCTCATATGCCTTGGGGTATGCATTTGTCATATTGATAATTACAAATTAAAACAGTTCTTAGAATGTTCAGGATTTAATTTGATACAAAGATATAAGACTAATTCTAGGATATTGAAAACTCAGATCAATGAAGTGGTTCTTTGTTCTTATTCTAAGCACTTATCGATCTCAGACAAAAAATTCCCCAGGAGTCTCAGGAAACAAAACACAGTGCATGGGGAGATTGGCCTCCTGACGCCCTCCTGTCCATTCAGATCTCCCATTATTGAAACAATAGCGCCACATAGCAAGACAAATCACTAACTATAAACAATGCAGTCCCTGGCAAGAGGACACTCAATTTAAAAAAAGTCCAGCCCCAGTCTGAGGATTAGGCTTGCATTTGTTTTCAGCAGCCAACTCCCTTTTGATATAAAGCTATTGTTTTAATGGAAATGTTTATGTCGGAGTAAGAGGCAGTACAGTTCTGAGAATATTTGATAAGCCATAAGCATGAGCATCAATTAAGCTCGTAGCTCTTATTGAAGGAATTCAATACAAATCATAAATTTCACTCACCTCATTCTGAAAAGCCTGAAAAGTGTCACACAATGTCTACAACTTCAGCACATTTTAAAAGCAAAGCTAACACGTGCTGGTACTTCCCATGGCTTAGGCCCTGTTCTGGGGGCCGAGGAAAGCCCACAGGCAGAATTCTCCATAAGCAGATGTGGATGGGGAGCCTGAGCTCACCCCAGGAGTCAAGAAAGAGACCTTGAAACTGAGACCCAAAGGATGGGAGGAGCTTGCCAGGCAAAGGCTGCCTCGGACCTGGTGGAACAGGTGACTCTGGGCAGCTGGGCTGCTTGAGAGCCAAGTCCCCTGGCAGAGGATGCACAGTGTGTCCCCGCTGCAAAAAGAGGGTCAGTGTCTGGAACACACAGAGCAAGGAGGCATGGAAGAGCAGCACTCAGAGAAGCAAGCTCATTTCTCTCTGCGTGGGGAGTGGACTTTACGTTATCAGCTGATTTGAGCTGGGCAGAGAGTGACCAGGAAATGAACACGAGGGAACTGAATGCAGGGAATTCAAGGCTGAACTGAAGGGCAGGGAAGACAGGGGATAGTGAGATACCCCAGAGATGATAAAGGATGGAAGCACCCTCATGCCCAGCCTGGTAGGACAGAGGCAGCAGGCACTGTTGCTAGAGGCCCGGTTCACAGCAGCTCCCAGAAGCCAAGACAGCACCCGACACACAGCCCGAGGCAGAAGGGGAGGAGAACCGCCCTGACTTCCCTCCTGCTCCACGCTGTCAGCTACGTTTCCCACCGCGACTCCACCGCGACTTCCCTTAGCCATGCACTGGGGAGCTGCAGAAACAGCCGCACCTGTCAACCTTCGAAAGGTACAGAGTGGTGCAAGAGAGAGGTGAGGAATGGATCTGTGGGCAAAGGCCCAGCACCAGCCAGACGTTACGTAAACGTGCTAAATAAAGCAGGCCCTTATATTCCCAGCCCCTAAGACGCCTTTCCTGTTGGGATCTTCCCTAAGCCCCACCTGCTAATTTAGTCCTAAAAATGTATCCAGCCTACTCCATGTTCTCATTTATTTTTATTTTAGGATACATTCCCCTGTTGTATCAGTTAAGTGAGTGCAAACTTTGCAGTGTTCAGTACCACAGTCTGATCATCTGCATTCATCATATCACTAAGTTTCTAATATTTTTAGTGACCTGCAGGTGTAATTTGTATTTGCTGTTAAAAAAAAAAAATTAATCCAGGAATCTTATATAAGGGGGAATGGAAAGGTAAAAGATGACGTTAGATTTAGCCTGGGGAGGCTGTCTGAGAAAAATAGGAAGTAACGTATGTTTTTTTTTTTTTTTTTTGAGACGGAGTCTCACTCTGTCCCCAGGCTGGAGTGCAGTGGCGCGATCTCGGCTCACTGCAAGCTCCGCCTCCCGGGTTCACACCATTCTCCTGCCTCAGCCTCCCGAGTAGCTGGGACTACAGGCGCCCGCCACCACGCCCAGCAAATTTTTTGTATTTTTAGTAGAGACAGGGTTTCACCGTGTTAACCAGGATGGTCTCGATCTCCTGACCTCGTGATCTGCCCACCTTGGCCTCCCAAAGTGCTAGGATTACAGGCGTGAGCCACCGTGCCCGGCCAAAGTAATGTATGTTTCTAAATGTTGAAATGGGTGGTAGAAGCAGATTAACACCTTTGTCCCTGAAGAGCACAGACATCAACCACAGTGATGTAACCAGAACAGACTCTTTTCTAAGCAAGCTCTACAAGTCTTCCTGGAATATTCCCTGCAGATAGTTATGGGACGAAACGAGCATCAGGTTAGTCTTCGAGGCTGCCTTTTAGAGCCTCAATGTCAGTCACCTCAGAGATGTTTTAAGCCCTTCTCCCAGATATAATAAGTTCCATTCCAAATGAGGCTCAGTCTCCTGCAATCTACTGCATTTAAGTCAGGTCTCCTAACTGACAGCTCATCTCTCACTCTTGAGTTGAATGGATTCCATCACCCATGAAAAATCCTGAAGCCTTAGGACACACGATCTGAGCGGATTTATACAAAGGAAAATATGCTTATGAAACATCTTAGCCTGGCTCTCCTCATCTTCTGCATCCTTCAGGTATTTATAGCTGAGTCCAAGTTCTGTCTCGTTTGGTTGTGTGCAAGCACCTTTGAACACTTAGGGATGAGAAACAAAGAGTTTTCATTTCAGGTACACCTCTGGTTTGTCATATTGGAATCACCTACAAGCAGGAGAAGAGTGTGGGATGTGATATTGAGACAATGACAGCTTTTAGGGGACAGCACTTGCTTCCTTCCCCATGAGTCTTGCATACCCATGTTGAAGCATTCTCACACATTGGCTATCAGGGATCTCAACCCATAGGGGCCAAGTAACAAGGTGAGTCCTCCCAGGACTGAAGCCACAATCACTAGCATCAGAACACTCTAAAAGTAAGGTCAAGCTCAAGGTAGGAGAGTGTGTAATGTGTAGACAATAAAAATTAGATGGCTTAGGTCAAAGAAGCTAATCAAATTTAACATGAAGTCTAAATTACAACCATGGATCATGTTAACTAAGTTTATTTTCATTCAGTGTTTGTATTCAATATCATTGTTATTCAATGAATAATACTTTGTAGCTTATATTTTGATTTATTGTTTGATCCATAGGCTGTTTAATGATTTTATTTAAAAATGATTTTATATTGAAATTTAGTTGTAAGAAAAAATACTGAGATCCCATGCATCCTTATTCATTTGCCCCAGTGGTAATTGTAGCTGGAAAAACACACACTCAAAGTGCTTTATCCTATTCCCTCACTCAACAGCAACAATCAATACAGATTTCTGTGACCAAATGTGTGGCTTTTTTCCCCAGATCTGAAGTGTGCAATCAGTTCTGCAGGGGACACCAGCTGGGTGTCCACCTATTCAATTCTAACACTCTCCACCTGGAGATAGCATCAAATCCTAAAGGTTGAGGGCTCTGTCCTTAAAACCACCCCACACTTAAGACACCAGTCCCAAGTCTAGGTCTCCAGAGCTTCTGACCAACGGGCTTCAAGTTGGGGTTCTCACAACCCCCTCTTTGGGTTTGATCAATTTTCTGGAATGGCTCACAGAACTCAGGGAAATACTTATTTCAGATTACTAATTTATTACAAAGGATATTTAACAGGATACAAATAACCAGGCTGATGAAGAGATACGTAGGGCGAGGTCTGGAAGGGTCTCAGGGCAGGAGCTTCCCTCCCCATGGAGTTGGGGTGCGCCACCTGCATCCGCACATGGGTGAGTTCTCGTTCCTGTTCCTGCCAGCCTCCACATGTTCGGCCATCTGGAAGTGCTCAGAACTCTGTCCTTTGGGGCCTCTTACAGAGACTTTATTACATAGGCATGGCTGGTTAAACCGATGGCCATTGGTGATCAACTTAACTTTCAGCTTTCTCCTCTCCCTAGAGGTTGGGGAGTGAGGCTGAAAGTCCCAGCCTTCTAATCCTGCCTTGGTCTTTCAAGTGACCAGCTCCATCCTGAAGGTGCCTAGAGGCTGCCAGCCATCAGTCAATTATTAGCACACAAAACAGGCATCACCTGGGAGATGCCAAGGATTTCTGGAGTTGCATGACAGAAAATGGGGATGAAGCCAAATATATATTTCACAATGTTATAGTAATGCTTTGGGGAAAAGCGGACCACCACAACCATAATACAGGCATGAATCCAGTCAAGATACAAAACATTTCGATCACCACATGGGCCTCTCATTGAGACCTTTTATACCACACCCACTTTGCTCCCACCTTCACACCCTCTTTAACTCTCTGCAACCCCTAATCTGCTCTCCATTTCAGGAATCCTGTATCAGTGGAATCATATAAAATGGAACTTTTGGATTTGGCTTTTTTTTCCCTTTTTTTCACTCAGCATAATCTTCTGGAGATTTGTCCAAGTTATTGAGTGTACAATAATTTGGCTTATCCCAAGGCTCAGAATACAGTCTATTTGATGTGCACATACCAAGAATGTGTACTCTGCTGACATTGGGTAGAGTGTTCTATAAATGCAAATTAGCTCAAGTTGATTGCTAGTGTTGTTCAAATCTTTTGTGTTCTCACTTATTTCCTGTCTGCATGTTCAAGCATTTATTGAGAGAGAAGTACTGAAATCACTAAGCATAATTGTAGATTCATCTATTTCTCCTTGCAATTCTGTCCATTTTTATTTCATGAATTTGGAAGCTCTATTATTAGGTGCATGAATGTTTAGGGTGATTTTTTATCTTGTGGCACTGACCCTTTTTCATTAGGAAATGAATTTCTTTATCTGTTGTGGTGTTCTTTGCTTTAAAATCTACTTCCAGATTAATATAGGCTCTTGAGCTTCCTTTGATTATTATTACCACAGTAAAACTTTTATTTAATCCTTTTACTTTTAATCTATTATTGTCTTTATTATTAAACTTTTTTTCTTATAGGTAACCTGTAGTTGGGTCTTGCTTATATATCCAAATTGAAAAACTATGACTTAATTTGGGTATTTGCACAATTTAAATTTGATGTAATTATTGACACTTTTGGTTTTAATCTGTGATCCTCCTTTTTTGTTCTATTTCTCCTCTTTTTCTCATCTTTTGTTCTTTTTCTCCTCTACTTCTCGTCTATTTTTTGTTCACATTTTTCCTCTTCTTCTACCTTCTTTCATATTGATTGAACATATTTTATGATGCCATTTTATCTTCGTAGTTACCTTTTGAGATAAAACTTTTTGACTTGTTATTTTAGCAGTTTATTTTAGAGCTTATTGTATACATCTTGAACTTACCACAGGGTACCCTTAAATATTTTGCCACTTTATGTATGATGTAAGAATTTTACAAGAGTACACTTATATTTCTCCATTCCCAAACTTTGTGCTATTGTGATTATACATTTTACTTTTGCATATGTTAAATATCATATTACATAGTTACTATTTTTGTTAAAGAGATTTAAATAGGATGAAAATAAACTTTATTTCCCTATGTAGTTACCATTTCCGGGACTGACATTTCATTGGTGTGGATCCAGATTTCCATTTGGTGTCTTTTTTTTTCTTCCCCCACCACCGCCCCAACAAAGATTTCCTCTAACATTTATTGTAGTGTGGGTTTGCTAGTGATCAATTCAGCTTTCATGTCTAGGAAAGTCTTTATTTTGCCTTCATTCTTTGAACATATATTTGCTGAGTATAAGCTTACAAGTTAACAGGTTTTTAAAAATTTCTCCTTTGAAATAATTTTTGATTTACAAGAGAATTTATTTACATTTTGCTCACTTTCCCTTCATGTTAATATTTTACTTTGCCATAGCGAGGTTATCAAAACTAAAAAATTAACATAGCCACAATACTCTTAGCTAAACTACAGTCTCTATTCAGACTTGACCAGTTTTTCCACTAACGTATTTTTTCTGTTCTAGGATCCAATTATTGATACCACGTTGCTTTTAGTTTTCACATCTCTTTAGTCTCTTCAAATCTATGATAATTTGTTTTTTTTATGACCTTGACACTTTTGGTCACTACTGGTGAAATATTTTGTAGAATGTCCTCAACTTGGTCTTGTCTGTTTTCTCATGTTAGACACTTCTCATTGTATCACATAGGGATTACATGATGCCAATATAACTTATTACTGGTGATGTTAACCTTGATCACTTGGTTAAAGTGCTGTCTGCCAGATTTCCCCACTGTAAAGTTACAATATTTTCTTTGCAATTTTCTACTTGTTAGTACTGAGCCACTAAGTCTAGCCTGTAATCAATTAAGGAGATAATATTAGCTGTAGTATTTCTGTAGATGTTCTTTATTGGTTAATGATGTTCCTTTCTATTCCCAGTTTGCTAGAAGCTTTTAATTATAAATGGATGTTTCAATTTATCAAAAAATTTGTTTACATTTTCTGAATAATTGTGTTTCCTCTTTAGTGTGTTAATATGTTGAGTTACATTGATTGATTTTTGAATGTCACCAGCCTTGTATTCCTGTCATGTGGTGTGTGTGTGTTTAGTTAGATTCAATTTGCTATTATTCTGTTGGTGATTTTTGTGTCTACATTAATTAAGTATATTAGCCTGTGGTTTTCAGAAAATACCTGTGTCTGGTTTTGCTATTAAGGCCTAATAGAGTAAGTTGGGTATAGTTCCCTTTTATTCAATTTTCTGAGAAAAAAGATTACATAGAATTGGTGCTATTTCTTTCTTAGATCCTTGGTATAATTTGCTAGTGAAGCCTTCTGTGATTTGAATGGTATTTTTAGAAAGATTAAAATGTAACTTAATAGATATAGGTTTATTCAGGTTATTTATTTCTTCTTGAGTGAGTCTTAATAGTTTGTGTTTTTCAGGGGATATGTTCATTTCACCTAAGCTGTAGAATTATTGGCATAGTGTTATGCATTCAGCATTGTTCCCTTACCTTCCCGTAATGTTGCCCCACTACCTTCATTCCTGATATTGGTAATTTGTGTCTTATCTCTTTCTCTTGCTCGGACTGTCTAGAGGTTTATCAGTTGCAATGGGGAGAATTCTAAAATGGCCTCCAGGATTTCCCACCTGCTACATAATCTTTCACACTGTGAACTTGATGGATTTGACTCCCATGACTAAGTTATTTATATGAGACAGTTGAATTTAAGACATGGAAATTATCTGGGTGGGCTTTAATTGATTATACAAGCCCTTTACAAATGGAGTCTTCTGTGACTGGTTCCAGAAGGGGAACTCAGAGAGTTGAGGCACCAGAAGAATTGGATATGGTCTTGCTGGCTTAAATAAGAACGCTGCCATATGGAAAGGAAAGGGGGAGCTGAGTGCAACCACTGGCCAACAGACAGTGGAGAAACAAGGGACTCAATCTTGTAGCCACAGGGAGCTGAATTCTGCCAAAACCTGAATGATATTAGAAGGAGATTTTTCCCTAGAGCCCCCAGAAAAGAATGCAGCCCTGCTGGTATATGGATTTCACCCTTTTGTGACCCTAAGGAGAGAATGCAGTAATATCATGCCTGGATGACTGACCCATGGAATTGTGACATAATAATGAGTGTTTTCTTAAAACACTACATCTGCAATCAATTGTTAATGTAGCAGTAGAAAAACTAATACATTAATTTTATTTACTTTTTGAAAAAGCAACTTTTGGGTTTTTTTTTCTTTTAAATTTCACTAACTTCTTTTATAATCTTAATTTTTTTCATTTCTCTGGTTTTTTTTCACTAAAGTGACTATTTTTTTTCTAGTTTCTTAAGGTGGTAGCTTAGATTACTGATTCAAGGGTCTTTTATTCTTTGCAATATTGCAATATAAGCATTTAATGCTATAAATGTGCATCTATGCAGTTTTTACTTGTGTTACACAATTTTCATAAATTGTATTTTAATTTTCAGTTCAAAATATTTTTAATTTCCCCTGAGATTTTCTTCCTGACCCATAAAATCCTACAAATGTGTTGTTTAATTGTAAAATATTTGGAAAACTTCTAGTTATCTTTCTGTTACTTATTTTTAGTTTATTTGTACTATAGTCTAAGGACTTACTTTGTATGATTTATATTCTTTTAAATATGTTAAGTTTTGGCCCAGCACGATGGCTCACACCTGTAATCCCAGTATTTTTCAGGCTGAGGCAGGTGAACCACCTGAGGTCAGGAGTTCAAGACCAGCCTGGCCAAAATGGTGAAACCCCATATCTACTAAAAATACAAAAATTAGCCAGGCGTGGTGGTGTGAGCCTGTAGTCTCAGCTACTCAGGAGGCTGAGGTAGGAGAATGGCTTGAACTCAGCAAGCAGAGGCTGCAGTGAGCCAAGATCCTACCACTGCACTACAGCTTGGGTGACAGAGTGAGACTTCATCTTAAAAAATAAAAATAATAAATAAATAAATAAATAAACAAATAAATATGTTAAGCTTCGGTTTGTGGCCCAGAATATGTTCTATTTTGCCGAACATTCTATATGTATTTCAGAAGAATATGTATTCTGCTGTTTTGTTGCCTGGAGTATTATATAATTATAAATAATGTCAAACTGGTTGATACGATTGTTCAAGTCTTCCATATCCTTACATATTTTCTGTTTGTTTGTCCTTTCAATCACTTAGAAAAGATTATTAAATTTTCCAACTATATTTATTTCTTTGTGTCTGTCTCTTCTTTCAGATCTGTCAGTTTTTGCATCATATATTTTGAATCTCTGTTGATAAGTACATACACATTAAAAATTATGTTCTGTTAGAGAATCCATCCTTTTATCATTATGTAACATTCCTTTTTATTCCTAAAAATAACCTTTGTTCTGAAGTCTACTCTGTTCAAAATTCATGTAACTACTCCAGCTTTCTTTTGCTTAATGTTGCATGGTATTCCTTTCTCTATTTTTTAACTTTTAACCTAAATATGCCTTTATACTTAAAGTGGCTTTTATGCAGCATATAGTTTAGTCTTGATTTTTATCCAAGCTGACAACCTGTGTGTTTCATCTGGGATGTTTAGATCATTAACATATAAAGTGATTATTGATAAGGTCAGATTAAAATATACGATCTCGCTCTCATTTGTAAAAACATATTCCAGCTGTTGTTTCCTTTCCCTCTTGCTACTTTGATTACATTTAATTAACAATGCTCCAATTTTGTTTTCTGTTTAGACTTATTGTGTATAACAATCTTTTAAAACTTTTTAGTTTTAAATAATCTGAGTTGACCTCCAAATAGTATTATGCTGATATATATGTAGTATAAAAACCTTTTAACAGTATATTCCCTATTACTTTCTTCCATCTCTTGTATAATTGCTATTATACATTTCATTTTTTCTTATGCTATAAACATAAAATATATTGTATATTTTTGCTTTAAACAGTTAACTTTTAAAGTCAATATTATCAAAGCATAAATACACTCATTTATTACATTTCCAACACTCTTCATTTCTTTGCATGTATGCAAGTTTCTGAATATATTATATTCCATATCTCTGAAGAACTTCCTTTCCATTTCTCGTTGATTAGATCTTCTGCCAATGAATTCCCTCAGTTTTTTTTGTTTTGTTTTGTTTTTGTTGTTGTTGCTGTTGTTGTTGTTGTTGAGATGGAGTCTCGCTCCATCACCCAGGCTGGAGTACAGTGGCGTGATCTCGGCTCACTGCAAACTCTGCCTCCCAGGTTCACGCCATTCTCTCACCCCAGCCTCCCGAGTAGCTGGGACCACAGGCACCCACCACCACACCCAGCTAATTTTGTTTCTTTGTATTTTTAGTAGAGATGGGGTTTCACCGTGTTAGCCGGGATGCTTTCAATCTCCTGACCTCCTGATCCGCCCGCCTTGGCCTCCTAAAGTGCTGGGATTATAGGCTTGAGCCACCGTGCCCGGCTGAATTCCCTCAGTTTTTGTTTTTCTGAGAAACTGTTTATGTCTATTTCACTTTTGGAAAGTGTTTTTACTGAGTTTCACTGTGGGTTTACTTTTTCTTTCAGAAACTTAAAGATTTTATTCCATTGTCTTCTTTCTTGCATGATTTCTGAAGAGAAGTCTGCTGTGAATCTTATCCTTTTTGCTCCTCTGGTGAGGGAAAAAGCAAAAAGCAAAAATGTATCTTTTTTTCCCTTGGCTGCTTCCAAAATGTTCCCTTTGTATCTGGTTTTCAGCACTTTTAATATGATATATGTAGTTGGGGGGTTTGTTATTTGTTTGTTTTCTTTTGATTCTGGCTGATATTTGAGCCTCTTGGATTTGTACTTTGGTGTCTGTCATTATTTTGCAAAATTCTCAGCCATTATTTCTTCAAATATATTGTTTTCTCTTCTTCTTTTGGAATTCAAATAATATGTATATTAGACAGTTTGTTATTTTTTCACAGCTCTTGGTTTCTCTGTCCTGATTTTTTAACTCATATTTCTCTTTTTGTTTTAGATTGGCTAATTTCTACTCACCTATAGTAAAGCTCACTGGGTCTTTCTTTGGCTATGATAAGTTTACTAATGTGCCTATCAAAAGCATGCTTAACCTCTCTTACTACATTTTTGATTTCTTGTACTTCCATTAGATTCTTTCTTATAATTTCCATTGATCTGCTAATTTCCATTATGCTAATTTCCATTGATTGACCAAATCACCTCTTTGGTCTTGCATGTTGCCTATTTCTCCATTAGAGCCATTAACATATTAAATAATTATTTAAATACCCTCTTTCCTATCTGGTTCTGTTCTTAGTAATTATTTTGCCTTTTCAGGCTGCTATTTTTGGTTTTTGTATGTCCCATAATTTTATCTGGAAGCTAGACATGTTTTATAGAATAGTAGATACTCAGATACATTTTATGTATGCTTAGAAATAAGCATGCCTTTCATTTTGCCCTGCTTTTAGTGTGAGGGTTCTTGCTTATGTAGTTAGAAGTTAAGCCAGGTTTGAAGTTGACTATCTGCTTGACTCCAGGTCCTGTGGCTCAGTTTTGACTCTTCCCCTTGCACTTTTCCCAGGGAACATCTGTCTCTTGCAGTCACCACCTGGACTACACTGCTGTTTTCATTCTATGCTTGTTGCGTGTGGGTGGTTGGATCAAGGGATGGTGAGATGTTATCTATGTTTGGAGTAAGGCTCAGTCTTAGGCATGATTTGTAAACCTAGTTCTTAGAGTGTGACCTTCCCAAGTGTTCCTGTGCCTTCTGCAGATGTAATGATGTTGGGCCCAACGGTACTGCCATCTCTCCCCCAGGGGTAGTGCTTGCTTGCTTTTCTACTCACATACACACAGCTGCAGTAGATTTCCACCATTCCCCTGTTGCACCAGTTTTTGTTGCCCTTCCCCCTGTGTACTGAGACATTTGCTTCACAGGGGACACAATGATGTGGACGTGGGTGGAGTTCTCACAATGAGTTCTGTCATCCTCTCCCAGGCGGCCCCATGGGGAGGCTTTCTCAGGATTCTCCTTTATCCTCCATTTAAAAAGATGGTGGTGTTCAGACTCAGCATTTAGTGATCAGATAGAAATTTCTAGCTGAATAAAGTTACTGAATTATATTATATTTGGTGGTGCCTGTAATTATCCTAAAGTTTCCTCCAGCACCTCATATGTAGACAATCATATTAACTGATTAACTTTTTACATTATATTTATACCTCAATTTGGCCAAGAATTACTTGTTCTAAAAACTATCCGTTACTTTACGGTTAAACAGGATTACGGGCATGAAGTTAAAAACTGATTGTAATAAAAATTAGCACTTTTTGTTTCAAAATATGTAATACTTTAAATATTTTTTTCTTGCAGTGGTCATAAAAGTGAATGGTAAGGATGTGGGTATAAACTCAACTCTTTATATATATAAAAACACTTGTGTGATTCTTCTTTTAAAAATGATGTAGTGTGCGATAGAGAAGATTTTTACCACACATTCCTCTCTGGAAACAATAGAATGCCAGAACACAAGTGAAAAGAAAAGGAAGAAAAAACAATTATCATTGACTGTAGGAAGTAACCACAAATCTGCCAATACAAGGAATAAAAGGAGCAAGGTAAATTAGTGACTAAATTAAAAGAAGCACCAAAAGCGCATGGAATTATCTACAATTCTTTTGTAAGGTGCAGAGTTTTGTAAACAATAGATGGGCCCTTCAAGAAACTTCTGACCTACCTAACACCGTGTATATGTGTGTGAGAGCTGGCTGGGGCAAGGAGGATGCAGTCTAGAGGAGCATCCCTGAGCCGTGTCCCCTCTGATAGCGAAAGGGAGGTGTTGGTGATGCTGAAGAAGGGACAGGCCCATTCCATGAATTAGGCAATTAATACATGAGTTACAAAAGAGATTAGCTATACTGCTACTAACCATGGAAAAGGAAACACTACATCACTATACCTACCCCTGTAGCTTATAAAGATCTTTTTAAATCCACACTGATATACTGCTCAACGCAAAATCCCAGGAGGTATGATGATGAGAAGATTAAAAGATCATTGAACAAACATTCACAGAAGGCCTACAAGAGCTCAGGAAGCAAAGAAAACGGACGAAGTGTCATCACGGAACTTGTATTCTATGGGGTAGAGGGAATAGATGATAAACAAGTAAATATGCATCTCATATATTTCAAGAGGATAAGTGCTACAGAGAGAAACAGAGCAGGGAAAGGGGTAACAGATTCCCACTGTTCATAGATCCATTGTGTCTCCAATGGCAAACCGTTCTTACTTTACACAGGTAGTCAATAATCTAATAGGGTCACATTTGGACAACTGAGTCAGTGAGGAAGTAAGCAACGCTGGAGATTTGTGGGAGGAACGTTCTAGCAACTAGAAATGCAAGAGCAAGGGAGCAAGATCAAGTGTGTGGGGGACAGCAGAAGGGACAGTGGGGCAAGAGCTGTTTCCTTGACTGGGAGGGAGCCCAAACCATGAAGGAGTTTGTAGTCCAAGCCACGCTCTTAGTATTAATCTCAATGAGATAGAAAGTCCCTGGAGTGAGCTTGGAAAGGCTTGATTTGACCCCTATTTTAAAAGGATTATGTTGGCTGTTAGATAGAAAATAATCTGCAGAAGGACAAATTAAGCAACGATTACAATTATTATTATATTGCAATAATATTATATTGTATTATTATTATTACAATAATCAAGTGCGATGTCATTGGTGCATTAGAGTAGTAAAATGTGGTTGGAATCTGAGCATGTTTAATGCATTTTTATGGAGTAAATATATAATATGAGGATAAGAGAAGAAGAAAGGCTGACTGTGAGGTTGAAGGTCAGAGCAACTAGGACAGAGTGAATGTTTGTTGAGCACAGTGCACTGCAGGTGGAGCTGCTTGTTACAGAGCAGGAGGCACGAGAAGCAGGACTCACGTGGCCTGTTGATTTTGAAATGCCTGTTATACCTGTATGGACACATTGAGATGATGCAAGGGTAGATGAGTCTAAAGTTCCCGAAAGTAGTCAACACTATGCAAAGCACTGATAGTATTTAAACTCCTGCAACTAGTTGAGATCCTCTAGAAAATTAAAGAATAGAAGGGAGAAGGTCTCCAGGCTGAGCCACTGGCACACTCACATATGGAGGTTGTGGAGAAGAAAAGAACTCACAAACAGGGCTCAGATACACTGCTCAAGGGCAAAGCCCAGGGGAGTAGATGGCCAGGGGCTCCAGAAACCTGCTGAGGCAACCCATTTGTGCTGAGTTGACCCCTGCAGGCACTATTCATACCCTAGGGCTGACCTCCAAAAAGTGCCCCCTGTCAACTTTAGTTAGAAATGCAAATGGGACCCATGCAGAGATTCCAAAGAAAGACAAAACGTAAAACACTACAAATGCTGATGGAGGACATGTATATTAAGAACATTCCAAACAAATACTTCCCTATGATCTTGGACCAAGTGAAGAAAATTTTAGCTCAAAACTGAAGTCACTCAAAAGAGGATAAAAGAAACATAGACAGAGATGAAAAGATGAGAGGAGATATCAAGCAGGCCAGGAGATATTTGGGGGAGGGAAGGAGAAGAAATAAAATCATAAAAAATGAAAGCCACGGACAGGCGCAGTAGCTCATGCCTGTAATCCCATCACTTTGGGAGGCCGAGGCAAGCAGATCACGAGGTCAGGAGATCGAGACCATCCTGGCTAACACGGTGAAACCCTGTCTCTACTAAAAAAATACAAAAACATTAGCCAGGCGTGGTGGTGGGCGCCTGTAGTCCCAGCTACTCGGGAGGCTGAGGCAGGAGAATGGCGTGAACCTGGGAGGCGGAGCTTGCAGTGAGCCAAGATGGCGCCAGTGCACTCCAGCCTGGGAGACAGAGTAAGACTCCGTCTCAAAAAAAAAGAAAAAAAAAATGAAAGCCACATTACAAGTAGCTGTTACAGAATCTAACCTGCTGATAATATTGTCAGGAATATGAAGAACAGGTTTAGTAATACCGAGGAATGCACTCAGTGAATAGTAAGAAAAAAATGATAGATGTGTAAATCAAACAGAGTACTCACAAACACATAATTAATGTTTGTGAGACGAGGAAAAGAATAAAACAAATAGGACAAACTGTTTAAAGGCTGTATTGGAAAAAAAATCCTGAAATGAAGGAAGACGTGAATCTGCCAACCAGGTCCCAGGAAAACAGGACACGAGACACATGTTAATAAAGTTATAACAAATCAGGAAGAAAGAAAAAAATTAAAACACGAACTTAAATATAAATGTAATGTAATTTAATTTAAATACATCATCCATAGCAACAGAAATATACATGTATCAAGAACTAAATCTAACAAAAGACTTGCCAAAGCTTTATGGAAGTAATTCAATATTTCATTGAAGGATATGCAAATTGAAATAGCTAAAACTTCATGATGACAAAAACTTTTTCTTAACTGCTGTACTTTCAGGCAGCTACACTGATTATCTAAATAAATGAGGATGCATAATTTATTCCAATCAAAATACCAACAGTGTTTATGAAAAATTTTTAAACTGATTCTACAATTTTATAAGCACAAAGACCGAAGAAGAGCCAAGGCATCCATGGAGAAGAATACAAAGATTGGCAGCTTCTGTACTTGTGACCAATGCTATTGTATTAGTTTTCCATTTCAGTTTAACAAATTGCCACAAACTTAGTAGTTTAAAACAAAACACATTTATGACCTTATAATTTCTGTGAATTAGGTGTGGCTTAGCGGGGAACTTTGTTTAGGCTCTTAGGGCTGCAATTAAGGAGTTGGCTGAGCTTCAGTCTCATCTGGAGACTTGACTGCAGAAGAATCAATTTCCAAACTCAAGTTGTGGACAGAATTATTATTCGCAGCTGTAGAGACCAGAGGACAGTCTCTCTCTTCATGAAAGGCTCAGTCTTTCTTTTAACATCTTTCACCTGATTAAGTCAGGGCCACCCAAGATAATCTTTCTTTGATTAACTTGAAATCAACAGATTTTGGGTCTTAATTACATTTGCAAAATTTATTCATCTTTGCCGTATAAAGAAATTCAATCAAGGGAGTTGATCCATTAAGTGAAACCAAATCAGGTTTTGCCCACACTCACGAGGAAGGAACAATACAACTATATGACTAACTGGGGTCACTTTAGGGTGTGTCTGCCACAGTTATGCTGATTAAGACAGTGTGGTTATGTGGCAGAATCAAAATGCACACACAGATTCATACAGATACGAACACACAAATAAAAGAGAGGTGGGCCTGCAGATGACTGGAAGTGGCAATAAATGATGGTGTAGCCACTAATCACAGAATTCAGAAAACTTGAATTGGAGAAGAAGTAATTGCATAGAAGGAAAACTAGGAGAAAAGCAAAACTTGTGTAAGGGAACTTAATGGTCCTGGGTTATTAAGGAACAAATTCTCAAGAATGACACAAATGGTATGAATGGTAAAATAAAAGGTTGATAAATTTAATTTCCCTAAAATTAGGAACTTCTTTTTTAATGTTTCTTAATTTTTTTGTTTTTTTTGAGACGGAGTTTTGCTCTCGTTGCCCAGGCTGGAATGCAGTGGCATTCCGAGATAGTTCTCGGCTCACTGCAACCTCTGCCTCCCAGGTTCAAGAGATTCTCCTGCCTCAGCCTCCTAAGTAGCTGGGATTACAGGCATCCACCACCACACCCAACTAACTTTTTGTATTTTTAGTAGAGACGGGGTTTCACCATGTTGGCCAGGTGGATTTTGAACTCCTGACCTCGGGTTATCCACCTAACCCGGCTTCCCAAATTGCTGGGATTACAGGTTGAGCCACCGCGACCGGCTGGAACTTCTTTTTATAAACAAATGTAATAAAGAGAAGAAAAAGACAAGTCACCTCAGGGCAAACTTGAAGAATAAGATGGAGAACATTAGGCTTTTTGGCTGAGCATTGCTTGCTAATCTCCAGGCCTCAGGTGGCTTTTCAGAGAGTATTAAGCTTAGGCAATTTTGAAAGGAAACCAGGCTGGATGTATCTGTAAGTTGGTGGGGTTGGGAGGATGGGCAAGAGATGGCCATGAGAAAGAGAGGAGATGGAGGGAAATAACAACGTTTAAAGGAGACTCAAAGGATGTTTTTGGTGCCAGAGATGCAATAAAGAAATGTGGTATCTATGGCATGAGTAAATAATGGTTTTGAAATAGTATACTCTGGGAATAATGCAATTACAAAAGATTCACCTAGTCCGTAGAGGAGTTGGAGTATTGAAAATATCTATATGAACTTCCAAACTTACCAATTAAATGGGATGATAAATTCAGGTGGGAACATCTTTAGAGCTCATACATTAGAAATACATTCTGTGAAGGGTTTTCCTTTTTTAAATTTTCTGTGAAGATCTCTTTCTGAAACTCGACTGGACTTTTAAAGCATAAGATGCTATGTTGCTGTCAAATTTCAAAACAGAAACCTAGAATTTAAAAATTGTAAATTTGCTTATATATTTGGTATTTTATTAATGTGGCCCACAAGATGTTATCTAGCAGCCGGTTAGCATTTTCAGAAAAAAAAAAAAACACCCCTACCAACTTCCTTTTTCAATAATAATTTATTATCTACCTACTGATTCATTAAAATAATAATTTTGCAAACATAAAGTTTAGTAAAATGAAGAAAAAGGTCTTTAAATGTACCATGTCCTTGTATTTTACAATAAACTAATTGTATGAAGTGTGAATAAAGAATAATTTTATGTTCTCTGAGAAACATGGAAATATACTTCAATATAGAGTCATTAAATGATACGACAAAGAAAATTTGTACACTTACTTCCTTTGGTGTTTCCAAGCCAGATTACCTCTGTTATTCCTACCCGTCAACCTATCTTTCTTCTGGGGATAAAGCCCCATCTTCTGGGAACTGCTCCTCCTTCCACAGCCAGCCTGGGAGCTGCCATGTTCTTACCTGAACCTGCCTCAGTTGAAGTTGATTTGTCCAAGATGGGCAGCAATCTAATCTAAGCCAATACAATCTTCTACACCACTGGTTTTATTTATCTGATTCTGACCTGTCTGAAATTGACCGTGTCAGAGGCTTTCTGAGAATGTGAACATGGAATCACTGAGAGCAAATAAATGCATGTCAGTCTCTCTCTGGTGGTGGGAACTACCAGATATGGAACTTACTAACTCTAAAATAAATGAATAAGTAAGTAAATAGAAAAGCCCCAACTAGTCCACTGTGACGTTTCAAAACATCATCCTGGGGCAAATTTTATTTCTATGTTTAATGCTAAAAAGCAATTATTGAGAATGGATTGCTATCTAATGAAATAAATAAAACAAGTATTTGGGATTGGAAATAACAAGTTTCAGGTCCTGACTTTCCTCTGAATATGAGCTGAGGAAGAAGTCATCTTCATGGGTCATTCTGCTGCCTCCTCCATCACTGACAGCATCGTGCACACCTCCAGTCATGCGCCTAGCACTAGGACTTTGGTGCCACTGCCTCCTCCATCACTGACAACATCGTGCCCACCTCCATGCATGCGCCCAGCACTGGGACTTTGACTAGTGCCGCCTCTATCATTGCCAGTATCATGCACTCCTCCACGCATGTGCCCAACACTGGGACTTTGTCTGAGGCTGCCTCCTCCGTCATTGCCAGTATCATGCACACCTCCATATTGTGCCCAGCACTGGGACTTTGTCTGATGCTGCCTCCTCCGTCATTGCCAGTATCGTGCACACCTCCATATTGTGCATACCTCCAGTCATGCACCCAACACTGGGACTTTCACTGGTGCTACTGCCTCCCTCCTGCAAAGCACCCATGTCTGGGAAAGGCAGAGCCTCAGTAGGATGACCATGGAAGCTAATAACCATGGATGCCCAGGTAGACTTCTGAATTAGGCAAGGGAGTATACTGAGCATAGGCATGGGGAGCTCCTCTCACCCCAGGCAGGGAGAAAGCAGGTGGATTTGCTGTAATAAATTGTGCGTCTTGTCTGGAGTTGTCTTTCTGTTTATCTTGTCAGTAACCTGCAGTGGTGATAAATGAAATTACTCTTTGGATGTTCCATTTGGACTCTGCATAACTCCTAGGGTGATTTATTGTCCTTTGTTTTTCTGTATGTTAGCTTGTTGGTTTATTCCTCTAGGGTTTTGATTGCAATTTTATGCCAAAAATTAATAGACATTAAGAATCACACATAATTCAAATCACATTTCCTTAGGAAATGATGTAATTTTAGCATTCACATTACATTAAAATATATACTTGTGCTCTTTTATTGCTTCAGGCTAATCATCCTAATTCCTTTGTACTGAAATACTAATTTGTTTAAATTTTTAAATGTTTCTTGGTAAATGATATCAAAGTTGATGTTTCTATCAACAACTCTAAATATTGCTACAACAGAATATTTCATCCTGCAAAAAATTCTAATTTATTGGGAGCATAGTTTTCATCTGAGACCAATACCATCTCCCTGTCAATCTTTTAAGTAAAAATGGGACTTTGGGCTGGGCGTGGTGGCTCATGCCTGTAATCCCAGCACTTTGGGAGGCCAACACAGGTGGATCACCTGAGGTCAGGAGTTCGAGACCAGCATGATCAACATGTGAAACCCCAACTCTACTAAAAATACAAAAAAAAAAAAAAAAAAAAAGAATTAGCCAGACGTGGTGGCACATGCCTGTAATCCCAGCTACTTGAAAGGCTGGGGCAAGAGAATTGCTTGAACCTGGAAGGCGGAGGTTGCAGTGAGCCAAGATTGTGCCATTGCACTCTAGCCTGGGTGACAAGAGTGAAACTCTGTCTCAAAAAAAAAAAAATGGGACATCAGTGATAGTCTTTTTCATTCAGCAAATATTAATTAATTTATTATGGTTAGCCAACGTTGGTAAACAAGAGAGACATATTCTATAAACCAACCAGTTTATTGGTTTTAAGATAGATATTGTACCAGTAATTATAGAAACAAATCCATCCAATTTATGGGAAGGTGTCAGGGAAGATTTCCTGGGGAAGTAAGTGATTTTTAAGCTAAGTGAGTGAATAGGAACTATCTAGATGCTGGGGAAATAAAAAGAAGAGCATGCTATGCAGATGGGAAGGAATTCAGAGGAGTGTGGGAAGGGTTTTGGCAAGTCTGAGGCCCTGGGTAGACAAGATGCCAAGAGTGTAGAGAGCACAGGGCAAGGAGTGTTTAATGCAGAATGATGTGGACCACATAAAAGTGTCACAGCTGTGCAAGGGCAGCTAATAAGGAGAAGGCTAAAATGATACTAGTGTTTTACAAAGTTCCTTTTGATGGCAGTAGGTAGAATGATTTAGAGCAAAAAGGACTGGTCATTAGGAGATAAGCTTGGATCTATGGCAGAAGGTGGTAGCTTGGACTAGATGGGGAAAGGATTTGAGAGCAATGGATCATATAGAACCATTGAGAAGAGAAAAGGAGGAGTCAGAGGTGGCTTTTTGGTTTCCTCTTTGAACAAGTGAGAGATGGACCTGAAAGAAGAGGAGGTATTGGCACGGGGAAGGTGATAGTTCAGTTCTGGACATGGTGGATTTCGGGCACTGGATGACTGAATCCAGCAGGCTAAAGGGGTGGAGGATTCAAATGGGGAGGATGAGGATGAGGAGATAATCTCAGCAAGAGGTGGCCTAGACAAGAAATCAATGGAGATGCTTTGGGGAGAAAATGTACAATGTATTAAGCATGCACCCTCTTTCAAGCCCCCGGGGGAT